>NC_000006.12:41878181-42181212 GCF_000001405.40 Homo sapiens
AGCAAAGACTTTATGTCATTATTCTAGCAAAAAGAAACACTGATATTCAAACATCCCAGGTGTTCTGGGGCAGGCTGGGATAAAAGAGCTTCATCATTCAGGTAGAATTCAAGAATCCTAAAATGTGTTGGGTATCTGGGTCTTTATAATTTTAACTGACAGCTTAATAAGAACTAAAGGACATACGATCTTAGCCAGATTGGGAATTCCTTCTCACCAAAAAATGTGACCTGAGAGCAAAGGAATGTGCTTGCATTCTCCTCAGTCATCCAAGATAAATGCAAATAAAAACAATACCAAATCCCATTTAGTTTGTAGAGCGGCAGCATCAGCCACAAAAATCACCTTCTATATAGCATATACCAGAGTTGCTACTTCATCACTCTGCTTAAATCTAATCCTGCTTCTTATATGTCCCACATATAATAAATATTAATTGGTAAAGTTCAGTCTGCCAGCATACATTAAAATCATTAATTCTGTCATTATCAAGCACTTCTTATAAATACTATATAGCAATTTTGTCAGCAAAGCAATAATTTTAATGAGAAAACATTTATGAATATTTATTATACTTCCTCCTAGATACCATATTGTGTGAGGTGTTTTCATGTACACTTGCTCAGTTAATTCTCACAATGAGGTGGGTATCAGCAGGATTTTACAGCATGAAGCACAGAGGGCCCAATTTCATTAGGAAATGACCCAGGATCACAAAGCAAGGAAGCAGCAACACACAGGCCCAAGATAATTGCTTTGAATTGCTGCAATTCTAGTAACCCTAAATCGGTGGCAAGGAACATAAAATTTATTTAAGTAGGTTTTTTGCCTGTGGTAAAACTTAGTTGGAAGTTAGCCTTGTTTGAGAAGTTACTCAACTATGAATCTGCACTCATTCTACAAAAATGCTTTCTAACTTTAAACATAGGTCAGAGAGGTATGGTGGCTCATGCCTATAATCCCAGCACTTTCAGAGGCCAGAGTGGGAGGACTGCTTGAGGCCAGCAGTTTGAGACCAGCCTGGCTAACATAACGAGACTCTGCCTCTATGTTTTGTTTGTTTTTGAAACAGGGTCTTCCTCTGTCGCCCAGGCTGGAGTGCAGTGGCGCAATCACGGCTCACTGCAGCCTCAAACTCCAGAGTGCAAGCTATCTTTTCACCTCAGCCTCCCAAGTAGCTGGGACCACAGGTGCATGCCACCACACCTGGTTAATTTTTTTTTTTCTAGTTTTATGTAGAGACGGAGGGTCTTTCTATATTAAGGGGAAGCCCAAATCAAACTGAATTGTGCTAAGACAAACCAGAAAAACTCAAAGTGCCTCTGAAAGTGGGGATAGCAGACAAAGCTAAAAAAAGGAGAATGGAGTAAAAGTTCTACCCCTAGATTGCTGCCCTGTCTCCAAGCAGCTGCTGGGCAGAGGATGGGAGGTTTGTTCTCTGGAAAGATTACTAGAGAGACTCTGGACTAGGCACAACTAGGGGCAGGCCCACCAGTCTAAAAAAGATGGTGATTAAGAGAAAGTTGATATCGTGAAAGGTGAAACATCCCTAGCCATTTTCCCCACTCAGCTTCCCAAATGATACAGCCAGGTTTGTAAGCCCTAAGCAGATAATAGGAACATTCTTTCTGGGGATGAACCTGGTCAAGAGAAAAGCACAAATACTGACTGCTAGAGGTGTCCTCTCCAAGAATAAACCACCAGTTAACTTTCAGAAGCTGACACTTGGGCAAATCCAGCTTTCAGTTTTTTCGTGGCTCACTCCTGAATATGAGTAAAACAGCCAAAGCTATACTTTTAAGGAAATTCCCTAAATGAAAGATCAAAATAAATGAAATGAACAAGTAATGTATTTTAAGGAAACACAGATTTTACAGAAAGCTGAGGAAAGAACATGTTCAGAGAAGAGCTAGTCCATCTGAAACAAAAATAGATGACTATTAAAAAGCAACATTCACAGAAAAAAAAAACTTAAAAATTAAAAATATGACAGCATAAATATAAAACTAATTAGAAAGGTCTTAAGATGAAGTTCAAGACACCCCCCAGAAAGTAGAATAAAGAGACAAAAAGATGGGAAATAGGAAAGGAAAATTAAAGGACTCATCAGTCTAGAAATTCCAACACAAGTATTGAGAGTTCGAGAGGAAGAACAGAGAAAACTGGGGGCAAGGAGGAAAAGGAAGAGATTGGTTAGAATTTAAAAATTCAAGAAAATTTCCCAGAACTGAAAAGTGTTACCAAATTGAAAAGGCCCTCCAAGCGTCCAGCATAACAGACAAAACAAGGCCTAGAATGAGGCTAATTATATTAAAATTTCAGAACATTTCCAGGGAGGAAAAAAATAACCAAGAATCAGAACATCATCAGACTTCTCGTCAGCAGCAACAGAAGCTAGAAGCCAATAGAGTGATGCCTGATAAAGTCAGAGAAAATATTCTCTTATCTAGAATTCTATACCCAGGTAAACTATAAATCAAGTATAAAAGAAAATAAAGATATTTTCATATATGCAGATTCCCAAACAAATTTACATCTCATGCACCTTTTTCTCAGGAGCTTCTGGGGGACATGCTCCACACAAATTAAAATATAAACAATAAAGGAGAAAGATATCAAGTCAAGGAAAACAGGGGGTTCTCCGTAAGAAGGCAAAGGAAATACCCAGGATACGAGGGGAAGTAGATCCCAGGATAAAAGCTGGGCAGGTCTAGAAAAGAACCTACACAGATTTTTATTTATTTTATTTATTTTTTATTCTTTTATTTTGAGATGGAGTCTCGCTCTGTTGCCCAGGCTGGAGTGCAGTGGTATGGTCTTGGCTCATTGCAACCTCTGTCTTCCGGATTCCACCAATTCTCCTGCCTCAGCCTCCCGAGTAGCTGGGATTACAGGCGCCTGCCACCACACCTGGATAATTTTTTGTATTTTTAGTAGAGATGGGGTTTCACCATGTTGGCCAGGCTGATTTCAAACTCCTGACCTCGTGATCCACCCACCTCGGCCTCCCAAAGTGCTGAGATTACAGGCGTGAGCCACCCTGCCCGGCCCCTACGCAGATTTTTGTAAGCATAAGCCTACTGTTCAGAAATATGGCATTAAATACCAAAAAAAAAAAAAAAAAAAAAAAAAAAAAAAGCCCAGCTAGAAGAATAGAAAACAGAGGTCCCTAGAGAGGCAAAATGTTGGGAAAGGGAAAGGCAGGTAATATTCTTTTTATGCTGTATATAGTCTTAACATAAATAAAAACTAAATTCAAAAAGATTCTTGGAAAGGTTAAAATAAATGTTTTAAAATCACATCTAAAAATATGATTTTTCCAATCAAGATTTCTAAGGGGAAAAAGAAACTAAAGGAAAAAAAAGTCTAAGTTTCAAGGCAAAACAAAATCAAAGTATTTGGAAAACTCAAATAGTAGGCGTGGCTTTGTTTGAAAAACATTAAGGGCAGGAAATAATGTTTTTGCTCATAGATATTCAAAAGTCATAGTCATAAAACCAGCAAAGAGAAAAAGAAGAATGTTTAACATATTATGATGTCATTGGAGAAGGTTCATTATACTTTATGCTTCTGCATAAAGTATAGTTTTCCTTCCTTTTCAAACTTTGAGAAAATACACTATTCTCTTACAAAACATAATACATACCCAATAGTTCCTCCAGTTAAATAATAATAAAATAAAATACTATGTTCATTCTTTCATACTCATGGATATGCTGACTTAACTTTGTAAAAAGATGCCAAAGCTTCGTAAATTAATCTAAATCAAATTATAATCTCAATCTTAATCAAAATTACAACAGGACATTTTGGGGAGGGAGGAAACTAGATAAACTAAATCTAAATATTTAAAAAAAAGATCCACAGATAGTTATATCAATTTTGAAAAAAAAAAGCAAAGACAGGGAATCCATCCTGCCATATCTTAAGAAATACTAGAAAGGAACAGTAATAAACATGATATGGTACAGGATCTCATCTAGGGTGTGTCTGGAAATGCATGGGCCATCATGGATGTCACAATGACAGGGCAACACTACTGACATTGAGTGGACAGGCCCAGCAGTGCTAAACATACCTACTCTACTAACTGTGCCCCCTTTAAGAAACTTCGAGATAAATACACCAATGAGATAGAATAGAAAGGTGAGAAACTTGATTTACAATAAGGGTGTTACTACAAATCAACTGGAAGGTTCAGCTAGTTTAGTGGATGGTATTGGGAAATAAAAAAATAATAAGGCTGGATCCAACCTATACCACATCCAAAGATTGCTCCATATACATTAAAAACTTAAGGGGAAATGTAAAGCCATAAAGCTAAAAGAAATTTAGGGAGACAATCTGGATGATCTAAGTCCAAGAAGCAGTAATAAGGCAAATACAGTAGGCTAAAAAATGATGGATGTGACTACATCAAAATCAAGAATTTCCATTCGGTAAAGAACAAGGCAGCCACGCGCAGTGGCTCACGCCTGTAATCCCAGCACTTTGGGAGGCCGAGGCGGGCACATCATGAGGTCAGGAGATCAAAGCCATCCTGGCTAACACGGTGAAACCTCGTCTCTACTAAAAATACAAAAAATTAGCCAGGCATGGTGGCACGCGTCTGTAGTCCCAGCTACTCGGGAAGCTGATGCAGGAGAATTGCTTGAACCCAGGAGGCAGAGGTTGCGGTAAGCTGAGATCGCACCACTGTACTCCAGCCTGGGCAACAGAGCAAGATTCTGTCTCAAAACAAAAAACAAAAAACAAAAAACACCTAGGCAAAGTTAACAGATGACATCCCAGAAGATGATATTTATATGGTCCAAAACCAACCAGGGATTTAAGAAATATTATATATATTAAGGAGTTCTATAAATCAACAAGAAAAATACAGGAAACAAAGGATATGAAGAGGCAAAGGAAAATGGCTAACTAGTATATGAAGAAATGATTAAACTCACTGGTAACTAGAAATAAAAATTAAACAGCCTAGCCAACATGGCAAAATCCTGCCTCTACTAAAAATACAAAAAAATTAGCTAGGTGTGGTGGCACACACCTGTAATCCCAGCTACTCAGGAGGCTGAGGCAGGAGAATTGCTTGAACCCAGGAGATGGAGGTTGAAGTGAGCCAAGATTGTGCCACTGCACTCCAGCCTGGGAGACAGAGTGAGACTCTGTCTCAAAAAAAAAAAAAAAAAAAAATGCCAAGCACAGTGGCTCACGCTTGTAATCCCAGCACTTTGGGAGGCCGAGGCAGGTGGATCATTTGAGGTCAGGAGTTCGAAACCAGCCTGGCCAACATGGTGAAACCCCATCTCTACTAAAATTAGCCAGGTGTGGTGGTACACGCCTGTAATCCCAGCTACACGGGAGGCTGAGGCAGGAGAATAGCTGGAACCAAGATCATGCCACTGCATTCCAGCCTGAGCGACAGAGCGAGACTCCATCTCAAAATAAATAAATAAATAAATAAATAAAATAAAAATTAAAATGAGACATTACTAAAAGGCCAAAATTAGAAATGTGGATAATACCAAGTGTTGGGAGGGGCGGTTATAGGAACACAATGCTTATGGGTATAAGCTTATACAACCATTCAACAGCCTCATAGTACTTATGCCGCAATGCCACTCCTGGGTCTGTGCCCCTGAGAATTCTCAAACATGTCCACTCCTGGGTCTGTGTCCCTGAGAATTCTCAAACATGTCCATAATGGACATGTGCAAGACTGTTACTGGTATCATTGTTTATGGTAGCCTAGGTGCCCATCACTATGAGAATGGATGCACACCACAGAATACTATGCTGCAGCTCGAAGCAGTTAGCTAAATCTACATCCACATGAACAGATCTTTTTTTGTTTTTTTTTTAGATGGAGTCTCACCCTGTCACTCAGACTGGAGTGCAGTGGCACAATCTTGGCTCATTGCAACCTCCACCTGCTGGGTTCAAGCAATTCTCCTGCCTCAGCCTCCCGAATAGCTGGGACCACAGGTGCGCACCACCACACCCAGCTAATTTTTTGTATTTTTAGTAGAGACAGGGTTTCACCATGCTGGCCAGGATGGTTTCGAACTCCTGACCTCGTGATCTGCCCACCTTGGCCTCCCAAAGTGCTGGGATTACAGGCGTGAGCCACCGCGCCAGGCCCATAACATAGATCTTAAAACATAGTGCTCACTGAAAAAAGTAAAAACCAGAGTAAGATCTACAGCATTTCTACAAGGAGAATTCTATAGCCAAATTCTACAACAGTGTGGTATAATGAGCAATTTTTTAATTAAAAATACATACACCAAAAGAATCAGTAAGTATTTTACAAAGATGCACATAGAATCAAGGACATATCAAACACATTAGAGAGTGTGCCTGTGAGGTGGGGAGGAAAATAGACATGGGAATGAGGGCTGAACAGAAGGCCTTTGTACACCAAAGCTATACTGTAACCCAAATTATGGGAGTAGGAAGTCCAAATTCAGAATAATATTTTTCATTCATGCATACATTAATTTATTCCATAAAAACTTATTGAACACCTCTTAAGTGCCAAGAACTCTGCTTAAATAGAAACTTTTCTTATTTCTGCTGAAGATATTTTTTCAAGTCAGATATGTTTTAATTGGAAGTGGAAGGGAAAAATAATTTACAGTAGCATATAATATATACTAAAAAATGAGAAACCATCCTTAAAATAAATGTTTTACATAACTTTTTTCATCAAATGGAAATGTACCTTGAAGTTCTTTAAATGACAAAGTTAAATGAAAAATCAAAATACAAAAAGAACTCTGTAAGTCCTACATAAATTAGACAGCCACATCTCAATCCACAGATAAAACGTCTTGAAGTCTCATGGCTTTCAGTGGTGAAACAACTACTTTTTGGAGGATAAATTTTTTCTACTTTATTTGTTCTATGTAACGCCCTCCCTCTGCACCCAACAATACTTCAACTGCTCAGGAACACTTCTCACCAGATTTCTGTTTTCTAAAAGATTTCACAAGCACACTGCTGGCTGCCAACGTAGGTGTTGTAGTTAATATACTCATTATGCCATGCTGCTAACAAAAACTGATTAACGCATTCAGTGCAGAGTGACATGTCTATTCCATATTCCCTGGGCACAGAGAATAACATTTTCAAACAAACAAAAAAAATTACCCGTTCACCCCTTTTTAGATGTCTCCTAATGAAAGGCCACAAATTCCAAATGTTAACTAGTATACATGATAATACTGGTAAAGGAAAATAATAGCAACCTGTAGTAGGACAACAGCTGCCTATAAGGCTCTAAAATTGCAGTACTTCAGTATCTCAGATTTAGATTACTGAGTGTCAGCGCACAATCATACCTCACTGTAACCTTGAACTCCTGGGCTCAAGCAATCCTCCCGCTCAAGTGGATCACTTGAGGTCAGGAGTTCGAGATCAGCCTGGCCAACATGTCGAAACCTTGTCTCTACTAAAAATAGAAAAATTAGCCAGACATGGTGGCAAGCACCTGTAGTCCCAGCTACTGAGGAGGCTGAGGCAGAATGGCTTGAAGCCGGGAGGTGGATGCTGCAGTGAGCCGAGATCATGCTACTGCACTCCAGCCTGGGGGACAGAGTGAGACTCTGTCTCAGGAAAAAAAAAGAGAGAGTCTCCCACCTTGGCCTCCCAATGTGCTGGGATAACAAGGTAAACTACACACTGGGCCCAATTTGGGATTTTCAGCATGGAGCAGACAATGAAGCCACTCACAGATGAGACTGACGTCTTCATTAAAGCACACTTACCTTTCACTTGAAATGCATTGTTATAAGCTCTTCAAGTTATGTCACACATTTCTAAAATATTTCTTTTAAGAGTATATTCAATTCCACGGTGATGTATTTGCTTTCTCATCTTTACTTATAAGACCCTTCTAATCAGTTGACCATATTTAACTTTTTTATATGCAATGTTTATTAACCTGACCTTTGACCTCTTTTAGATACAAGCATGCAATCAGTGTATAGCCATAAGCATCCAATTGATATAGGTGGTTGTATTAGAACATAAAAAAGGAGAGTTAAAGATGTAAATGTTAGCAATGACCATCTATAGGGATATTCTTGGCATTCTGGTTTATAAAAACATAACATTAATATAGTCCCACATACTCTATGAATGCTTACATAAATGAGATGACCTCTGTTCATAAATGCTGATTCGCTGTCAAGGGCTAGATGTCTATGATCATTAAGCTATTAGCAATGACGGCCGAATTGAGCAATTCATACATTTTCTTACTTGATTTTCTTTGTTGCTACCTCCAATTTTTGTCAAGGAGAATCTAATTAGCTCTAACAGGGACTTTGACCTTATTGTCCTGATAAGTTAATATCCATAACTGCAAAAATAAGTACCATAAATTACCTGGCATTCTAGAAAGGTCTGGGCTCAAAACTGATAAATCAAAGCCAGCCGTGGTGGCTCACGCCTGTAATCCCAACACTTTGGGAGGCCGAGGCGGGCAGATCACCTGAGGTCAGGAGTTTGAGACCAACCTGGCCAACATGGCGAAACCCCATCTCCACCTAACAATACAAAAAATTAGTCGGGCGTGGTGGTGCATGCCTGTAGTCCTAGCTACTCTAGGGGCTGAGACAGGAGAATCACTTGAACCTGGGAGACAGAGGTTGCAGTGAGTCAAGATCGCACCACTGCACTCCAGCCTGGGCAACAGAGTGAGACTCTATCTCAAAAAAAGTTGATAAATCAGTAAACCCCTATCTACTCTTCCTTTCATTTTCAACTACAATGTATATCTACAAAACAAATTGATCCTTAAAGACTTTATTTCAAAGTCAAAGTTCTTGCTATTTTAATGCACCCACATGGTCCATCCAAGTGAGCATATGACATATCCTACACATCTTCTTTCCCATGTCAGAGACTGAAAGAAAGAGCAGGAGGCAGGAAAGAGCAGGACACCAATGTGACAAAATGCTAAAGCCAAGCTATAAATTACCTTTTGGCCATTCTCTGCTGCATTTTGAAAAAGCTAACACAACAGTAGAGCCCATCCTTCCCTTGGATAGATACAAGCATCATACAAAAGTATCCTCCTAACTCACTAGCAACAGTGCTGCCCTCCCATCTTTCACACAATTTGCCCAGCAAAAGAAGCACTGCTGGGTTCTAAAGGCAATGACTGAAAGCTCTGTATTCTGATGATGGGAGGGAGCAGTGAAGACCAGCTTCCTGGGCTCTAAACTATGCCAGACTGCCGTGCTAATCCTCCCCAAATCCCACAACACAACGTTTCAGTGGGGGTGGGGAACAGGATAGAAAACAATCCAAAACTGAATCAAGAACAGTAGCTCTAGGTTACGGAGGTCATAACATTCCTATTTGAATGAGGGTAGGGAATAATGGAGTGGGGCAAAGACATAGACAAAAGCCTTTAAAACATATCTTTAAAACCACAAAAGAAAAATAAATTTTATCCCTGATCCTTCTGATGTGCTAACCAACATCTGCCCCCAATCATTTGCCAGCCCTGGCTGCATAGAAGGCACGGAGTAGCAGACATTTTCACACAGTAAAGCTGGAAGAGATGCTACTAGAGTGTAAATCACTAATTAGCTCAATAAAAGACAGAGAGAAAATACTTGTCACAGAATGCTGTTTACAATTTGACATATAATAAAAAACCCTGAAAATTTCAGGAGAATGCCTTACTTTCCAGACTTCTATTAACATGTGAATGGAAAAGGGACAGTATTATAGTCTTTAAAAATAGCCCATGTCTCCGAAACAATAACACATGACTAGAAAGAATGCTTTCCAAACAATTTGTAATTTTTTCATCCTTATGAAAGGGGAGTGTTTTTAATTATCACAATCAGCTTTTTTTTTTTTTTTTTTTTTTTTGAGATGCAGTGTCACTCTGTCATCCAGGCTGGAATGGAGTGGCACAATCTCAGCTCACTGCAACCTCCGCCTCCCAGGTTCAAGCAAATCTTGTTCCTCAACCACCCAAGTAGCTGGGATTACGGGCATGCACCATCATGCCCAGCTAATTTTTGTATTTTTAGCAGAGACAGGGTTTCACTATGTTGGCTAGCCTGGTCTCGAACTCCTGGCCTCAAGTGATCCACCTGCCTCGGCCTCCCAAAGTGCTGGGATTAACAGGTGTGAGCCACTGTGCCTGGCCTACAATCAGCTTTAACAAGGAGCTATATTTCACAGCTTTGATAATTGCTTAAAGAGTGGGGAAAAAAGGAAAAGAAGCCCACAAGTGCTGTTTTTTTGTTTGTTTGTTTTGTTTTGAGACAGAGTTTCACTCTTGTTGCCCAGGCTGGAGTACAACAGCACGATCTCAGCTCACTGCAACCTCTGCCTCCCGGATTCAAGAGATTCTCCAGCTTCAGCCTCCCGAGTAGCTGGGATTACAGGCATGCGCCACCACACCTGTCTAATTTTGTATTTTTAGTAGAGACGGGGTTTCTCCATGCTAGTCAGGCTGATCTCGAACTCCTGACCTCAAGTGATCCACCCGCCTCAGCCTCCCAAAGGGCTGGGATTACAGGTGTGAGCCACCGCACCCAGCCACAAGTGCCGTATTTTACATTTGTCAGAATACAGTTAATATTCCTTCCAGTTAAACTGAGAGGACCTCCTTCAGGTCACGAGTTTATCAAATGGACAGGCCATCATTTTAATGAAGATTAAATGATGGGAAGGGAGTCAGTTTAATTTCCTTATGTCACAACAACAGAAAAGACTCCCAAAATTTAGGTTTATTTGGGGGGAAGGTAATATAATATTAAGATATTTCCATTCGTCCCCCTCATAATATGGCAAACTTATTTGTATTAATCCCAATCAATTTTTTTTTTTTTTATTTTTGAGACAGAGTCTCGCTCTGTTGACGAGGCTGGAGTGCAGTGGCTTGATCTCGGCTCACTGCAACCTCTGTCTCCCAGGTTCAAGCAATTTTCCTGCCTCAGTCTCCAGAGTAGCTGGGATTACCGGCACGTGCCACCACGTGTGGCTAATTTTTGTATTTTTAGTAGAGGTGGGGTTTTACCATGTTGGCCAGGCTGGTCTCAAACTCCTGGCACCAAGGGATCCACCTGCCTCAGCCTCCCAATGTGCTAGGATTACAGGTATGAGCCACCGCACGCAGCCAACCAATATTCTTAAAGCAATACATTTTGTACTTTGATCTTTTCCAGCTCCTTGAAGCTACATAAGAGTCTTTAAAATATGTATTTCACCTAACTATTTCTTGGTTGTGGTTTTGAAAGGCCCCATGGCTCCTGTTTCTCACAATAATCACCCATACCTCCATAGCTAGCATGTCCTGAGGACACATCCATGCATGAGCACACCATGCCACATGCTAGGGAGGTTCTCAACACATGGGTACACTGTGACACAGTTTTTTCTAATGGGAGAGACCTACAAACCCATCATTCACAAGTGAAAGAATCTCAGAATGTACAGGAGACAAGACCATAAAAACACAAAATCCACTCTAAACCCAATCTTGAGATTCCTTTGCTTCAAGTATTTGACTAAAATTAAACACAAACTAAACTTTTTGAAATACTCAAAACATTCTCCCCTTTTCTTCTTTAAAATTAAGGTCTTCATATGCATTTTCTTCAATTTGACTTGTTTAAAAATACTCAAGTGAGAGAAAATGATAAAGCAAATGGGGCAAAATGAAAAAAATTGGTGAAACTGAGTAAGGGTATACAGAATTTCTTGTATCATTTTTGCAACTTTTCCATATGTTTAAAAAACTGCAATAAAATCAAGAGTCACCAAAAAATAGAGTATTAACAACAGAAGTTCTCTCATAGGGCTGTTTCAAATTTCAAACAATTCACATACTCAGTTAATGCTGGACACCTAGTAAACACTCAGTAATTGTTAATTATTTTTTTTAAATGAGTGGATCAGCTGGGCACGGTGGCTCACGCCTGTAATCCTAGCACTTTGGAGATCACTTGAGGTCAGGAGTTCGAGACCAGCCTGGCCAACAAGGTGAAATCCCGTCTCTACTAAAAATACAAAACCTTGGCTGGATGTGGTGGTGGGTGCCTGTAATCCCAGCTACTAGGGAGGCTGAGGCAGGAGAATCGCTTGAACCTGGGAGGCGGAGGTTGTAGTGAGCCAAGATCATGCCACTGCACTCCAGCCTAAGCTACAGAGCAGTACTCCAACTCAAAAAAAAAAAAACGAGTGGATCAATTTACTTAACCAATTAAAGTATTAGGAGGCCAGGCGCGGTGGCTCACATCTGTAATACCAGCACTTCGGGAGGTTAAGGTGGGCAGATTTTTTGAGCCCAGGAGTTCGAGACAAGCCTGGGCAACATGGTGAAACCTTGTCTCTACAAAAAATACAAAAATTAACCAGGTGTGATGGCACACATCTGTAGTCCCAGAGAGGTCCAGGCTGCAGTGAGCTGACGTGGCGCCACTGCATTCGCCTGGGCAAAAGAGCAAGATTCTGTCTCAATAATAATCATAATAATCATAATAATAATATATGGGGAAATTGGTATATCACTTAGGCACACATAAAGAGAAAATACTAAAAAATTAGTGAGGGTATAAACAGATTTTGCTTATGGATATTTGCACTGAAATCTGAAATCAGAAAAAATCCATTTTTCTTCAAACAGCAATAATCTTTCAACTATAAATGTGTCATAGTATATAACAAGTCCAGGGCAGTTTTCTAGCTAAAAAGGTGGATGGGGAATCTGCAATGCAATAAGGCATTTTTTACTGGTTTGGGTTTGTTTTGTAAATACAATTTTGGAATGAAAAAATAGAAGCATGCAACAACCTTGATGTAATCTTTACATTATACATAATCGTTACGGTGTTTACCCCAGGTTCCTCATCTAGAAAGGAACTGGATAAAAGGTTAGTAACAGGACTACAGGGATAATTTTTAAAGATTGGCAAACAAGACTTGTTAAGTGTTGAATCTGAAGAAGAACTTGGTGAGGGAGAACTTCACAACAGGCAAGCCAGAGGCAAAACCAGAGCACAGACTCTGCTGGCAAAATGCAAAGGCTGGAATCCCATCCCACCACTTGGTAGAATTCTAGCTTTTGAACTAAAATAAAGATTAAATGTATCACTGGGTTACAAAACATAGTATTATTTGTAATATAAGATAATTACCAAATAAATAGTTGTAGGAATGTCTGAGTATAACCTTGGGCAAATCATTTAATCTCAAGGACCCTCTATTTCATCACCTGTAAAATGAGAATAGTAATAGTACCTACCTCACAGGATTGCCATTGAGGAGTAAACAAGTTACAATTTGCAGTGCTTACAGAAGTATCTGGCACAAAAGCATTATATGTGTGTTGGCTACTATTATTAAGTTTATGAAGAACTAAGGTCTTATAAATACAAAAGTACACAGGTATTTTTTACTCAAAAATTGAGAATGGGGCAAGAGGAAACAAACACATATATAGCATTAAACATGTGCTGGTTGGAGAGAAGGCAGACTCTCCTGATAGAGAAATTATTAAATGCTTGCAAAGATTATCTACAGAGGTTACCACATTACTGCTGAAGATTTGTTTTAAAAAATAGGATAAATTTTTATCTACCTGGAATGATTTAAGTGGGATATTGACTGGAGTTGCAGGATAAACTAGAGGTCCTTTCAAGGTCTCTTCCCATCCAAAGAATCTACGGTTAACCAGGAAAACATTTAATTATGTACAGCCTAATAAATCTAAAAATATAAACTTAAAAGCTTTTGCTTAGCAAATAAGATTATAACCAAAATAAAGTTAAATTGGGTAGAACTGTACTTGATGAACAAATGAAAATAAAGCTTAAATTTATCATTGGAGTCCTTATTGATAAATAGTATTATCTCAATTTTTAAAAATCCATTTTCAGTTTTAGAAATAGCGACTGAGAAATAACCATTGACAATGAGACTCAGTGGTTTAGCACACTAAGGCCGTTGCATACAGAAACAAAAGGCAGGACTCACTCTTTCCCTTGGCTGATCTTACAGTTTATATTTCCTTCTTTACCAATATCAAATAAGTCTATAATCACTTATATAAAGATATTGAGCATTAAACAATTACAATTACATTATAAACATGGCAATACCATACAGAGTACGTCCTACTACTAACGCCAGCCCAAACACATCTATAAAAAGAATATGCACACACATCTCACTGAAACAAGTGCCTCATATCAAAGTTATTCTTCATCTTGAAAGTCAACATTATCAAACTAATCCTTTTAAAATGTAGTGGCAAAAATAGTAATTTTTACCAAGATCCTCTGTTAAATTGCTAAATACATCTAGTAACCTTGAACACTTGCTTAATACAATCCAGGAAACAAACCATAAACTAAATACTATGCCACTAACACAGTAGCTGAATGCAGAAAGAGTTTTCTAAATTATACATTAACCATTGTTGCTCAAATCCACAAATCAAAATCTAATCTTTGTTAACTACTACAAAAGTCATAAACCTAATCTTTGTTATTTATACAAACACCAGCAAAAGTGTCAATCCAAAATTTACCCAACTTTGAAAAAAAAAGTATCTTTGTGCATCTGAGTGTACACAATGAAATAACCCCAAAGAAGATTCTCAACAATTGTTTGAATTTTTCCCTAAGTAAATCATATGCTATCCTTTGGCACCATCAAATGCAAAACAAATATTCATTCATATTCTTAGCTAAATGTAAAAGCTTCTGAAAAAAATCATTAAAACAAAATTCTAAGTAAGAATAACCAAATTTTGCCCCAAATTTCTTATCTTCCTTTTCATTTCTAAAGGTGTCTTAAAAATCAAAAGCTTCTAGAAAATTAGTATTAATCTGGCCTTCTTTATTCATAACCATAAAACACGAAAGGCAGTGGAGCTGTCCAAAGACCAAGCTTGCTGCAGTATTATCTTACAGAGATGTTTTTCCATCAAAATTACTCATAAATTTATTTGCCCTAAAAAATAAGTCTGCTACTCTAAAATCCTCCACTACTCTACAATTCTCCCTTTCTTTATGCCATTTTGTTAAATGGGTGAGTTACCAACTACAGCATGAAACGTCCCGCACAAAGCTAAAGGCAGCTCAGGAACTCAAAGCCCTCAGCTCTGATTTAATCTCTCCCCCAGTAAACTTCCTTGGTTGGTTATCTGCCTTTCTCTGAAATGATTTCTTAACATTCTCCAGCAACTGAAAACAATAAGCAGAAATCTGGTTGATTAATCAAAAGAAACAGATTCTCATCTTTCTCTATCCCAACAACAGTGCGTTCTCCATTGAAAATGAAAATGCTGTCCATAAAACACAGCCCAGCACTTGTCAGGTGCAACACTCCTACAACACTAAAACTATCACATCACACGAGTACACCCTAAATAAGCACACCCTTTCCCCGAATTATCACAACACTAGTGAAATGCAGAGGTTTTCAACACCCAGAGTTTATACTTTATCATCCATACAAGAAAAAAATCAAATCAAAATGAGTCTCATTTCTTCAAAGTGGACAGGAAAGTCAAATCAAAAGCAATGAAGGGTGGAAGCAGATTCAAGATTTCTTGAGAGAAAGAGGTTTCTGGAATTTCCTACTTTTAGGGACAAAAGGATTCACAGTTTCAACACACAGTTCTCTCCTCAACAAAGAATTCCTTTCCTGCACCCCCCACCTCTGCCCTTACTTTTTAGTCTTTACCCCTGTCTCTAGGTCCCCTTTCACTCACCATGGTTCCTCGTCTTCTGCACCAAAGGCTCTCTTACACTTGATCTTTCACTACAGCATTTCTGCCCTGACCCTTGCAGACCTTCTGGAGCAACTCCCCATAACACGCACATTCGATTCCCACCCCCCTGCAGTCTACCCCAGTTCTACATCCATCAGGACTCCCCCAGCTTCTCTTAGCCCCCTCTCTTCCCTTACTCCCCATCTCATCCTTTAAATTCTGGGGCCCATCTCTTCCTGCTCCTCTCACCATTTGCTTTTAGCCCTGTCTCTTTACCTCACTGTTTTCACCTTGGATCTTGCTGAACCTCTTCAATTAACGTAATTACCCAGTTATCCTTGTCCCAGATGGCCATCACTTCTTACACCCTAACTCTAGTCTCCTTTCAGCTCTTCTGGTCCCAGAATCGTCCTACAGACACCCATCTCTTATCTGTTTCCTTTCGCCCTTCCACCACACTCTTATTCCTGACTCCACCTGGTTCCAGTCCAGGTCTCATTTGCCCTCCCTCACTTTACAGAATTTACATCCATCGCCCACCCACTAACCCATTCCTTTCTCAGAACCTCGCCAGCAGTTCCCACCACACCGTTGGTCCCAGTCCTTCAGCTCATCTCGCTCCGCACTAGTTCACACCCTCGTCACGTCTGGCTCTTAATCACTCTCTCTTTCCTACTCCCAACTATTACCCCAGCTCTGCCCCTCCTTGTCTTCCACTTCCAACACTTACCCCGGTACCCCTCACCCCAACACCACCCGCTACGAAGATTTCCCCTTCAAACCCCTGCTCTTACACCTAACCCCAGGATCCCTTTCCCCAGCCCTAACCTCATTCCCTGCCCGGCTTCCTTAACGCCCACCCTGGCTTTTGCCTCCTTCCTATCTCCTTGGCTGGCTTTTTCTCACTCCTCCTCTCCCTGGCTTCTAACCCTTTCTCCCCTTAATCCTCCTCATCTCATTCTCAACCCGGTTCCCCTCATCGCCTCCAAGCCTTCCTTTCCCTCTCCCTTCAACGCTTTTGCCCCAACCCAGCCGTCGCCCACCCCGCCAAAATAAGGCGCCCGCGCGCCCCGACTCCCGGCTCTCGCCTCCCGCCGCCCCCGCCCCGGGCGCCCCCAGCCCGCCGGCGCCGCGGTCCCGCCCCCTGCCGCCGCTCCTCCCGCCCGCGAGGCGCGCGCTGCCTTTGTCGCCCCTCACCCGGTGTGTGAGGATTTTGCTTCTTTAAAGGGGAGGGCTAGTGAGCCGGAGACTCCTATCCCCGCCTCCGAGTCTTAGAATGGGCTCCCTGGCCGTCGCGGCCTCCCCGGCCCCCGTTCCCCCTACCCCCTGGAGCTACCCACTTTGCTGCCTCCCCACCTCCTCCGTCCCCTCCCCCGGCCCCCTCTATTTACCGCCATCATCAGCACGCGCGAGCTGTCACCAGGGCGCGAGACAACCGAACACGGCCCCGCCCCCTGCCCGTCTATTGGCCCGCCCGCTGGAGCCCCGCCCCTCAGGCCCTGCATTGCGCCAACGGCGCAGCGCTGGGCCGCGACCCCGGCACCGGCACCCGTTCCGAGGGTTCGCGCCGCAGGCGCAAAGTTTAGGGTCAGCCACAAACGCGCGGCCGCTTTGAGCCTGGCGTAAGGGGCGGCGGCGTAGGGGGACGTTGTGAATAGCTGGTCGAAGTTTGGTTGAAGCACAGGAGGGTAAATAAGAAGGTTTCCAGACAAAGAGACTCTTAAAGGTACAGACTCTTATGTCTGTCCCTCCTCCTTAAAGGGCCAGAGACGCTCCCGAGCCCATCTCCGCCCCCTTCTTCCCGGGGAACTGTAAAGGTATTTTACATGAGTTTCCCATACTCTTTTCGGTTCACCTTTAACACCTCTCCCCACTGCGAAGGACAAAGGCTTTCTCACTATCCCGTCCGTATGTTTTGTTTTATTCTGTTAAAAGACGTTATTTCTGTGTTGTTCCTAAAGCAGCAGCCCTCAAACCGTGGGGTTTCCGGAGGCAGCGTTTGCAAAAGTTACTATTGGCTCCCAGGCGGGTGAGCACGTGTCTGGCTTTTGCCACAGATGACCCAAGAGAGATTCAGCTGTTTTATGGAAATCCCCCACAAGTTAGAGGATCGCTGCCGGAACTGAAGAAGTTCAGCAGATTGTAAGGCTTGGGAAATAAACCAGACTGACTTGGTAGTGGTCCATTGGGAAACAGAACAGCACCTAAGCTACAAAAGGCTTAGGTTAAGCAGTCTCCTAGGTGCACTGTCTTGAAACTACTTGCGGGGTGGTAGTGGGGGGAGGGGATGGGAGTCTCCCAAAATAAGATCAACAATTTCAACACCCAACACATAGCTAAGGCAGATAAAGACTTACATTTAAATATAAGGACAAGTAAAAGAAACAGACATTAGCTATAGTAGTGGCTCAAGTTACACACCTGTAAACAGGAGAACTAGGTAAGCACAAAAAAAAAAAAAAGAACACCACACACAATAGGAAGGGGGAAACTAC
Source organism: Homo sapiens (assembly GCF_000001405.40). Lineage (NCBI taxonomy): Eukaryota > Metazoa > Chordata > Mammalia > Primates > Hominidae > Homo > Homo sapiens. The sequence goes on from NC_000006.12 coordinate 41,896,428, forward strand.
AATGCCTGGACCAAGCGCTGTGTAGGCAATTTATTAACAACTTGCACTTTTAAAAGAGGTTTGATAGAAGGAGAGGAAGTGGAGTGTTTCAATTTGGTTTGGTCGGGATTTATCATGAGGTTCAAGGCCTCAGAGTTAGATTCAGAATTTAGCTCTCCCTTTGTCGTCCATCACAGTTAACATAATTCTTTTTAAGGAATTCTTAACATTATAACTCTAATTATATGTCTTATTCCCTTACTCAACAATCCCCAAGAAAATTCTTGGAGAAGAAAGATTGTTACTTATTCAATGTTAGTTCCATAACAAGGTGCTTTTGCTGAGTGAAGAATTTGGGAGCCACTTAAAACTTCCAATGGAAGGGATGCTCCCAGAATAGCAATACAGGAGGAAAAGTTTCTCAGTGATGTGAGCATGTATTAGATCAGTGTTCTCAAAAATGTGGCCTGGAGGCCGGGCACGGTGGCTCACGCCTGTAATCCCAGCACTTTGGGAGGCCAAGGCAGGTGGATCATGAGGTCAGGAGATCAAGACCAGCCTGGCCAACATGGTGAAACTCCGTCTCTACTAAAAATACAAAAATTATCCGGACGTGGTGGCGTGTGCCTGTAATCCCAGCTACTCAGGAGGCTGAGGCAGGAGAATTGCTTGAACCAGGGAGTTGGAGGTTGCAGTGAGCTGAGATCGTGCCACAGCACTCCAGCCTGGCAACGGAGTGAGACTCCATCTCAAAAAAAAAAAAAAAAAAAAAAAAGTGTCGCCTGGAAAGGCCTAGGGATCTCTGAGACCCTTTGGGCTGGGGGGATAGTGGGGTGCCTGAGATCAAAACGATTTTCCTAATAATACTGAGACATATCTGCATTGTCACTGTGATGATATTTGCACAATGATACAAAAGTAGCAATGGGTAAAACTGCTGCCTTAGCACAAATCAAGGCAACTGCACCAAGTTGTGCTAGAGGTCAAGGTATTCTTCACTGCTACAGTAAAAAAACACCTGTTTCAGGCCGGATGGGTGCAGTGGCTCACACCTGTAATCCCAACACTTTGGGAGGCCAAGGCAGGTGGATCACTTGAGGTCAGGAATTCGAGACCAGCCTGGCCAACATGGTGAAACCCCTCTCTCTACTAAAAATACAGAAATTAGCTGGGCGTGGTGGCACGCACCTGTAATCCCAGCTACTCGGGAAGCTGAGGCAGGAGAATCACTTGAACCTGGGAGGCAGAGGTTTCAGTGAGCCGAGATCGCACCACTGCACTCCAGCCTAGGCAACAGAGTGCGACACTGTCTCAAAAAAAAAAAAAAAAAAAACCACCTGTTTCATTTAAGAGGTCTTTGATGAAGACAATAAAAATTGTTTTATTTAAGTACACGTTTATGTGATTAAATGCATGTATGTATGCATCAAGCACTTTTAAGTACAACATTTGTCTTGAGGAAAAGCACTCTTGCAATTTGAGTTTGGAGCTGAATTAATAGCTTTCTTCATGGAACACCGTTTTTATTTGAAAGAACAGCTAACAGACTAGTTGTTCACTGGATATTTGGCAGACATGTTCTTAAAAATAAAGTAGAGCCTGATAGCATTGTCGGTTATGATAAAACTCAAGCCTTTATTTTTATTTTTGGAGACGGAGTCTCACTCTGTTACCCAGGCTGGAGTGGAGTGGCGTGATCTCAGCTCACTGCAACCTCTGCCTCCCAGGTTCAAGCAATTCTCCTGCCTCAGCCTCCTGAGTAGCTGGCACCACAGGCACACGCCACTAACGCCCAGCTAATTTTTTGTATTTTAGTAGAGACAGGGTTTCGCCATGTTGCCCAGGCTGGTCTTGAACTCCTGAGCTCAGGCAGTCTGCCCGCCTCAGCTTCCCAAAGTGCTAGGATTACAGGCGTGAGCCACCGCACCCGGCCTGATAAAACTCAAGCATTTAAGTCAAACAGAATTTCTAACAACTGACTTGTATCTCCCAATGTAAGTTTGATAGCTTCCCATGACTTTTTCTAATAAGACTGGTAGTGGGCCAGGCACGGTGGCTCATGCCTGTAATCCCAACACTTTGGGAGGTCAAGGTGGGCAAATCATTTCAGGCCAGGAGTTCGAGACCAGTCTGGCCAACATGGCGAAACCCCATCTCTACTAAAAATAAAAAAATTAGCTGGGCATGGTGGCGCATGCCTGTAATACCAGCTACTCAGGAGGCTGAGACACAAGAATTGCTTGAACCAGGGAGGCAGAGGTTGCAGTGAGCCGAGATCATGGCACTGCCCTCCAGCCTGGGCAACAGAGCAAGACTCTGTCTCACAAAACTAAAATAAGTCCGGGCACGGTGGCTCATGCCTGTAATCCTGGCACTTTGGGAGGCCGAGGTGAGCGGATTGCCTGAGCTCAGGAGTTCAAGACCAGCCTGCGCAACACAGTGAAACCCCATCTCTACTCAAAATACAAAAAAAATTAGCTGGGTATGGCGGCATGTGCCTTAGTCCCAGCTACCCGGGAGGCTGAGGCAGGAGAATTGCTTGAACCTGGGAGGCGGAGCTTGCAGTGAGCCGAGATGGTGCCACTGCACTCCAGCCTGGGCGACAGAACGAGACTCCATCTCAAAAAATAAAATAAAATAAAATAAAAATAAAAATAAATAAATATGATTTTTTGATACTGTATAATGTGTCAACATTTAGGAGATGTGCAGTGTTTTCCAAATGACCAATGCATGACACTACAAAATCACACATTAGTAAAAGATCCATTCAAAGTGCAAAATAAGGCCAGGTGCAGTGGCTCACGCCTGTAATCCTGGCACTTTGAAAGGCTGAGGCAGGTGGATCACTTGAGCCCAGGAGTTCGAGACTAGCCTGGGCAATATAGCGAGACCCCCATCCCTAAAAAGAAAAAAAAAAAGTGCAAAATAAACCAATAAATATTAATGGAATATAAAAAGTTCACTAATATACTTTGAGGTTCCACATTGCAACTAACCTTTAGCAGAGTTTTGATAGCATCAAAGAATATCCACAATTATCTGAAAAAGTTATGAATATATTTCTCCCTTTTTCCAAATACACATCTGTGGGAGGCTGAATTTTCTTCATATTCTTCAACCAAAATAACATTGAAACAGACTGAATGCAAAAGCAGATATGAGTATTTCACAGTCTTCTATTATGCCAGACATTCAAAAGATTTATGAAAATTAAAAACAATGCTACTCTTCTCAAGAAATTTTGTTTGGAAAAATAATTACTTTTCCTTAAAAATATTTTATCAGCCAGGCACAGTGGCTCATGCCTGTTATCCCAGCACTTTGGGAAGCCAAGGTGGGAAGATCGCTTGAGCTTAGGAAGTTTGAGACCAAGCCTGGACAACATAGCAACACCTCATCTCTACTAAAAATAAATTAGCCAGATATGGCAGTGGGCACAGGTAGTTCCAGCTACTCAGGAGGATGAGGTGGGAGGACTGCTTGAGCCTGGGAGATGGAGGCTGTAGTGAGCTATGATCATGCCACTGCATTCCAGCCTGGGCAACAGACCAAGACCCCATCTCAAAAAAAAAAAAATTAAATAAATATATATATATATATATATTTTGGCCAGGAGCAGTAGCTCACGCCTGTAATCCCTGCACTTTGGGAGGCCATGGTGGGTAGAACACCTGAGGTCATATGGTGGCGGGCACCTGTAATCCCAGCTACTCGGGAGGCTGAGGCACAAGAATTGCTTGAACCTGGGAGCCGGAGGTTGCAGTGAGCCAAGATTGTACCACTGTACTCCAGCCTAGGCCATAGAGTGAGACTCTGTCTCAAAAAAAAAAAAAATTATTTATGTTAACATGTGATGGGCTTACTGTTACCTTTAAGCAAATTAATAAATACTTAGGCCAGGCATGGTGGCTCACACCTATGATCCCAACACTGGGAGGCCGAGGATCACTTTAGCCCAGGAGTTTGAGACCAGCCTGGGAAACACAGCGTGACTCTGTCTTAAAAAATAAAAAATTATAGAAAATTAAAAGACATGAGAGCAGAGATAGCATCTTCTTGCCTACAAAACATTCTTCATATGTATTTTCCTTTGAGCCTCTCAACAACTCTATGAAATATGGAAAGCAGGCATCATTATTCCCACTGTACAGATGAGACTCAGAGACAACAGCTTGATTGAAGTTACGTGGCAAGTTAGGGCCAGTGCTATGGCTAGCACTCAGCCATCTGTCTCTTAAAGACGCATTCTCTTCCCTTGAGCAGGCCACCCCAGAATACCCGTCACCTTCACATTCACAGCCTTGCCTTTCCTACATGACAAAAGACTTCTACTCTTGAATTCTGACTTCAGGACAATCTAGGCTACATAAATGTGGTCCCTAAACTCTCTTTTTAAAAGTCTCCGAAGAAGATTCAGTTGAATTCATATTAATCTTAAAAATTAATCTGTGCTATCTGATGGTGGGGCAGGGGTCTATGTTGGGAAATTAAACAGAGAATGCAAGAGAATTAGGAAACTTTGCCCTAATCATTTCAATAATTTTTTAACTTGATAATTTCATCACAGAGGAAAGGAACTATTTCTCTGCCTCATCAATCACGTTTTTCTGAAAAATGAAGAAGTATATGCATTATGCCAAATTCCATTACAACAGAATACTTGCCAGACCCCATGGAGTGTCATAACAGAAGAGTAACTCTGAAGCCACAGAGGTAGCTATCAAGATTGCTTCATATATATTTACTCCTGCCTATTTTCAAAAGAAAAAGGGGAAACATAGGAAGATAGCAAAAACTCAGTCCATCTTCCCAGAAACTGTCTGAAAGGCCCAAAGGATTGGCTATAAAATGAAGAAGGAAAATCCTCTGGCTTGACACCCAGATGTAAGGTCCAGAAGGCAGGGAAAGATCCTGCTCACAAAAGCTGGCTGGACCAGTCTCAAACCTGCTTAACTTTGTCCTCATACTGTTTCCATTTCAGGATTTGCTCTCCCTTTAGAGACTCTTTTTTGGATCACAGATTCTTTTTCTTTTTTTTTTTGAGACAGAGTCTCACTCTGTCACCCAGGCTGGAGTACGGTGGCAAGATCTCGTCTCACTGCAACCTCCACCTCCCAGGTTCAAGTGATCCATTCTTCTGCCACAGCCTCCCAAGTAGCTGGGATTACAGGAATGCGCCACCACGCCCAGCTAATTTTGTATTTTTAGTAGAGATGGGGTTTCACCATGTTAGTCAAGCTGGTTTTGAACTCCTGACCTCAGGTGATCTGTCCACCTCAGCTTCCCAAAGTGCTGGTATTACAGGTGTGAGCGACCACGCCTGGCCGAGATGTAAGTATTGAATGATGGTCAAGCTAGGTGATTTAAAGAGTTGTTCTAACCAAAAAGACTGATTTGGGAATGCTCTACACAATCATAGTGACTCATCTTGGAGAGATCCCACCCCCAAGAAGTGAGTACTCACAAGCCAAAGACACCAAATTCTCAGGGGAGGCCCAAACTTGTAATGCAATTGGGTTCAGCCATTCCCCATGCAATAGTAACTGGGGTCTGTGGCCTAAGACACCCAGGCAGTAACAGAAATGGAGAGGGAGGGTGTGGCAAGAGAAAGGCAATGTTGGGAGTTAAAGGTATGGGGTTGGAGACCACAAGGCCATATATCAGTCCTGCCTGTCAATTTTTGACACCTGGAGCACATGCTTAGGTGGGGAACTTCTAACCACAACCCTTACCTTCCAGGATTTGGAGAGAAAAATTTCACTAACTGCCTTACCCTGAAGCCTCAGAACACACTGGGTTGGGTAGATCTGGTGGAGGGGAGGAGTGGTCAGTCCCTAGGTGTTTTCTTCAGTGAAGAAGCGACACCAATGCATGGTAGGGGAAATGTGACTACTTGGTCCTTGATATCTGAGGAAAGCCAGCAGGAGGCAGTGTGGGAGCAGGGTACAGAGAATCCAGCATCAAAGAGAGACAACAGGAAAGCACAGCCAGGGCAGGAACCATCAATGGATATAGGAAATAGACTAGACACAAAGTAGATTACAGTGGTTCCCAAGATCCAGTATTTGCCTTCCCCTTACACAGGTTTTGAGGTTTGCATGTATCCCCTGTACTGTAACTTAATAGATCATTTGAAAAGACTCTTCCAGGCTGGGCAACAGGATGAGACCTCCATCTCTACTGATAAATAAATAAATAAACAAACAAACTCTTAAAAACACCCCCATCCTAAGGAATAAAGTACTAGTTATATTTTTCTCTTAATATAAATTAGAATAAGACAGAAGTACTAGTATTAAAATGTTTCCACATTCCACCTAAAATCATTTGGCACCTCAGGGAGGTCCAGCTGCTGTACTTTGGCACATGCTGGTAGCCAGGAGTCTGGGCCTGAAATTTGGTCCTGACTCCACCCTCATCTCTCTGCATGACTTCTCTGGGAGATACAGCCTCTCCATTTTACACTGAGAGAACTAAATGAGCTCTAAAGCTGCCCTGACAGCTGACAGTCAAGGTTAGCATATTTCTGTGTGGCTCTGGCAAAAGTACCCCAAGATGACATTGGCAAGGCCCTAGAAGTTTCCCAGTTTCTGCTCTTTTGGGGTAGCTACAGATGGGAAAAGGGCTAAAGCATCTGGCAACAGAGGAAGGAGTGGTAGGAACATAGTCTAGAGGGGCAAGAAGAACATCAGATGTGAACCAAAAAAATATGGCATCTCCATTTACTGGCTGAGTGTAAGATTTATAAAATGGGAATAATCACGTCCTTTTCCCCTTAATTTATAAAAATAGCCCTCAACTTTCACTTTCATACACAAACATTTATATCCTAAAGTACTCCTGAAAGCCCCACTCAGAAATGCACACAAGAGCTGGATAACATATGGGTCCTTCCCACAAGTCATCAATTTATTTTTGGCAACTTTGCTAGTGGAGCCGTATTTCTTAAATTATTTAAGAAATGTAGGCTGGGCACGGTGGCTCATGCCTGTAGTCCTAGCACTTTGGGAGGCCGAGGCGGGCAGATCATGAGGTCAAGAGATCGAGACCATCCTGGCCAACATGGTGAGACCCCATTTCTACTAAAAATACAAAAATTAGGCCGGGCGCGGTGGCTCATGCCTGTAATCCCAGCACTTTGGGAGGCTGAGGCGGGCAGATCACAAGGTCAGGAGATCGAGAACATCCTGGCTAACACGCTGAAACCGTCTTTACTAAAAATACAAAAAATTAGCCGGGCGTGGTGGCAGGCGCCTGTAGTCCCAGCTACTCGGGAGGCTGAGGCAGGAGAATGGCTAAACCCGGGAGGCAGAGCTTGCAGTGAGCCGAGATCGTGCCACTGCACTCCAGCCTGGGCGACAGAGCGAGACTCCGTCTCAAAAAATAAAAAAATAAAAATACAAAAAATGCTAGGCGCGGTGGCTCACACCTATAATCCCAGCACTTTGGGAGGCCGAGGCGGGCGGATCATGAGGTCAGGAGATCGAGACCATCCTGGCTAACACAGTGAAACCCCGTCTCTACTAAAAATACAAGAAAAAATTAGCCAGGCATGATGGCACGCGCCTGTAGTCCCAGTTACTCAGGAGGCTGACGCAGGAGAATGGTGTGAACCCGGGAGGCCGAGCTTGCAGTAACACGAGATCGCGCCACTGCACTCCAGCCTGGGTGACAGAGCAAGACTCTGTCTCAAAAAAAAAAAGAAAATGGAAAAATACAAAAATTAGCTGGGTGTGGTGGCGTGCACCTGTAGTCCCGGCTACTCGGGAGGCCGAGGGAGAAGAATCACTTGAACCTGGGAGGAGAAGGCTGCAGTGAGCTGAGATTGAGCCACTGCACTACAGCCTGGTGACAGAGCAAGACTCTGTCTCAAAAAAAAAAAAAAAAAAAAAATGTATTACATTACCTGCTTCTTTTAGTGACACATTTCCTTTAATTGACACAAAGGAAAAAGTACCCAAGTGGCAGTTCTTAAATCTGGTGTTCTCTAGACTTAAAGCTGGTCGAATGTGTGCTTAAATGTGAAGGAAAAGAACAAAACTGAAAAACGCTGGAAATTTAGGCCAAGACTGTGCCTAAAAGGCAAAGTGGGCCAGGCACAGTGGCTCACGCTTGTAATCCCAGTACTTTGGGAGACTGAGGCAGGTGGATCACGTGAGGTCAGGAGTTTGAGACCAGCCTGGCCAACATGACGAAACCCCATCTCTACTAAAAATACAAAAAATTAGCCGGGTGTGGTGGTGGGCGCCTCTAATCCCAGCTATTCGGGAGGCTGAGGCATGAGAATTGCTTGAATCCGGGAAGCGGAGTTCGCAGTGAGCCGAGATTGCGCCGCTGCGCTCCAGCCTAGGTAACAAGAATGAAACTCCATTGCAAAAAAATAAAATAAAATAAGGGTCAGGCATGGTGGCTCACGCCTGTAATCCCAGCACTTTGGGAGGCTGAAGCAGGTGGATCACCTGAGGTCAGGAGTTCGAGACCAGCCTGACCAACATGGAGAAAGCCCATCTCTACTAAAAGTACAAAATTAACTGCACATGCCTGTAATCCCAGCTACTCGGGAGGCTGAGGCAGGAGAATCGCTTGAACCCAGGAAGCGGAGGTTGTGGTGAGCCAAGATTGTACCATTGCACTCTAGCCTGGGCAACAAGAGCAAAACTCCATCTCAAAAGTAATAATAATAATAAAAAAACAAAATAAAAGCCAAGTGTAGTTAGGGATTTTATACTGCTTTTTAGCTTTTAGGGAACAGAGTCCCTCCTTATGATGCATAAGTCTAGAGAGTCTATATTTACCACGATCAACTTCTGGAGATTTTCAGGAAATGCATTGTGTTCAAAATGCTGCCTATGCATTGTTTCATTCCATAAAAGCTGCAGCCTACAGAAAAATACAAATAAATAAACCTGGACGAGAGCAAATGTAAATCAGGAGGCCAAAAAGGTAAGATCTGTGCGTTTTATTTTTGTAAACTATATCTAAAACATACCTCAATATAAAAAACCAGAAACAAAATAACAAAAACGGGGTGAGAACAAAAAATACAGATGACAGGTTCTGTAGTTATGGTACTGAACTGAGCTTCCTGTCAGCCAAAACTAGAAGGGAAACATGACCACCACCTGACTTGTTGCAGAGGCTTTAGATCTGAGCACTTGGATCTGAAAACAGTTTCTCTTTAGATGCCTTCAAATAAGGGACAGTATCCTTGATGACAATACAGTACATACATTCACAATTCTCCAAGACCATCTCTGTGTATATCAAGGTTAACCTGGATGAATATTTCTGCAGCAGGCATGGGGTAGGCAGGCAATATGACCAAATATGTAGTTTGGAGGCTCAAATGAAACAGGAGAAAGAGCTCAGGAACCATGAAGCATGGTGCAGGTATCAGGGTCAAGTATTCTAACCCTAAGATCAGGGTGCATGAGAACTGGAGAGGCCTCAATACTGAGACTTAGACGAAAGGTGTGGAATTAACTTCCTAGTGTGACTAATCCAACTTAGCTCAAAGCGGCTCTGAGATCAGCCCTTCTCTCAAGTCAACTCATAAACAAATGCTTTAGTTACAGGAGGTATTAACTGCAAAATAACAGCCAAAAGCATTCCTGGGCACGTCCATTGAGCTCCATGTAACAGAAGCCATTAACTGCATCTCAGCAACCAAATTGTCTTTCATCTTGTAGTCACAGAATCCCTGAGTTTTAACTCAGCACATGACTGCCCAGATAAGAGGTTCTATGTCCCAGCATCTCTTTCAGCAAAGTGTGGCCACAGTGATCTGAGCAATGCTCAGTCATATCTTTTTTTTAAAATCTGCTCTTTTCTCTCTCTCTTTCCCCAGTGGAATGCAGATATGGAGCTGATGAGTCTGCTTTGATCTTATGGGTAAGAAAACATACTGGGAATGGCTGAATAAGACAGAAGGAAACAAAGTTCCTGATAACCTTGTAGAGTTAAATCTGCCCTAGACCATCTGATTACCTCTCTATTATTAGGTGAGAAAAAAACAAACTTCGATCTTATAGCAGTTTGGCCTGTGGCTTAACATATTTCACAACAGAAGGGAAAGATGTCAGAAGGAGATTTCAAAGGACTCAGGCAACACCCTAGGAAAGTCAATTCGCAAATCACTTCAGCAAACAGGTCAGAAAATAGTAACTATCAAACCAGTTGTGCCTTCTACTCCATCTCTAGGATAGAAGCCCAGCCACATCCTCTGAGGGAAGGAAGAGGCTCTTATTACAGCACAATCCAAACATAAAATGCAGCATGTTCACCATTGGCCTGGGACAAATCCTTAATAGTTGGGGATACGGACTATTTCCCCCACCAGTACCAGGCAGGGACATTCCTGTCCTACCTTTCCCCTAAAGGAGGCAAGGTCCAAACTTCTCCACTCTTCATAATTACCATTCTTGAGGACAGGCCAAATCCAGTAAGGCACGGAGTAAAACAGCTGATGGGGGGCTATGTGTGAGAGTCAGGGGGTTGGGGAGGGGACTCAGCCCCAGAACAAAAGCCACAGCTGAGAACCAGAGAAGGAGAGTAGAGTCCATGTCTACCCTGGGTTTCTGGGGTCCAGGGACCTGAAAGTCAGCACCTGCTCCTCCTGTGGAGTACCCCTGGTGACAGAGCTCAGCTGGCAGCTGCTCATCACTAACGAATCCCAGCCACCGGCACCTGCTGCTGCTTGCGGATCTTGTTGAAGAGTTCCATGTACTGGACCATGGTATCTGCTGGGCCGTAGACCGCATCATGTCTGTTCCCAAACACTGCGGGAGCCCCTGGTGTGTGGCTGCCTAGAAAACTCTGTAGGAACTCGAGCAGCAGACTCCAGCAGTCACTAGCTACCACACAGGGGCCATACTCCACCTGGGAACCAAAAGCACAGAGAATGAGGGTGAATGAAGGCTAAGACAAGGTCTGCTTCTCTTGTACCTCCTGCCTCCTGCTCCCATCTTCCCCAACCCCGAGCTAAAGACACACACCTCCTAGCACAGTATTGGTCCACAGGAAACATTCAACCTAAACACTGGGCTCAATACCCAGCATCTTTAGGCATCTTTGACCTTCTCATCCTGGAGCTGTGCCAACCCGCAGCCCTCCCAGAGGACCCAGAAGCAGATCTGGGCCCCTTTTGATGATCTCAGGACTGTGTTGTCCCTGCTATGCTGGGTAAAGATTCAAGGAGAGCTCAAGAAAATTCTAAGAGACACAACAAAGAGAAAGAGAAGGAAAATGTGTGTGGGGGTGGTAAGTAGAGAGTAGAGTGGACACATATGCTCATGAGTTTTTTTCAAGACCAAATTTTACTCCCTAAGTAGAACCAACCTGGGTTCTGACCCTAAGAAAGAATTTCCCAAATAGTGTGTCATGGGCCAAAAAATATACATCTTAGGTTTTCTCCTTCTGCTCTCTTAATTTTTTACTGGAGAGATGGCAGGGCAAAATTACTGGCAACCCTAAGGAGAAATAAGTAAAGAAACAGGTGGAGTGTGTTTCTACTACAAGATTAGAAATGTGGAGGATAAACAGCGGGTCCTCAGTGGGTCTCAGCAAATCCAAGGTCTATCACAAGCCGAAAGGGTTAGAAGTCTTGGTCCTAGAGGTTGCTGAGCAGAAACTACCACTAATGCCCTTTTCTCCAACTGGGATTCTTCCTAGACTTATCTATCCCCATGTCTCTACATTTTAAATCCCTACATAAATGTTGATCCTCAGGAAGCATCACAACCAAAGTCAGCAGTGTTCACACTGGCCTGAATTCCCAGAGCCAACTGCCTCTTTTATAGCATTTTCAGACTAACTTCAAAAAGAGTTTGTGTGTTTCAGCCTCACTCTTAATAAATAAATCACAAATTTTCAAAGGGTAGACCTGCAAGCTTACTTGTTTTCTTATCTCAGTGCTGGGCACATTATAGGTTGTGAACTTTCCCTGGTCCCAAAGAAGCCAGCCACTGCTACACTGCCACTCTCACTCCTTGTCACTATATATGTGTATGTATACACAGACACACACACACTCTCTGTGTCACAGATGAAGTGATCTCACACACAAACACTCTTTCTACCATGAAAGAAAGCAGACAGCATGTCAAAAGGAAAAGCACATTTTTGCTTCCCAACCTATCTTAAAGCATACTAAGGAAAGGTATATGGGCATATGTGATTTAGGGCCCACCGCCAGAAAATTGTTCTAAGAGTTGTCCTGGTCTGCTCCAGAACTTCTTGTCATGGGTGACTGTCCCTCCATATCATAACTCACCTGCCTTCCTTGACTATCTTTTCCCTTCTCCAGCAAGCCACCCTTCCTAATGAAGCTTTCTGCTTGCTTTGAACCCAGCTTCCCGCTTCCTACTTGCCAGCTGTGTTAGAGAGTCTCTGAATAATTAAAGAAAGGATAAAAGATTCACGAAGAGGAAGCATAGATGCCTTGGAGTCAGGGATCAGGTAGGCATAAATATCTGTTTAAATTGAGGACTGGAGGCCAGGTGTGTTGGCTCATACCTGTAACCCCAGCACTTTGGGGGGCTGAGATGGGAGGATCAATTGAGCCCAGGAGTCTGAGATCAGCCTGGGCAACATAGTAAGACCTCATTTCTACTAAAAAAAAAAAAAAATTTAATTCGGTGGGTGTAGTCCCAGGTACTTGGGAGACTGAGGCGGAAGGATCACTTGAGCCCTGGAGGTCGAGGCTACAGTGTGCCAAGATTGTGCCATTGCATTCCAGCCTGGGTGACAGAACAAGACTCTGTCTCAAAAAAAAAAAAAGAGAAGAACTGGAAAATCTTCAGAGCCCTTTGCTAAGCAGCCCCCTCAGAACATCCTGCTCCTATTTTCACCAAGGTCTTACCTCCACAGAGATGCCCCGGGCACTGGGCCCCATTGTGACCGTGCCCACCTTCACCAGGAAGTCACAGTACTGGTACCTGGTGCCCCGGGTCTCAATCTTGCTGGCCTTAGCACTCTGGAAAAAGCCCTTGAGCTTCACCATAAGCACATCAAAGTTGGTGTCAGCAATAAGGCAAGGGCCATTCTCAAAGAGGGCGAAACAGCTCAATGGGTACTCTGAGTTGTGCATCACATACATCAGCTTCCCGGTCTGACCTGCAAGGGACAGAGATCCTATTCATCATCAAGACTTTCACTGGCAAACCCCAGAGTAGAGTCAAATGACTCCCCCCGGAATGAGGCCAGACAGCAATCTGGCACTACCTCAGCAGTTCTTGGTTGGGGGTGAGGGGAATCCTCTCACTGACAGCCTTTTCTAGAAAGGTAGGGGGAAATAGCAGGAGAGGCAGCATGTGGTAAAACCCACCCTGCTCTACAGAAAACAGTGAGGGGCACACAGGGAACTTTAATAGTGTTGATCATGTTTTAATTCTTAAGTTGAGTGGTGGGCTCACAGATGGTCTACATGTAAAGTCTAACTCCCACAGACTTTACGTATAATCTTTTGTATATTATCATATATTACATAAGTAAAATGAAAGTAACAGCATTTGGGCATGCCAAAGGAAGTAGCTGCTCCCTTCTTCTGCACACTCTTCCTCAGCTTAGCCTCCTCCCTCTTTGAGATCTAGTAAATGGTCCTATGGAAGCAGCAAAGGGGAGTGTCTGAGCATAAGCAGGGAAAGGTAGATGGGATCCAAGCTGTGATAGGTCTTATCTACCATGCCTCAAGAAGTTTAGACTGTATCCTGAAACCAATGGCAAACCGTTGGAGAATTTTTAGAAGTCTAGCCAACTTGGGAAGCAAGCAGCACACTACAGCAGAGAGACCTCAGGATCTGGATCAGAAGATCAACTTTCAAGCCCCAGCTCACCCCTTCCAGTCTCTAAAATATGAGTTTTCTCATTTATTTCCATAGGCTATTTGCAATAAAAATGGAAAGCTATACACATTTAGTTAAGTAGAAAACAAAAGAAGGCAGGGCTGGGCACAGTGGCTCCCACCCGTAATCCCAACACTTTGGGAGGCTGAGGCGGGTGGATCACTTGAGGTCAGGAGTTCCAGACCGGCCTGATCAACATGGTGAAAACATGTCTCTACTAAAAATACAAAAATTATCTGGGTGTGGCGGTGCACGCCTGTAATCCCAGCTACTGGGGAGGCTGAGGCACGAGAATCACCTGAACCCAGGAGGCAGAGGTTGCAGTGAGTTGAGAGCGTGTCACTGCACTCCAGTCTGGGCAACAGAGCAATACTCTATCTCCAAAAAAAAAAAAGAAAAAAAAAGGTAAAAACTGGAAAGCAAGATTCCTCTTTCATACGCTACAAGAATTAATGGATAGACTGCCACAATCCCACATGCTTATTACATATATAAGCCATTCCCAACACTTTTCTTAGGGCTTCAGAGATGTACAAGCAGAGGACTTAGCCCCTGACTTCAAGAAGCTGACAATCAGGCTGGGCACAGTGGCTCACACCTGTAATCCCAGCACTTTGGGAGGCCAAGGTGGGTGGATCACTTGAGGTCAGGAGTTCGAGACCAGCCTGGCCAACATGGTAAAACCTCGTGTCTACTAAAAACACAGAAATTAGCCAGGCATGGTGGCATGCGCCTGTAATCCCAGCTACTCGGGAGGCTGAGGCAGGAGAAGCGCTTGAACCCAAGAGGCAGAGGTTGCAGTGAGCCGAGATCGTGCCACTGCACTCCAGCCTGGGTGACAGCGAGACTCCATCTCAAAAAAAAAAAAAAGCTGACAATCTCATGAGAGAGATAGGCTAAAAACTTTTTTTTTTTTTTGAGACAGAGTCTCACTCTGTCGCCCAGGCTGTAGTGCAATGGTGCAATCTTGGCTCACTGCAACCTCCACCTCTTAGGTTCAAGTGATTCTCTTGCCTCAGCCTCCTGAGTAGCTGGGATTATAGGTGTGAGCCACCACACCTGGCTAATTTTTGTATTTTTAGTAGAGACGGGGTTTCACCATGTTGGCCAGGCTGGTCTTGAACTCCTGACCTCAGGTGATCTGCCCGCCTCAGCCTCCGAAAGGGCTGGGATTCCAGGCATGAGCCGCCACGCCCAGCTGAGATAGGCTAAAAACTTTTTGAAAGACCACAAAATAAAACAAGTTATTACCGAGGAAAGACCACAAGTCTTTCGGAAAAAGGAAAGACTTCAGGATAGGAAAAGATTAAAATGAACAAGTCAGCAGGAAAAAAAAGTAGGATTTGAACTGCAATATGAAGAGAAGGTAGGATCCAGCCACACAAAGGAAAGAAGACATTCTAGACGGGGGTAAGAGTGTGCAACTGAAAAGGGTGCGAGGGCGGCGAGAGCAGAGGTCATATGGCTTCCCTATACAGGCTGCTGTGCGTGAACACAGCAGGCTCTGCACAGATCCTCCAGGCCACATCCCTCCTCCTGACTGCTTGCTGACAATTCACACCTGTCACCTCATTCTAAATCCAGTTCCAAACTTCTCGACTCTGAAGAAAAAAATCCATCCAAAGCCGACCTCGTCATTCTGTTCTGTCTACTCACTGTAATTGCATACTTTATTCATACTATATGAGTCTACAAGTGTTACTGCCTTGGAAATATCTTAAAAGTCAACTAAGGGGTGTGTGTGTGCGCTTAATGAAGAAGGCACTTCTAGTTGTTATGGACAATAACATTTTCCTTTTCTTCTTTTTTTTTTTTTGAGACACGGTGTTGCTCTGTCACCTAGGCTGGAGTGTAGTGGCATGAACACAGCTCACTGAAGCCTCAACCTCCTGAGCCCAAGCAATCCTTCTGCCTCAGTGTCCCATGTAGCTGGGACCACCATGCCCACCTTTTTTTTTTTTTTTTTTTTTTGTAAAGATGAGGTCTTACCATCTTGCCTAGGCTGGTCTCAAACTCCTAGGCTCAAGCAATCCTCTCACCTCTACCTCCCAAAGTGCTGGGATTCACAGGTATGAGCCACTGCACTCAGCTGACCATAGTACTTTTTTTTTTTTTTTTTTTTTGGAGATGGAGTCTAGCTCTGTTGTCCAGGCTGGAGTGCAATGGCATGATCTGGGCTCACTGCAGCCTCTGCCTCCCAAGTTCAAACGATTCTCCTGCCTCAGACTCCTGAGTAGCTGGGATTACAGGTGCCTGCCACCATGCCTGGCTAATATTTGTATTTTTAGTAGAGACAGGGTTTCCCCATGTTGACCAGGCTGGTCTCAAGCTCCTGACCTCAGGTGATCTGCCCGCCTCGGCCTCCCAAAATGCTGGGATTCCAGGCATGAGCCACCGCGCCCAGACGACAATCGTATTTTCTATCACAGCAAAATCCTTTCATGTCTGTACCACCTTGTGAAGCAAGCAGAACCAGGTTTACTATCCCCTTTCTAAAGATGAGGAAAATGAAGCCAATTGGATCCCAGAGCAGCAGCAGTAGCAGAACCACCTGGGAACTTATTAGAAATGCAAATTACAGCCAGGGCGCTCATGCCTGTAATCTCAACACTTCAGGAGGCCAAGGCGGGGAAGATCGCTTGAGCCCAGGAGTTTGAGACCAGCCTGGGCAACATAGGGAGACCTTGACTCTACAAAAAAAATCAAAAAGTTAGCCAGGTATAGTGGCACGCACCTGTGGCCCCAGCTATTTAGGATGCTGGGGCTGGAGGATCACTTGAGCCCGGCAGGTCGAGGCAATAGTGAGCTATGATCATGCCATTGCACTCCAGCCTGGGTGACAGAGAGACCCTGTCTCAAAAAAAAAAAAAAAAAGGTGGGGGGAAATGCAAATTATTGTCTACTCTCCTCCAAACTACTAAGTCAGAAACTTTGGCGTGGGGTCTAGCAATCTGTGTGGTAACAAGCCTTTCAGATGATGCTAATGCTGGTCAAGTGTGAGAATCACTGATCTAAAGGCACAGAGCCAGTAACCAGCAAAACTGAAGCTCCAATCCAGGCATGCTCACCCCAAGTTTATTGCTCTTTCCTGCCTGCCATGAAGGCGTGCTGTCTCCCCAACTAGACTGTGGCTTCTTGAAAGTGAGGGCCTGCTCAGCCCACACCAGGTAGTTTCACTAGAAGTCATATGCCATCTCATATCTATATCCAAATGTTTTATTACCCAAATGCTTTTGTAATTATCTCTTGATTCTTACTTCCTTCATATTGAAGGCAACACAAATGGTAACTTCAATTTTATCAACAATGATAAAAGAGCTCAGTACAACTCTTAGCTACTAAATATTACTTTAAATATTACATGACAGGCTGGGTGCAGTGGCTCATGCCTGTAATCCTAGCACTTTGGGAGGCCAAGGTGGGCGGATCACAAGGTCAGGAGTTCAAGACCAGCCTGGCCAACATGGTGAAACCCCATCTCTACTAAAAATACAAAAATGAGCCAGGCGTGGTGGAGCGCACCTGTAGTCCCAGCTACTCGGGAGGCTGAGGCAGGAGAATTGCTTGAACTTGGGAGGTGGAGGTTGCAGTGAGACGAGACTGTGCCATTGCACTCCAGCCTGGGCAACAAGAACAAAACTCCGTCTCAAAAAAAAAATTACATGACAATCTCAGTTCTAAATGCTTTGTATGTATTAACTTACTTAGCACAACATGAGGAGAGAAGTACTATGATTATCTTCATTTTATAGATGAGAGAACTGTACTGGGAAGAGTCCAAAAAGAGCCCATGTCAGATAGTTTTGGTACAAGAAATGTATACAGGGAACAAATACACGGGTTGGAAGAAAGGCAAAACCAAACAGGATGGTGGCACAACCCAAAGATTAGCAACACAGGAAACTACTACCATCCCTAGGGCTAGAGGAAAAAGAAAATATGTGCTGTTGTCGGAGGCAGGAATGAGGGCTGCCTAGCAGAAGCTAGAACCAAGGAGGTGAAGACACAGCCATGGCTAGAGACACTGCCCAGAGCAGAGGGAGAGGAACACTGTGGGCTTCCTTTCTCCCATCCTCTAATCTTCTCTGGTGCCTCTCAATAACCAAAGCTAACTAGTAGAGAGCCTGGAAAATACAGCTTACAGGGAAAGTGCAGGAAATGGATCTAAGGGAAACAGGTACATGAGTGGCATGGAAACAGTAACAGATAGGTTGTGGGAGTTACCTACAGGTACACAGTTAGAATGTGGCAAAGCCAGGACTCAGGACTCTGGTTCCCCAGTGATAAACACTGTGCCATGGAACTGTTCAAGGTTAAGTTACTGCAGAGCCAAGACTAAGACAAACAAGTTCCCTAACTCATATCCAAAGAGTCTCTCTCATTGCCTAAGCCCAGGAGTTAGAGCTTGCAGTGAGCTGTGATCATGCTACTGTACAGCCGGGCAACGAAGTGAGACTCTCACTCTAAAAAGAAAAAAAAAAAAAGTCCTCTCTCCCTCCCAGCCATCATCCCCCATCATCCACACCCCATCTCATCACTCAAAACGCTAAAAAGAACAATTGATTTATGCTAATGAGGAGGTCAAGGCCAATGGTTAGGTGTAAGAAAACGGGAACTCTAAACACAAACTTCTAGAAACCCTAAAGCTCTAAAAGAATCATAAACAAAGACTTCTGGGCCTAAAACAAGTCTTTCTCAAATTTCAGAGTGCATAAGGATTGTCTGGATTGTTAAATGTAGATTATGTGGCCTACAGCAGCAGTCAATCAGTAAACAGGGCCAGGAAATCTGGAACTCTAACAAGTATCCCAGGTGATTCTGACATGGTTAGTCAGTGATTAACCCTGAGAAACACTGCTTTTAGAAACTGCACAAAACAAAAAGCACTCAAAGAACACAAGGGCCAGGCATGGTGGCTCATGCCTGTCATCTCAGCACTTTGGGAGGCCTATGTTGGCAGATCCCTTGAGCTCAGGAGTTTGACACCAGCTACTTGAGAGGCTGAGGTGGGAGGATGGCTTGTGGCTAGGAGTTTGAGATCAATTTGGGCAGCATAGTAAGACACTCCCATGACCACACCCAAAAGTAAAAAAATCAGCCAGGCATGGTGGCACATGCCTGTAGTTTCAGCTACTCAGGAGGCTAAGGTGGGAGGATCAACTGACCCCAGGAATTTGAGGCTGCAGTGAGCTATGAGACACCAAAGCACTTCAGCCTGGTCAACAGAGCAAGACTCTATCTCTTAAAAACACACACGCTGGGCGCGGTGGCTCACGCCTATAATCCCAGCACTTCGGGAGGCCGAGGCGGGTGGATCACAAGGTCAGGAGATCAAGACCATCCTGGCTAACACGGTGAAACCCCGTCTCTACTAAAAATACAAAAAATTAGCCCAGCGTAGTGGCAGGTGCCTGTAGTCCCAGCTACTTGGGAGGCTGAGGCAGGAAAATGGCGTGAACCCTGGAGGCGGAGCTTGCAGTGAGCCGAGATTGCGCCACTGCACTCCAGCCTGGGCGACAGAGCCAGACTCCGTCTCAAAACACACACACACATAAATACTCACATACAAAGAAATTTTGGGTTGTAATGGATATGTTTAGTACCTTGGTTTTGGTGATAGTATCATAGGTGTATGCATATATCCAAACTCATTAAGATGTATGCATTAGATGTGTACAACTACTTGTGTATCAACTATACCTCAATAAAGCTTTAGCCAGGAGTGGTGGCTCATACCTATAATCCCAGTACTTTGGGAAGCTGAGGCCAGATAATCCCTTGAGGCCAGGAATTCAAAACCAGCCTGGTCAACATAGGGAGACCCTGTCTCTACAAAAAATTTAAAATATTAGCCAGGCGTGGTGGCTCATGCCTGTGGTCTCAGCTACTCAGGAGGCCAAGGTGGAAGGATCACTTGAGCCCAAGGGTCGAGGCTGCAGTCAGTGAGCTGTGATCATGCCACTGCACTCCAGCCTGGGAGACTGAGCAAAACCCTATCTCAAAAAAATAAATAAAATAAAATAAAATAAAATAAAATAAAATAAAGTGGCCGGGCACAGTGGCTCACGCCTGTAATCCCAGCACTTTGGGAGGCCGAGGTGGGCAGATCACCTGAGGTCGGGAGTTCGAGATCAGCCTGACCCACACAGAGAAACCCCATATCTACCAAAAATACAAAATTAGCCGGGCTTGGTGGTGCATACCTATAATCCCAGCTACCTGGGAAGGCTGAGGCAGGAGAATCACTTGAACCTGGGAGGTGGAGGTTGCAGTGAGCTGAGATCGCACCATTGCACTCCAGCCTGGGCAACAAGAGCAAAGCTCCATCTCAAAAAAATAAAATAAAATAAAATAAAGCTTTCAAAGGCCCTATTCTAAGAGATAAAGAACCAAGAATTAATGACGTCAAAAACACATCTCGCCACATGTTTAAGAATACCACCTTTAGCAGAAAAGCAGAAAGACTTCAATTAACTCAAATGTCTCTTAACTCCAAGCCTGGTTCCAGCCATCCTACAGACCCATCTCACTGACCTTGGCTGCCAAGGGTAGAGGCGGCCGTATGGTAAGTCTCACAGTCCACACAAAATGTTCCTTGCTTCTCTGCCCCAAGCATCTCCAATTTCCGGGTAAGGAGCTCTACGGTTTGCTGAACACTCTTGCCCTCGGCCACAGGCATCTGGGACACACTGGAAAGGAGAGCACCAAATCGTCAGTTATCCAGAGACACACGTGTGCTCACTGAGCCATTCACTCGCCCACAGCATCACAGCTCATCAGGGCCAAAAGTTATCTTGGAAATTACCTACTCTGACCGTCTCCCAATCCCTGCAACTTTATTATTATTTTTAATTAAAAAAAATTTTTTTGGCCAGGCGTGGTGGCTCATGCCTGTAATACCAGCACTTTGGGAGGTCAAGGCGGGTGGATCACGAAGTCAGGAGTTCAAGACAAGCCTGGCCAACATGGTGAAACCCCGTCTCTACTAAAAATACAAAAATTAGCTGGGCGTGGTAGCGGACGCCTGTAATCCCAACTACGTGGGAGGCTCAGGCAGGAGAATCATTTGAACCCGGGAGGCCGAGACTGCAGTAAGCCGAGACTGCGCCCTTGCACTCCAGCCTGGGCGACAGGGCGAGACGCCATCTTAAAAAAAAAAAAAAATTTAAGACCAGTCAAGTGCAGTAGTTAGAGTGGGGAAGAGTAGAACAAGGAGTCCAATCTGTAACTGAATGTGAACAATCAATTAAGATAACTCATTACACTTGGACCAGTCCCCCATTGTAAAGACAAGGAATAGAGGACCACAGTCCCTGAGAGCCCCTCTAAGAACTGGAGCACAGTTCTCAGGATTCTCGCACCAGGGCAATGAACTTCCTATCACAGGGCGTTCTCAAGTGTGGCATGCCAAAGATTCTAGATGACACACGGACTGAGAATTCAATAATGCTGAGTCATATAATGAAAAAGGGATTCCTTTTGCAACTCTTTCAGTTCTGACTACATCAAGGGAAAAGTCTCCGTTTGGGTTAACATGTTTTTACCAACTCTGTGAACTTGAGCTGTTCAGCACAGTAGCCCAGAGCCACAGGTGGCTGGGACTAGTGTATTGGACACTGTTGTTAGAGAACATTTCCATCATCACAGAAAGTGCTATTCAACAGCCCTAGGAACAAAAAAAGAAAAGCAGTCTTCAAGTTTATAATCTTTGGGAATGAGAGGCAACAGTATTCACGAAAATTGAATCAAAAGAATGGAACAAAACAAAAAAAAAACGTTATTTCTAAGGTTTCCTCCTATGGTGAGTGAACCTCTTATGGTGGCTTCCACTTTAGGAGTGGTAGGTAACCAACTGCCAACCAACAACGTGCCAGACTGCATCCTAAGGCCTTTAGATGAATTAACTCTCCAAATCCTCACGATAGTCCTATGAAGGTGTGTTATTTATCAACTTGTTACAAATGAGGAAACTGCCGGGCATGGTGGCTCACGCCTGTAATCCCAGCACTTTGGGAGGCCGAGGTGGGCGGATCACTTGAGGTCAGGAGTTCGAGACCAGCCTAGCCAACATGGTGAAACCCTGTCTCTACCAAAAATACAAAACTTAGCCAGGCATGGTGGTGTGCGCCTGTAATCCCAGCTACATGGGAGGCTGAGGCAGGAGAATCACTTGAAACCAGGAGGCGGAGGTTGCAGTGAGCCAAGATCGCACCACTGCCCTCCAGCCTGGACAACAAGAGCGAAACTCCATCTCAAAAAGAAAAAAAAAAAGACGAAACTTGGCCAGGCACGGTGGCTCACGCCTGTAATCCCAGCACTTTGGGAGGCCAAGGCGGGCAGATCACGAGGTCAGGAGATCAAGACCATCCTGGCTAACACGGTGAAACCCCGTCTCTACCAAAAATACAAAAAAATGGCCGGGCGCGGTGGCTCACGCCTGTAATCCCAGCACTTTGGGAGGCCGAGGCGGGTGGATCATGAGGTCAGGAGATCGAGACCATCCTGGCTAACAAGGTGAAACCCCGTCTCTACTAAAAATACAAAAAATTAGCCGGGCGCGGTGGCGGGCGCCTGTAGTCCCAGCTACTCGGGAGGCTGAGGCAGGAGAATGGCGTGAACCCGGGAAGCGGAGCTTGCAGTGAGCCGAGATTGCGCCACTGCAGTCCGCAGTCCGGCCTGGGCGACAGAGCGAGACTCCGTCTCAAAAAAAAAAAAAAAATACAAAAAAATTAGCCAGGCATGGTGGTGGGCGCCTGTAGTCCCAGCTACTCGGGAGGCTGAGGCAGGAGAATGGCATGAACCCGGGAGGCGGAGCTTGCAGTGAGCCGAGATCACGCCACTGCACTCCAGCCTGGGCAACAGAGTGAGACTCTGCCTCAAAAAAAAAAAAAAAAAAAAAAAAGAGGAAACTTAAGTACAGCACAAAGAGGTTAAATAACTTGCACTAGGTCACACAGTTAATGGGTGGTACACTCAAGACTCAAAGCCCAGCAACCTGGCTTGATGTCCATGCTCTTAACCACTAACTAGACTGCCTGTATAAGGATGTAGTGCCTGTTAAAACATTAAGGAAAATCGATTAAAAAATTAATAAACAATAGTACAAGCAGTACTTAGCTATATAGAAATCAAGAAAACAGTCATAGATGACATTGCTTTATGATCAACTAAATGAATCTATTAAGGTAGAGTCCTTCTGTTGCTAAAAATTGTCACTACTCTATCAGAAAAAAACACTGATAAACGATGTTGCTAATGTGCCTTATTTTGAAATACAAAAGAATCCCTAAACTGACGCTACAAGTGACAGAAGTCCTAGGATTCTGAAAACGTTGATAAGGGGGCCAACAGAGAGCCCTTTCCCTGGAGCTGCCTTCTCCATTTAAAGAGCAGGGGTGGCTGGGCACGGTGGCTCATGTCTATAATGCCAATACTTTGGGAGACCAAAGCAGGAGGCTCGCTTGAGTTCAGGAATTCAAGACCTGCATGTACAAAACAGCAAGACCCCATTTCTATTTCTTTAAAAAAAAGAAAGAGCAAGGGTTCCAGGGTTCTACGCTGCATCCTTTCCATTTCCATTCCTCACATATCTTGCTTCCATTAAGGAACACAGGAGGATCGTGTCAATCGTAGGAAGCAAGAGTGCAATCACTGAGAAACCTGCAAGAACCTGGGCTACCAGGAGGAAAAGTATTTCCCCTACACATGCTTTTGTATGAGAAGCCTATATCCACTGGCTTCAAATATCCTGGCCTCCGGATTTCTCCCACGGGAAAAATGCTCACATCTACTGAGATAAGAAAAAAATGTTCTGGGACCTGGCACCTTACAACTAACGCCTCCACGAGCACTGGACCCATACCTTTCCCTGCCACCTCATCTTCTTTCAACTGAGACTTAAAACATATGAAAGATAAAAACTCCATTGAAACTAGACCAACCATGGAATTAAACATAGTGGGAAACGGGTCCTAAAGAGATAAAGTGCCTGGAACCATGATCTCCTTATTATCAATACCCTTTTTTCCTCTAGACCCAAGATCTTAAAATGAGCAAATTAGAAACAGACACAAGCGGGTCTAACTGTATTTGATGGCTGAGGGAAGAGCAGGCGAAAATCTTAAAAAATACTATCTCCTGATTGCTTATGGCCCACTCCCTCCAACCCTGTCTGCAGGTGGGTCATAGTCCAAAGACCCTATTTCCAACCCTGAGGTCCCACTGCAGGCAGTACTATGGCCTCACGGGAAGGAAGATGTATCCAGAAGAGAATGAGGTATACAACCATTGATAGGTTCCTGGGATAAAAAGTTTGCTTTGTCGACACCAGCGTGGCCAATATGGTGAAACCCCATTTCTACTAAAAATACAAAAAGTAACCGGGCGTGGTGGCGGGCGCCTGTAGTCCCAGCTACTCGGGACTACAGGAGAATCGCTTGAACCCAAGAGGCGGAGTGTTGCAGTGAGCCAAGATCGCTCCACTGCACTCCAGTCTGGCGACAGAGCGAGACCCCGTCTTAAAAAAAACAAAACAAAACAAAAAAAAAACCTTTGCTTTCCCGCCTTCCAAGAGGAAGGGGCGCATCTCTGAGGAAACAAGCCCGGGGAACCCGCAGCCCGGACGGCATCCTCTCATCTACACAACCCGAGGACATCTCCCTCAGCTCCCAGAGGACGGCGGACCATGGTCAAGGTCCTCTTTCCGGCCTTTCACAACTCCAAGCCCCGCCCCACAAAACCCCCTGCAGTCCTACCAAGTCACTCCCATGGCGTCGGGCCAGGAAGGTGGCAGAATCACACAGTAGAAACGCAGGGTTCCCTGTCCGCCCACAGAAACTCCTTCAGTTCCCCAACACAACCTTCTGTCTCAGAAGGGACTCCGGAAATACGTAAAAACAGAGCGCCGGGTCCACGCCTTCCCCAAGGAATGGGGCGTGTCTCGGCACCCCTCGGTGACGCCTCCACTGACATCATCTGCGGATTCCCGCCCCGAGGTTTCTAAATCCAGACATTCCCGTTTGGCTGAGCACTCTAGGCCTACATCCATGAAGCTAGGAGAGCGACACTCAAAGACTGCACTATTGAGAGAAGCTAACGTTAAAGGCAGTGAATATATTCGGGAGTCCAGCTCCGGAACCCGGGAGCTCTTTTAGTGGGAGGGGCGGCGCTGATGGCGCTTCTGGCCTCCGAATGCTAGGGGGCGCTGTGATCGCCGGGCGGCCTCTTGGGCGCTGGGAGTCCACCGCGCAAGCGCATCCTGGCCTTTCTTCAGTCCCCACGTGCGATCCTTCCCGGCAACTTTTTCGAGAAAAATGCCCAAATTCAAGGCGGCCCGTGGGGTGGGGGGTCAGGAAAAACATGCGCCCCTGGCCGATCAGATCCTGGCTGGGAATGCGGTGCGGGCGGGGGTCCGGGAGAAGCGGCGGGGTCGCGGGACAGGAGAAGCGGAGGAAGAGTATGTGGGGCCCCGGCTGAGCCGACGGATTTTGCAGCAAGCACGGCAGCAACAGGAGGAACTCGAGGCCGAGCATGGGACTGGGGACAAGCCCGCGGCGCCGCGGGAACGCACCACGCGGCTGGGTGAGTGTCTGGGATGAGGTCCGAGGAAGACAGTGGCCAGTAGTGGGGCGGGGTGGGCAGCTAAAAAGTGTCTGGCAGGGGAATTGCTTCGAGTCAACAAAGGGGTCCGTATTACACTTGCAAAGGAGACTGAACCCTGTCTAGAGCCCTCCGCGTCCACTCCTAGTTTTAGGCACTCCCTTCTAGACACCCCCGAAGTTAGGCCAACAGTAATCGATCGCGCCACTAAGTGCTCCTAGCATGTATCCATTGGTTTTGTAAATATTTATGGGATACCCACTACGAGCTTTGCGCTATGCTCGGAATTCTATCGAATGTTTGGGTACAGAAGTAAACAACACAGGCACGTCTAACTTAAGGACCTTACAGTCAAGCCCAGCAGAGAGGCAATTAAGTAGACTCTTAGAATAATATATTTCCATGATAAAGTATCGTTTCCCTGGTAACAATAGCATTGGTCTTGAGAAGCTTCTCCGATTGCAGCAGGACCTTTAAGCTGAGAACTGAAAAACGAATGGGAAGTGTTATGAGCAGAAAACACATTGTTTAGCAGCCAAAGAGCGAGAGAGATGAATTGAAAGACGTCTGATGTTTTCTCACTAGGGAGGGAGTGTTGACCTCTGAGGTGCTTCATCCGTTTCTCAGATCTCATCTAAAGCAATATTTGACACAATTGAATAGTGGCCTTCTGGCCACAGTATCCTTACTTGGGTTCTAAGACATCAACACTCCTGTTTTACTGCCACCTCACTTCTCAGTATCCTTGGCTGACTCTTATTGCAACCTCTTCTCCTCAGTCCTCTGACCTCTTCAAATATTCTCTGGTGCTGGCAAGTTTCATGGTTTAAATACCATCCTTGAGTGACTACTCCTAACTTTATAGTCTAGCCCTGATCTCTTCCATGAAATCCAGATTCTTATATTCAACTGCCTATTTGGCATCTCCAATTTGAAATCTAACAGACAGCTCAAATTTAACATGTACAAAACAGAAATCCTGACCTTCCCTCCAAACCTGCTTCTCTCACCATTGCCTTCCCTGTCTCAGTTAGTAGCATATTCTTTCATTTGCTCGAGATAAACTTTAGACTCCTCTCTCTCCCTGCCCCCACCATCTCCTCTCTCTGTCTCTCCCTCCCCACATCTGATCTGTAAGGAAATTCTGATGACTTTGCCTTCAAAGTGTATCCAAAATGAGACCACTTTTCACCGCTTTGGAACACCATCCTGTCGTAGCCACCACAGTCTCTCACCTGGATTATCACAGTAGCCTCCTCGTTAGTATCTCATATTCTCCGTTTTTTCTTTTTTTCTTTTTTTTTTGAGACAGAGTCTCTCTCTCTCTCTGTCACCCAGGATAGAGTGCGGTGGCACAATCATAGCTAACTGCAGCCTCAATCTCCTGGGCTCCAGTCGTCTTTCCACCTCAGCCTCCCACGTAGCTGGGACCACAGGTGTGTGCCACCATGTCCAACTAATTCTTTTTTTTTTTTTTTGAGCCTGTCGCCCAGGCTGTAGTGCAGTGGCGCAATCTTGGCTCACTGCAACCTCTGCCACCTAGGTCCAAGCAATTCTTCTGCCTCAGCCTTCTGAGTAGCTGAGATTACAGGCGTGAGCCATCACATCCAGTTAATTTTTGTATTTTCAGTAGAGATGGGGTTTCACCATGTTGGCCAGACTGGTCTTGAACTCCTGACTTCAGGTCATCGTCCACCTCTGCCTCCCAAAATGCTGGGATTACAGGCGTGAGCCACCGCACCTGGCCGCTAATTATTTAATTATTTGTAGAGATGAGGTCTCACAGTGGTGCCCAGTTTGGTCTCAAACTCCTGGGCTCAAACGACCCTCCCTGCCTTGGCCTCCCAAAGTGCTGGGATTACAGGTGTGAGCTACTGCACCCTGCCGTGTCTCATACTCTCTACAAAGTACTCACAGGTGGGGGATTACAATGGTCTACAATGCACTATATGATCTGCCTCCTTTGCCAGTCTGACCTCTTCTACTGCTTTCCTCTTTGCCCATTCCACTCCACCTATTTAGGCTTCATTGTGCCTTAAACGTGGGAAATTAGGGGGTTTGGCCTGGTTGTTCCTTCTCTCTGGGATAGTTTGTTCTCATACACTTGTAGGGTTACTTTCTCAGAGAGGCCTATCCACTCCATTTAAGATTGCAGCACTCTACTCCATCTCCATACTCCCAGCATTTCTGCCCTATCTTTTTTTCATAGTACTTATCTTTTTTTTTTTTTTGAGACAGAGTCTCGCTCCGTCACCCAGGCTGAGTGCAATACCACGATCTCGGCTCACTGCAACCTCCACCTCCCGGGTTCAAGCGATTCTCCTGCCTCAGCCTCCCAAGTAGCTGGGATTACAGGCGCCCGCCACCACACCCAGCTAATTTTTTTTTTTTTTGTATTTTTAGTAGAGTTGGGGATTTCGCTATGTTGGCCAGCCTGGTCTCAAACTCCTGACCTCAGGTGATCCACCCGCCTCGGCCTCCCGAAGTGCTGGGATTACAGGCATGAGCCACTGCACCCAGCCCATAGTACTTATCTTTTAACCCAATATATTTATATGTTTATTTATGTCTGTCTCTTCCATTTAGACAGGATTGGGTGCGTTCAGGGTGGTATGGTCGTAGACTATCTCCTCCAATTAGAATGTAAGCTGTATAGAACAAAGTCTTTTGGTTTCGGTTGTTCGTGGATATATTGCCAGCACCCCGAACAGTGCCTCACATATAGTAGGTGCTTGGTGTTTGCTGAATGACTGGGTTAATCGGTAATGAATGATGGTCAGGTAGGTGGGAGCCAAGCCTACAAAAGATTTTAAAACCATCCTAACAGCAGTGGGAAGAATGGGAAGCTACTGGAGAATTTTAAGGACAGGGCTGATCAAATCAAATATGTGTTTCTGGAAGGTGACCGTCTGCAGAGTGGAAAATGAGTTGGAGGGAAGCAAGGTCAGAAACATAGAGACCAGTGGGCGACTGTTGAATAAATCCAGGCAAGAGATGATGCTGATCTAGGCTTAGATGGGGCTGTGAAGCATGTGAGAGACAGTCTATGAGGTAAAATTGAATATGATTTAGTAATTGATTGGGTGTTGAGGGTGAGGGCAGGGGATGAGGCAAGAGTACCTCCCAGGCTTAGCATTGGGTGGACGATGGTGCCGTTTACTGAGCTGTGGATGGTTAGCAGTGTAGACCTAGGAGGGAAAGAAAATTAGTTTAGTTGATAACGGGTGAGATTTGAGGTGCCTGTGAGTCATCCAAGAGCAGCTTACAGGAGACACCTGGAGTTAGGGTCTGGCACTAAGGAGAACCACCTACAAAGTACAAATTTGGGGGACCGTTGGAACGTGGAGACAAAATGTCTGTTCCCCCTTATTTAGTGTTTATCACACACTGCCTTTGTTGTTAATGACCTATTGATACGTAGCATTATAGCTCCCCACTTGGATTATTAGACCCCTTTCCAGATGCCCAGACATGTAGCCTTCCAAAAACAGAAGTTATTTAAATGGACTAACTTCATTTTTTTTTTTTTTTTTAAGACGGAGTCTCGCTCTGTCGCCCAGGCTGGAGTGCAGTGGCACGATCTTGGCTCACTGCAAGCTCCGCCTCCCGGGTTCACACCATTCTCCTGCCTCAGCCTCCCGAGTAGCTGGGACTACAGGCGCCCGCCACCACACCCGGCTAATTTTTTGTATTTTTAGTAGAGACGGGGTTTCACCGTGTTAGCCAGGATGGTCTCGGTCTCCTGACCTCGTGATCCGCCCGCCTTGGCCTCTCTAAGTGCTGGGATTACAGGCGTGAGCCACCGCGCCCGGCCTATTTATTTTTATTTATTTATTTATTTATTTTTTTGAGACAGAGTTTTGCTGTTGTTGCCCAGGCTGGAGTGCAGTGGCGCGATCTCGGCTCACCTCACCTCAACCTCCACCTCCCGGGTTCAAGCGATTCTCATGCCTCAGCCTTCCCAAGTAGCTGGGATTATAGGCATGCGCCACCAAGCCCGGCTAATTTTGTATTTTTAGTAGAGACGGGGCTTCTCCCTGTTAGTCAGGCTGGTCTCGAACTCCCAATCTCATGATCCACCCGCCTTGGTCTCCCAAAATGGTGGGATTACAGGCGTGAGCCACCACGCCCAGCCAACTTCATGTATTTAAATGGACTGGTGGATTGAAATCTGAACTCTACTGCCTGAATTTAAAGGCCCTCCAGTCTGGCTTCACCTTTCCCACGTACCTAGCATTATTTCTTGCTATTGCCTAGGAGACTCTTATATCCAAGCCTTATTTTCTCTGCGTCTGGAACACACTCCTTCTGCTCCCAAACTGCCCATCCAGCTCCTAACTGTCCTCACCACTCATCCTTTAAGTGCATATGTTGTCTCTACTACTCATTGTGGCATATAATCAAACCCGAATATGTGTAGAATAGTGGTGAAGAATGCAGTCTAGACCCAGACTACCTGTCTTGGGCAAATTACCCAACTTCTCAGTGCTTCAATGTCCTCATTTGAAACTGGGTATAGTAATAGTATCCACTTCTTGGGTTTATTCTTATTTATTTATTTATTTGCCATTGTTCCATAAGAAGGTTTATTTTATTTTTTTTAATTTTATATATATTTTTTGAGACGGAGTCTCGCTTTGTCACCAGGCTGGAGTGCAGTGGCGTGACCTTGGCTCACTGCAACCTCCACCTCCTGGGTTCAAGTGATTCTCCTGCCTCAGCCTTCCAAATAGCTGGGACTACAGGCGCCCACCACCACGCCCAGCTAATTTTTGTATTTTTAGTAGAGATGGGGTTTCACCATGTTGACCAGGGTGGTTTCGATCTCTTGACCTCGTGATCTGCCCGCCTCGGCCTCCCAAAGTGCTGGGATTACAGGCGTGAGCCACCGTGCCCGGCCACTTCTTGGGTTTATAAGGATTAAACAGTTAACATGGGTATAGTGTTTAGAAGTTCCTTCTACAGGCCGGGAACAGTGGCTCACGCCCTGTAATCCCAGCATTTTGGGAGGCCAAGGCGGGCGGATCACGAGGTCAAGAGATCGAGACCATTCTGGTCAACATGGTGAAACCCCAACTCTACTAAAAATACAAAAAATTAGCCGGGCTGGTGGCTTATGCCTGTAGTCCCAGCTGCTTGGGAGGCTGAGGCAGGAGAATGGCATGAACCCGGGAGGCGGAGCTTGCAGTGAGCTGAGATCCAGCCACTGCACTCCAGTGTGGGTGACAGAGCAAGACTCCATTTCAAAAAAAAAAAAAAAAGTTCCTTCTACATAACTGAGTATGGTATGTTAACTATTATTTATGGCCATTGCTTTTCTTATTGTTTCCTGTATATACATTTTGTTTCTCAAGCATGATTGCAAGCCCCTGGGGACAGGGAGCTAATGCATTTGTTTCACTGCACATACCTGCGTCTATCACAACCACATGTGAGGCCTGTACTACATAATGGCTAAAGTTAAACTGACGAAATCCCTCAGCTACCTTTTGCTGTGCTCATCCATTTAGTCTCCCCTCTTCTAGGTCCAAGAATGCCTCAGGATGGATCAGATGACGAGGACGAGGAGTGGCCCACCCTGGAGAAGGCTGCCACAATGACAGCAGCGGGCCATCATGCAGAGGTGGTTGTGGACCCTGAGGATGAGCGTGCCATAGAGATGTTCATGAACAAGAACCCTCCTGCCAGGTAGGCCTGGGGATTTGGGATAATGAGTCCTTGTAGAAAGTTCCCACAGGAAAACAAGTTCCCTGGCAGACTTATGATTCCCTACCTTTGGAAAGGGCCCTGGAGTTGCTAGCTGTAGGGGACCACCTTGACAAAACTGGCCCATCCTCAAAGGACCACTGTGAGTAGGAATGACCCAGCCTCAAAAAACATTGTGTCCTTATGTCCATTTGTTGTACAACTGCCCAGTTGCCAGGGAAACAGTTCCAGGCCCCTTTTACACCTCTGGGGAGAGCCATCCTATTGCATTTGGTTTTGGTATTCTTAGTTTTTTTAGCGGTAAGCTCAACTTCCTTGGACAAGTCTTCATATCCTAAGCTTCATTTAAGCCAAGGTTTTTCAACCTCAGCATTATTGACATTTTGGGCTGGGTAATTTTGTGTGTGTGTGGAGGCTGTCCTGTGCAGTGTAGGAGGTTTAGTAGATATCTCTGATCTCTACTTCTAGACTCCAGTAGCAACCTTCCCCCAGTTGTGAAAACCAAAAATGACATCAGACATTGCCAAATGTCCTCTGGGAGGCAAGACTGCCCCTAGTCAGGACCACTAATTTATTCCCATCTATAATAAATGCTAGCTCCAAAACATGCAGGCATTTAGACTGCCTGTGGTCAAACTCCTGAGCCCATAAATTTTGGCCCTTGGGAGTGGAGTCTAGGATAAGGGTCCTCAACCAGTTCATTCTGACCCTGTGATATTAACATAATGGTGTCCCTGATACTTTAGGCTGTTTTGGGCTAATGCATCTCATTGCTAATCATACTATAAAAGGACAGGGAGGCTGATAAATTCTGTGGCAGCTTATTTGAAAATGCAGAATGAAGAAATGAAAATGAGCCCCTCTCCCAGATTGATGCCTAACAGTTGAAATATATGTCATAAAGTATGTACTTGGGCTTGTCCCCCCAGAGAGCCTCTCAGGTTCTCACTCAGCACCTCATAACTCCTACTTCACTGATAATGCTGACCAATTTAGCAGAATGCTTTTCCAGCTTGTAGTAAATAGAGTAGACAAGCTCCTTGAAGTAATCAGAACTCCTGGCAGTCGTAAGAAATGATAGCTGGCATCTTCAGAAAGCAAGCCTAGATCCACATGAATTCAACAATCAGAGGCCATTTAGTTTGGGGGCACATTATAAGGTACTATAAAGCACCTTAACTCAAGACTTCCAAAAACCTGAGTTTGACTCTTACCCCCACCTGACAGCTGTGAGGCCTTGGGTGAGTTATTAACCTGAGGCCCAGTTCCCATGTCTGCATAAGTTTCCGTGTCCTATAAGTGTTGCGCTGACTCTAGGACTGAAAAGTCCCAAACTCAGTGCCTGGCATTGAGTAGGACCTCAGAAAAGAGGAGCAGTTTGTTTTTTGTTTTGTTTTGTGACAGGATCTCACTCTGTCACCCACGCTGGAGGGCAGTGGCATGATCTCAGCTCACTGCAACCTCAGCCTCTCGAGTAGCTGGGATTACAGGCACGTACCACCACGCCTGGCTAATTTTTGTTTTATTAGTAGAGACAGGGTTTCACCATGTTGGCCAGGCTGGTCTCAAACTCCTGACCTCACGTGATCCACCTCCCTCAGCCTCCCAAAGTACTGGGATTACAAGCGTGAGCCACTGCGCCCAACTGAGAAGCAGCTTTAAATACATTTCAGTCTGGGCATGGTGGCCCAGACCTGTAATCTTAGCACTTTGGGACGCCAAGGCAGGAGCCCAGGAGTGTGAGACCAGCCTGGGCAACATGGGGAGACCCCATCTCTACAGAAGAATAAAAAACTAGCTGGGCCTTGTACTATGTTCCTGTGGTCCCAGCTACTCGAGAGACTGAGGCGGGAAGATCGCTTGAGCCAGAGAGATAGAGGCTGCAGTGAGCCATGATGGTGCCACTGCATGCCAACCTGGGCAACAGAGGTAGACTCTCTCTCAAAAAAAATAAATAAATACACTTCAGCAGCCTCTGAAGATGCTAGTATTATATGACAGCTCAAGGCGATGGTAATTCTGAATCATTAAGATAAGATTATGTTTGATACACCCAACAATACTGTTTAAGGAGGCTGAAAAGAATATAATCAGTCTTAGAAATATTTCCATAGATAACGCTTACTGTGTACTGACCATTCCAAGTAATGAACAGACATTAACTTATTTAATCCTTCCATTAATCTTTTAAGGTGGGTACCGTTATTATCCCTATTTTACAAATGAGGAAACAGAGGCATAGAGAGGTAAAGTAACATGCCCAAGATCATACCAGGGAGTGGGTGAGCCAGGATTTGAACCTGGGCAGACTGACTTCAGAGTTGAGGTTCATAATAACCTCCGTACAACTGCTAGCTTTGTCCTAAATGGAATGACTTTCAGTTCCTTTGCACCCTGCAGTGATTCTGTCTGTGGTGGATGAATGGGCACAGAGAGAGAACTCTAAGCTGCATATCCCAGCAGGATCGCAGTATGGCGGTGCTCACAGGGGACTGTGGGGAGTCTGGAGCTTCCTGGACAGTGACCACAGTGCTCCTTGCCCCCTCTCTCCCCTCCTCTTGGCACTTCCCCTCTTAGGCGCACCCTGGCTGACATCATCATGGAGAAGCTGACTGAGAAGCAGACAGAGGTTGAGACAGTCATGTCAGAGGTGTCGGGCTTCCCTATGCCCCAGCTGGACCCCCGGGTCCTAGAAGTGTACAGGGGGGTCCGGGAGGTAAGAGCTGAGAGGGGAGCCATGGTGGAAGACCCCTTTGGGGGCTGTGGGCTCCTGCCACAGGCTTTTTTGCCTTTTGCCTGCATCACATACTAAAGAAGTCATGGGAGTAGAAAACAGACCTAAGAGGCAGAGTGTGTGGGTTCAGATTCCTGCTCTGCCTGTAAATGACTTGGCATCCTTGGGTCGGTTACTGGAACTCTCACTGGTCATCTGTAAAATGAGCATAATAATGGCACCTCCTTATAGGTTATTGTGGGGATGCAATGAGTTAATATATTAAAAGCACCCAGACAAGTTCCTAGCCCACAGCAAGCTTGCCATATGTGGATGACGATGATTGTTTTACCTCCCTCATCCCTAGGTATTATCTAAGTACCGCAGTGGAAAACTGCCCAAGGCATTTAAGATCATCCCTGCACTCTCCAACTGGGAGCAAATCCTCTACGTCACAGAGCCGGAGGCCTGGACTGCAGCTGCCATGTACCAGGCCACCAGGTAGAGTAGCTGGGGGTTCGGGGGCCTTGGGTTTATAGGTGCAGGCTGAGTTTGGGACGGACAGGCTTTCCTTGCCTCTGGCCCCAGGGCATTTGAGCTTTGCCCCAGGGCCCTCTCTGTGCTACTTTATAGCATCATTTTTCTAGCTTTTCCTGTGTCATTTTTTGGGGCCAAGACCCAGTTAGCCAGTTAGGAACCCTCCGTGATGAATTTCTAGGGGAGAGGCTTTTATAGCTACTGGGATACAACCCTCTGTGATGAATTTCTAGGGGAGAGGCTTTTATAGCCACTGGGATACAACCCTGTAGCAGGACCCTCAGAAGTCTGTGACTGCCCAGGCATGCTCAGGGCTACTCAACTGATGCTGAGTAGCCATCAGTTTGCACGAGCTCTGGCTCTCCCACAGACAAACGGTGCTCCTCATTTGGGTATATCTCATTGCCCCTCCTATTCTCTCTCTAAGCTGATGGGTGTTGCATGCACACAGCTCCCACACATCCCCCACTGAAAGAAAGGTCCCATATTTTACTTTAAAACCTCTTGTATGCACTATCCATGGTGATATTTAATGGGCCGGGTCCAGACTGTCGTGTGAGTTGGAAACTTCCCCCGCTTAACTCCCACTAGGATTTTTGCCTCTAACCTGAAGGAACGCATGGCCCAGCGCTTCTACAACCTTGTCCTGCTCCCTCGAGTACGAGATGACGTTGCTGAATACAAACGACTCAACTTCCATCTCTACATGGCTCTCAAGAAGGCCCTTTTCAAACCTGGAGCCTGGTTCAAAGGTGGGATCCCAGAGGCACGGAAGAAAGGGAAGGGCTGGAGCTTCTATGGGGAACACAGCAGGCCTGGTGTGGGAAATTGCTAGCTGTCCCTGGGCTGGGTGGGAATGCTTCCTGCTGTAACTCCTTTTTCTCATCCTGGGCTCACAGTGGCTGCCCTTTGACTCTCCCTAGGGATCCTGATTCCACTGTGCGAGTCTGGCACTTGTACCCTCCGGGAAGCCATCATTGTGGGTAGCATCATCACCAAGTGCTCCATCCCTGTGTTGCACTCCAGGTAGTATTGCTGGGGGTGGAAGGGGGCTGGTCAGTGGATATCCAGATAGTGGAATTGCCAGGACTTGGGAATGGGCAGAGTGGAGAAGGAGCTAAGGAAAGCCTTGGGTTTGTGCTTGTTTAAGCCAATGAGTAGGTGTATCATTATCCCCCTCAATGTAAGTTGTGCAACAACAGGGCCCGAGTGCCTGGCATAAAGTAAGTTCTCAGTAAATAGATAAACAAATGAGTAGGAAACACAGGAAGAAAGTAGTTAGGGTGGAGACGTTGAGATGTTTGGACCATACTCTAGTTGGTTACTGAAACAAGCAGTCTATGCTAGAGATAGAGATTTGGGTGGATCCCTGTAGAGATGGTGACTGAGGTCAAGGGAGTATAATATGATTGTGTAGGTGAGAAGGTCCCTGGGGAATACCATAGTGTAAGGGCCAGCAGAGGGGAAGAAAAAAAGGGGAAAGCATAGAGGGAGAAGTAGGATCCTTCTTCCAATGTTTTCCCTGCTTACTCTACCCCACCTCCCTTTCCCACTAGTGCGGCCATGCTGAAAATTGCTGAGATGGAATACAGCGGTGCCAACAGCATCTTCCTGCGACTGCTGCTGGATAAGAAGTATGCACTGCCTTACCGGGTGCTGGATGCCCTAGTCTTCCACTTCCTGGGGTTCCGGACAGAGAAGCGTGAACTGCCTGTGCTGTGGCACCAGTGCCTCCTGACTTTGGTCCAGCGCTACAAGGCCGACTTGGCCACAGACCAGAAAGAGGCCCTCTTAGAACTGCTCCGGCTGCAGCCCCATCCACAGCTATCGCCCGAAATCAGGCGTGAGCTTCAGAGTGCAGTCCCCCGCGATGTGGAAGATGTTCCCATCACCGTGGAGTGAGGAAAACAGTCAGCTGTCCTGGCCAAAGGGGTTTGGAAGGACACCAAGACCCCCGTTGGTGACTGAAGATGACACTGAGCTTTAATGGCTGAAGACCCAGATCAGGGCAGTGACAGATCACAGGGACATCTGTGGCTCCCAGTCCAGGACAGGAAGGACTGAGGGTCTGGCTGGTTCCCTCTTCCATTCTAGGCCCTTATCCCTGTTTAGTTCTGAGAGCCAACTTGAGATACCATATGCTAGCATTCCCAGTCCCCAGCTGGGGCTTGGTGTGAGTACTTTTTCTATGGCTATTGTGTCAGGTCACTGTGGATAAAGGCAAAGACAGATATTTATTGAACCTCTGTGTTTGGTGTAGTCAATGGAGGTAGGCATTACTCCTGTTAGTATTTGGAGGACGGAGGACATTCTTGTCCTGTTTATATAGGACCCACCTCCCTTGATCTCCAAGCTTGTTTCTCCAGGCTGCACTCACCTTGTTAGCCCCCAGGGGACACATCCTCTGCCTTCCCCCATCACAGGCTACAGCAGCCAGGAGCAGGTTGTCCAAAGATGGTCGTGTCTCAGCAGTGGATGAAAGGACTACAAGAGAAAACTCCTTGGGGAAAGCAGAGATAAGAGTCAAGAAAGGCCAGAGAGGCTGGGCTTGGTGGCTCACGCCTGTAATCCCAGCACTTTGGGAGGCTGAGGTAGGTGGATTACCTGAGTTCAGGAGTTCGAGACCAGCCTGGCCAACATGGTGAAACCCCTTCTCTACTAAAAATACAAAAATTAGCTGGGTGTGGTGGCGTGTGCTTGTAATCCCAGCTACTTGGGAGGCTGAGGCAGGAGAATCGCTTCAACCTGGGAGGTGGAGGTTGCGGTGATCCAGGATTGGGGCCACTACACTCCAGCCTGGGCCACGGAGCAAGACTGTCTCAAAAAAAAAAAAAAAAGGCCAGAGAATAAGGCTGGGCCCAAGAATGGTTAGATCAGAGCTAGCATCAAACAGGCTCCCTTTCTGGCTTTTCAGCCAATGAAAGCTTTAGACTAGTGACTAGTAAACTAGGGCCAGGTGCCCCTTTTTTTGTTGATTTGTTTTTTGAGACGGAGTCTCGCTCTGTCGCCCAGGCTGGAGTACAGTGGCATGATCTCGGCTCGCTGCAACCTCCGCCTCCATGGTTCAAGAGATTCTCCTGCCTCAGCCTCCTGAGTAGCTGGGACTACAGGTGCGTGCCACCACGCCTGGCTAATTTTTGTATTTTTAGTAGAGACGGGGTGGAGAAGGGGTTTCACCAGGTTGGCCAGGCTGGTCTCAAACTCCTGACCTCAGGTGATCCACCCGCCTCGGCCTCCCAAAGTGCTGGGATTACAGGCATGAGCCACTGCACCCAGCCCAAGTGCCCATTTTTGTGTGGCCCATGAGCTAAGAATGATTTTTCCATTTTTAAATGGGGAAAAAATTAAAACAGTATTTTGTGATAGGTAGGAATTACATGAAATTCCAGTTTCAGCATCCATAAATAGTTTTGTTGGAACAGCCATGCTCACCCATTTACATGTTTTCTGTGGCTGGTTTTGTGCTACAACAGCAGAGTTTAAGTATAATCCTGCTATAACCCTTGTTATTTGCTTTCGAAATTGCGCATTTGTTCCAACCCATTTAATATATTTGGGAACAGTTTGATCATAACGCAGACTTCATGTTTGCTTGTGTGTGATTTCATCCTCGAGAAATAGTAGGTGAATATGGGAAACTGTATCTAGCTGAACCAAGCCTAAGTAGTACACAAAACTCACACCTAAACATGTACCAGCTACCTCACTCATCTCCCCACCTGTGTTGAGCAACCCTTCCGACGTCCACTTCCAAAAGCAAAGTGCATGTCTTCAAGATAAAAGGCCATATTTATTGTGATATAATTTCTCAACCATTTGACATATGTAAAAACCAAGCTATCCTTTTTTTTTAAATGTGTCACTCATTTGAGTGTTGTGCTTCAAGCCCCATTTTTCCCATGAGACCTGTGGTCTTTATTGTGCAATTTTGCATGGCATAGTGATTTTTAGGAACGCATAGGTCACATTATAAAGCAGAACTGACTATATTTGGGTCAGAGACCATGTACCCCACAAAGCCTAAATATCCAGCCCTTTACAGAAAAGGCTCAATGATCCCTGCTTTAGACCATTGACTTCCACCTCCTTACCTCATACAGTGCAGAAATAGACTTACCCACACACCAATCCAAGAAGCCAAAGCCAGTTTTATTTCACAATCATCTTTATTACAGTAGGATGATGGTCCTGGGCCACCAGCCTAAACCTTGCAGCCTTAGGAAAGACCTGTGTCAACAGGGCTTGCCTCCCTCTCTAGACAGGGGCTCAGCCACCTCCAGGGCATCCCTGCTGCATTTTCCCTGCTGGAGGATGGGGCAGAGGGACAATGGGAGAGGAGGGCATGACCCCACCCCAGGCTATAGCAGCTCCTTGGCCACAAAGATCCTTTTGCCAGTAGCAGAAGGGAGGAAAACAGCAACCACCAGGGTTACCACCACTTGTGGGATGGCCAGGACCCCATTATGTCCTCTTAAAGTTGTGCTCAAAGCAATTAATAAATTAAAATGAGCCTTCAGCAGCAAAGCTGTCAATCACACAGGAGAAGCTGAGCAGAAAGCAAAGCAAAGAGGAATTTATAGCTTCTCTGGCTGAGGCCTAGGCCCCTCCCTCTAGGAGCAGCTGTCAGCACGGACTACATAGGGGCCTCCAAAGTACTGAGAGGAGCCATCTAGACTATTCCCCCTCATATGTGTCTATCATGCATTAAATTTTAGAGGGACCCCAATCCAAATGCAATAACCCTAGAAGGGACAACACCTTTAGAAGGCACTAGAGCATTTTGGCAGTTGAAAACATGAGAGCCCCCAGGGGTGGGGGGGGGCGTTCAAAAGGAATGCTGGTGTATGTATCCAATTCTGTCCCATCAGCCTGGCCCACCCCCAGCTAGAGTTGGGAAAGGCGCTGCTGGTCAGATGCAGGGAGGAGGAGCTTGACTAGCCACCGAAATGCAGACATGGCTGGCCGGGCCCCTTAGTGCACACTGCGGGGATGGGTAGGACCAGATCCCTTGGGCTTTGTGAAGGGGGAACAGACGCCCCTTCAGGCTTAGATGTGGTGTGGTTCCTGGAGGCAGGGAGGTGGGTGGCAGCGGCCCCTCCTCTGCTTAGTGGCCACTCCAGAGGGCCTCTCCAGGGCTACAGGTGTATGGCTGTGACATCTGTAGGAGTGCTGGTCTGGCTGGGCCCTTGGCTGCTGGAGCCCCGGGGGGCTTTGGGCGCTGGGCTGGAGCTGGTCTGAGAGGCTTCCCTGAGGCTCTCCCTGAGTGCAGCTTCGATCTGCTCCTGACAGGCCCGCAGGCAGTCCTGGGAACATGGGAGAAGAGTGAGGAGCAAACACTCCCCCCATAGCATCTGGCAGCAGGTGCAGGGGAAGGACAGCTCCCAACACATGGGGAAGTCTGGGGAGGTTAGGCCACAGCCCGGCCCCAGGAATCGCTCTTTAGTTCTCAGAAACTAGCAAGAGGATGTGGCAAGGGAGTGTGAGAGCAGCCCTGCATCTGACACCAAACCCCCCACCCCCACTCCAGCACACCACTTGGCAAGAAAAGAACCCCTAGGGCCAGTGCCCTTCACCCCACCCAAGATACTTGCTCTTCCCCAGACCAAGGCAGGAGATAAAAAGCCACAAAGCCCCAAGGTTGTGAAACCAGGACTTGGGACCAGGTTGGGGTTGGAGGTTTCCCTCTACTGGAGGCTCAGGGCATAGCACTACTTTATGAATGGAGAGGCTGCTGCCCAGCTACCCAGCACTCACCACTTCAGTGCCAGTGATCCCTGCCAGCAGCTCTGTGAGCTCATCCCCGGACATGGAGCAGGCACCCAGGCCTTGCACTGCAGCCCCAATGCTGCCCGTGGCGATCATGGATGGCGGGTACATGGCAAAGGTATAATCTTGGAGAGGAGGAAAGGGAACCATGAGAGAAGGAAACCTGAAGGATAACGGCCAGCATGGACTTCCGACTCCTTGGAAAGTGCCAGGCAGCATGAGTAGAGCAGAGGACATGCTGGAAAACTCCAGCAGTGGGTGGGGCAAGATATCAGCAAGGGAGGAAGACAGGAAAGAGTATCTTTCCTAGAGATCAGAACCAACTGCCAGTTTCCATAGGTCCCGGGAATAGACAAGACACTCCCTAGTATGGGAACACAACTAGGGCCAAGAGACTGGGGTTCTGTTCCCAACCTGTTCACTGTGAGACCTTGGGCAAGTCACTTCTCTCTATACCCTCAGTGTCCCCACTACAAACTGGAGGGGTCTGAGATCC
Source organism: Homo sapiens (assembly GCF_000001405.40). NCBI lineage: Eukaryota > Metazoa > Chordata > Mammalia > Primates > Hominidae > Homo > Homo sapiens. Next base: position 41,937,067 of record NC_000006.12, read on the forward strand.
CATATAGCTGATTATAACCTGCTTTTCTGCATTGAGACTGGGGGCTCAGAGGGGGTATAATTTTCACAAAGGAATTTTGACAGTATAAACCAGAATCTTCAGTTACCTCTCACCCTTATAAGTCTTCTGATTTTTCCAATTTGGCAAAAATGTGCATAGGGCTCTTACCTGTAGCACAGAGGGCCAAAAAGGTCTGGGCATGCTTTTTGACCAAGGCCTGTCGGTCACGGGGCAGAGAGAGCCGGTGCAGAATGAAGGCCAGGAAATCATGTGCAATCACAGCAGCCAGGTCCCACTTGAGCTTCCCTAGGACCAGCACCTCCCAGTCCTGAAAAAGCGGGGAAAGGGTGGGGTCAGTGGCTGGAGAAGTGAAGAGGAGGGAGCAAAGCAGAAGTCTCAAAGTCTCAGGCAGGGAAGCCCATCAAACTTTTAAAGCCCAAGACCCCAGTTCTGTTTCTGATTTTAAGGCCGGGCACCATGGAGTTCAAGGCAGGGAAGAGGAGGAGGCATGTGCTTTGAGCACTTACTGATCATTTACTAGGTGCCAGGACAACATGCTTTACATGGATTATCCCTTTTAATCCTGTCTGGTTATGTTTAAGGGGCCAATAATCCAGGCCTTCTCCTGACTTCATTCAGGGCTCTGAGGATTTCTCCAGCCAGGGCTGAAAGACGGAAGCAGCAGATACCACAGCATCACCATGAACTGGGCTCTCTTCTGGGATGAAGCAGAAAGACTCTCTCAACCCCAAGGATTTGTGAAAGGGGAGATCACCACTAGCTTCCCCTGCAACTCTGCATCCCAGCCAAGTCCACACTTCTTGAATCAACAGAAGGGAGTATGACTCCTCCAATGACAGCCACAGAGCCTTTTCTCAGGTTCCTCAAAGGGGAGATTGCCCAACCCAAGCCACATCCCCTTGGTAGGATATCAGGGATGGGTCCTGAGGTATAGCACCCCACCCCACCCCCTTTAGCTGGAACCCGTAGTGCCCCATGCCACTTGACTTTCAGGAGGATAGGTAGAGGCCAAGCCAGACAGGATGGCTCCAAATGATTCCAGAGGGATCAAGCCCTATCCTCACCTACCCAAGCCTACCTGCCAGTACTAGGTCTCGGGAGAAGGCTGGGAGCTCCACCCCAGTCCACTCGTCATGGGTTCCCAGACCTGGCCCCATTTCTGAGTTGCACACATGAGGATTTCTTCATTGTTTTATCTCAGGAAGGAACTTGTGGGTTTGACTCCTTATTGAGGCAGAAATGGCAACCCCACCCAACCTCTTCCAGGCCCCAGCCACAGCTGTCTCTCTCTTGGCCCCAGCTTAGGTGTCAGCCTCTCAAATCAACCCCTACCCTCACAGAGCCCCAGAGAAAATAGCCTGGCCTGGAGCCAGAAGTGAGACAGATAAATTACAACGCTACCCCTAGTGCATGTCCCAGGAGCCAACTCCTAACTCAGCAGTAAACAGAAGGGACTCAGCTTCTAAGGAAGCATCTGGAAGGCAACTGGGAGTGGGACTCTCCCTATGGGGAGGCAAGGGGTTGTGTTTGAGGGAAAGTGGCCACCTTTCCCCATATCCAGGCAACCAGAGAATCCCAGTGTTAACTGGTGGAGAACACACCCCTGGGAGTGCTTAGCTTCAGTAGGTGGCAGCGGCCATCACATTCCTGACTTTTAAGGCAACCTGGTCTAGCTAGAAGACCCAGGTTCTACACTCATCTGCTCAGTGCGATGCTGAGGCAGGACCTTGCCCTCCTTCCTTGGGCCTCAGCCTCCTCTGCTGCACACGGATTTGGACCAACTGGAGTTCTCAGAGGTCCCTTCCAACCTTGACCTTCTAGGAAGTCTTTTGGGCACTCCACCCCCAGCTCAGGCAGAGGGAAGAGTACTTTTTGCCTGTACTGAAAAACCCTCATACGTGGGCACACAAACCACCTCCATCTTTTCACAAAAAGGAAGTTCCCCTTCTACCTTCCAGCCCCAACCCCTCCAAAAACATCTTGCTCTCTGGCCCTGGAAACTAGCTCCACCTTCAGACTTGCCAAAAACTACCAGATTCATCACAAAGAGCTGTGGCGCCTCCTGGATTCCCAACTCTGGCCTCCTACTCCCATCTCTGAGCTACTTGGCAGGAAGAGGAATCCTGTTCCTCGACTCACAGCAGTCGGGGGCCCCAGTACCCTGGCTTCCCTGCCAGCCAATCACAGCAGCCTGCTTGCTGCCCTCCTCCCTGGGAGATGGGGCCCAGAGACTCCTCTCAGGGTCAGCAGAAGACTTGGCCCGCCACAGAGCAAGGTGGAGGAAGGTGCCAGCTCACCCACCCTCTCCCCCAGCCTCCCTAGGAGACAATCTGCATGTCCTAAATAACCTCTTCCAGATCCAGCAGCTCCCCCGCCTCCTCCCCAGGCTCCTTCTGAGGCGGGACAGAACCGGTGACTTTCCTGCCCGGCCTGAGCCCAGCCCAAGTTTCCAGCAAGAGGCCCAGGGAGCCACTTCCCAAACCACAGGAGTGACAGCAGCTCCCCACAGGGTTATGAAAGACCTTGGTCAGAGAGGGCGGGCCAGGGGAGGGGGCACCATTATCACATCGGAAGCAGATGCAGCTCACCTCCCTGTCTGTCCCTCAGCTTGGGCCTTGGGCTAAGGGGGGAAGAGGGAGCTGTTTCCACCAGGCCCAAAGCAGCTGCTCCAGTTCCTCAGAATGAGGACGAGGAAGGATTAGGAAGAAGCTGTTTCTTCCGGGATATAAGAGGAAGCAAAGAAGGTGGGATGAAATACATCAGCCCTTCCTTAAAGCAATCAGGGCCTGGCTTTAATTGGCTCTGGGAGGCTTTTCTATCACAAAGTCCACATGAGGATAAAGACTCAACCAAGGCAAAACCCCCTCCCCCACATGAAGCACATTCCACTCCCCTACTCCAGTGGGGGTGTGCAGGCATGCCCTTCTGCTGCCAATAAATAACTCATGGTGGCTGCGTAAACCCAGAGGCAAAGTACTAGTGAGTGTAGACATGCAATTTGACTTGTTGCTATCTGGGGGAAAGACCAGGAAGGAGTGGCATCCCCTGGAGGTCAGGAGGAGGGGGTTTAATGCCTGCCTGCAGCTCAAGCCTGGGCGGGAGTGATACTAACCATCACACCACAATGCCCCATCGTTTGTTCCACCCCAATTCCTTTCCCAAAGGTCCTGATCCCCTTGCTTCCTCTCCAGGGGGCAGAAAGCCTCTGATATCTCAAGCTTTCCTTTTCCTGGAAAGTGGGGAGACAATACGTGTCGGGGGTGGGGGGAGTTACACACGCACCCGCAACTGGCGGGGAGAGACAGCGTGGTCGGTGTAGATGCACAGTTTTTCGATGGTCAGGGGCGTGGTCTCGCGCAGCTTGGAGGCCAGCAGCATGCAGACCGCACCCAGGAGCTGCAACTGCGCCTTTCGGGTGGGGACGCAAGACAGGTAGCGATCCAGGTAGTTCATGGCCAGGGGGAAGACTTCCTCCTCACAGCGCTGCTCCTCACATACCTGGGGGAGGGCGCACAGTCACTGCTGGGTCTGGAGCGTGGGGAACACAGCAGCGGGGGGGTGGGAGCGCTGAAGTGAGGTGGGATAGGGAGCAAAAACGGCAGAGAGGGTAAGCTACTTAGAGAGACAAGGACCAATAAAGGAGGAGGATGCGCCCTCCCCAAGGTGACGCCCCCCACTTCCTCTGCGCGGCCTCCTCCCCTCTCCCCTTGACGGGGGAGTGGTAAAGCCAAGGAGCCCTTGCTCACGGAGGATTCCAAACGGAGACTCCCCTCCCCCACAGCGAGGGGAAGTGGGACGCAAGGGTCACCCATGGTAGCCAGAGAGCTGGGACCTCACCCCCATCACCGCCACCACTGCACACACCCGAGGGGAAGGGAGGAGGCTCCTGCCGCTGCCTCCTGCACTTTTCATTTCCCTGTCGGCCGGAACAGGGCGCGCGCCACCCCCATCGCCTTCCCCGCCAGAACCCCGCGAAAGACACAGGAACCGGCTCCCGGGCGGGGGCGGCCGAGCCCAGGGTTTTCCAGGCGCGCTCTCCGGAGAAGGCCGGGAGGCGGAGGGAAGCGGGAGACGCTGTGAGAAGCCGAAGGGGAGAGAGTGTCCTTGGTCCCGTTTGCTCGGCCCGAAGAGAGGCACAGTTAGGGTGCCAAGTGACTGGCAGTCACTGTCGGGAGGAGCCGATTAGGGCTCGGGAAAGCAAGGGAGGCAGCTGGCGTGGGTGCCCTAGTGAAAGGCCAGGCCCCGGGAGTCTTAGCCTCGGAGCATCCTGCAGATTGCTGTGGGGACCGGGATGTCCCGACAGGGCGGCCCCGGTGTGTCCAGACCCGGGAGCGGTGGGGGAGGGGGACGCGTCCGGGCGGTACCTCCAGCATCCAGTAAGCCAGCATCTTCCGCATGTGCGGCTTGATCTCCCGCTGCACGCACTGGAAGTAGGAGGCGCGGGGTACGTAGCGCTCCTCCAGGCGGAGCAGGCTCTGCAGGACACGCTGGTCCCCCAGCAGCCGCGGGTCCGGCCCGGCCCGGGGCGCGTGCCGGGTGCCTTCGCAACACAGCAGCTCCATACTCGGGCAGCGAACAGGCAGGGCGGGAGTGCGGGCTCGCGAGTCCCAAGGCAGGCGACGGGCCGGAGAGCGCGGGGCGCGGGTCTGGCGCTGGCGCTGGCACTGCGCGGCGGATCCCCAGCCCGCCCGCCGCCCGCGCGCGCGCGCCGCTTCCCTGACAGGCGCCCCGCCCCTCGCGACGATGTAGCAACCGTGGAATGCTCGGACGTCGCAACGCTCCGAGGGGCGGGGCTGCGGCGCCCCGGACGGAAAGGGTTGGCTGAGCGCTCTCCCCTCCCTCCCGCGGCCCCATTGGGCCGCTGAGCGCAAGCCGGCCGGCTTCCGGGCACTCCAGGCCCTCTGGACCACCGGGTGCAGAGAACTTTCTAGGAGGTGGGCCTCCTACCCACCCACGGGCCCTCCCATTTTGCTTCTCGGACTCTAGTCACCCAGGAAACAATTTTTCTCCAAAGGTCATTCATTCACTTATTCATTCGTCAAACCCTACTTCACCGGCTGCTTGCTCTAAGGAATGCGATAAATAATGTCAGAGCTAGTTCTTAGTGAACGCTGCTCGAAAGCCTCACGATGTAATGACTCACTACATCTTCACGAAAACTCGGAAACCGAGGCAACTGTCATTCAGTTGGTCCGTGGCAGAGCTAGGATTGGGAAGCTGGCCTTCTTGCTGCAGATTCTGTGTTCTACACCATTGCTAGTTAAACTGTGATCCCAGACCTGTCCCGTGCGTGGTCATCGCCTGGGAGCTGGTTAGAAATGCAGACTCTCAGGCCCACCCCTAACCTGAATCAGAATCTGCATTTTAACTAGATTTCTGTGCACTTTAAAGTATGAGAGCTTTAGTCTAAGTCAGCATATAACAGAACGGAAAGGCCATGGAGTCATGGCCTCACCTTGTTAAGTTGCTTGCCTAGGTTTGGACAAGCCCCTAAAGTCGGCCTTAGTTTCTGTTTGGAGAAACTGTGGACGGAGAAACTAGATTCTCATTGAATCAGTTTCTTGCACAGACTCTGTGAGATCTACCGGTTGCATTTCTTCCACCTCCCAAACTTTTGGTTACTTTGTAGTTTTACCGGAAGCTAGATTCCACTTGACGAAGAGGCCGAAAAAGACCTCCAATAATGCTCCAAATGGGAGGAGGCCATGAGGATCCCTGCCCTACTGGGGTCCTCCTGACTTAGGAGACACTAAGGAAGTGTCTAACCATTTTCTGTTAATTATTCTTTTTTTTTTTTTTTTTTTTTTTTGAGACGAAGTCTCACTCTGTTGCTCAAGCTGGAGTGCAGTGGTGCGATCTGGGCTCACTGCAACCTCCACCTCCCGGGTTCAAGCAATTCCCGAGTAGCTGGGACTACAGGCACGCACCACCATGCCTGACTAATTTTTGTATTTTTCGTAGAGATGGGGTTTCACTATGTTGGCCAGGCTAGTCTTGAACCCCTGACCTCGTGATCCGCCGGTCTCGGCCTCCAAAAGTGCTGGGATTACAGGCGTGAGCCACCGTTCCCGGCCGAATTATTCTTTCTTATATTATAAATTGTATTGTAGTTTTCATATCATAAAATATTCTTTTACATTGTAGAAAACTTCAAAAATACAAATAAGCCACAAAAAAAGGAAATAATCATTTGCAATTTGCCATGAAATAACCCTTTAATATATCAATGTTTATTTTTCTAATCTTTGTTCTATGAATAAACACACATTTTAAATGGAATCATCACAAACTGTTTTGTAAGCTTTTTTCATTAAAAAAATACTGTTAACACTTTTCCATGCTATTAAATATTCTAGGACATAATTTGTAATAGGGACATAATATACCATTAGGTGAATGTACAAAATGTATTTTGGCAAACCTGTATTGGTGGAAATTTAAATTATTTCTAGTTCTTCTCTATTAGACATAATACTGTAAAATATTTTTGTGGTAATATCTTTGTGCACACTCATGATTATTTCTAGAAGTGAATTAATTTCTAGAAGTGGAATTTCCCAATCTAAGGTTATGAAACATTCTAAGGCTTTTGATACACTTCTAATTGCCAAATTTTCCTGCTGAATAGTTAAACCAATCTTTTCCACCATCATTACATATCTATTTTTCAAAACAACTCTGCCAACTAGAGAGTGAAAGTGGCTTATTAGTAATAATAAATCTATTTTGGCATATTACTAGACATTTACATTTCTTATGTACATTACCCATTCATGTCCTTAGCTTATTCATTTATAGGGATGTTTGTTTTCTCTTATTGACTTATAAGTTCTCATCACCTCTCAAAGATATTAACCCTTTTCATATTTTTTGTTTGGTTTTTTAACTTTGGTTATAAAAATTCTTGACATAAATTAATTTTTAAAATCAGTATTTTTAAAACTTCTCATTTATAGTAACATGGCACTATGTATAAAAATGTCCCATCAGCCCAGCACTTTGGGAGGCTGAGGCAGGAGGATCACTGGAAGCTAGGAGTTGAAGACCAGCCTGGACAACAAAGCAAGACTCCTATCTCTACAAAAAATAAAAAAAAAAAATAAGCTGGGTGCGGTGGCACAAGCCTGTAGTCCCAGCTACTAGGGAGACCGAAGCAGGAGGATCGCTTGAGCCCAGGAGTTCAAGGCTGCAGTGAACCATAACGGCACATGACCTTCCTTAACATTTTGTTATCATACATTTTGCAAAAACAAAATTTTAGTTCATTGTTTTTACTAATTTTTGGTTCACGGTGGATTTTTTTTTTTTTAACAAATAGAAGGGTTTTTTGTGTTTTTCTTTGTTTTTTGGTTTTCTTTGTTTTTTTGACACAAAGTTTTGCTCTTGTCACCAGGCTGGAGTGCAGCTTACTGCAACCTCTGCCTCCTGGTTTCAAGTGATTCTCCTGCCTCAGCTTCCTGAGTAGCTGGGATTACGGGTGCATACCACCATGCCCGGCTAATTTTTGTATTTTCAGTAGATACGGGATTTCACCATGTTGGCCAGGCTGGTCTCGAACTCCTGACCTCAAGTGATCTGCCTGCCTCAGCTTCCTAAAGTGCTGGGATTACAGGCACAAACCACCGCACCTGGCAAATTAGTTGCTGATTTATTAATTGAGGGAGGGCCACATAGACTGACTAGTCCTGAAAGCTGGATGTGAACCTGTAGTATGGGGACGGGAGCTCCTGGTGAGCAGGACTTTAGGAGAGATACTTCTGCCTCACCCCTGGATGGAATAGCCATGCCTAGAGCTAGATCATCCCTGACTTTCAGGGCCAAGGACTGGCCACTGGGGAGGCAGGTGAGCTCAATGCAGGACCAGCACAAGTTCACCAGTTACCTCCACCTCAAAGAAATAGAGGCTCCTCTTGTTTTTCTTGTTTTTGTTTTTGTTTTTCTAAAAGGAAAACTAAAGACAAAGCAATGACCAGGGCCAATAGTATGAGGAGTTTCTACCCAGGTACATCCAGTTAGAAAAAGTCAATAAAATGGCAAATTGGAGGAGGGGTGGGAATGGAATGTCACAGGCCAAATAAGAAACCCCAAGGAGGAAAGATACATTTTCTTTCTCTTCCTCTTCATCATCAAAATACCCCCATCTGGGCCAGGCACGGTGGCTCACGCCTGTAATCCCAGCACTTTGGGATGCCAAGACGGGTGGATCACCTGAAGTCAGGAGTTCGAGACCAGCCTGGCCAACATGGTAAAACCTTGTCTCTACTAAAAATACAAAAAATTAGCCAGGTGTGGTGGTGGATGCCTGTAATCCCAGCTACTCCGGAGGCTGAGCAGGAGAATCACTTGAACCCTGGAGCCAGAGGCTGCAGTGAGCCGAGATCGTGCCATTGCACTCTAGCCAGGGCAACAAGAGCGAAACTCTGTCTCCAAAAAAAAAAGTCCGCATCTGAGAAGTGAGAGGCTGAACAAGGTGATGGGTGAGGCCCATCACCCCACAGTCCACATGCCATGGCTTAGTTACCTTCAGACCCATTGAGATGCTGGGGAGAGCCAAGCGAGCCATGGGGCTGAGAACAGGGGTGCTAAACAGGGTTCTGGAGTCAGAGACTGCTTTCAGTTCAAACCTGGCTCCACAGCTTATGACTTTGAGAGAATTACTGGAACCTCTCTGCTTCCTCTTTTATCCAGTGGGGATAATATAATAGCCCTATAATGATGTTCTGAAAATTAAACAAGCAGAAAATGTCTTACCTGTGCCTGGCACAAAGCAAGCATTCAGAGATAGTAGTTTCTGAAATGATTATTATTATTCCCTTTCTCAAGGAGTACCCTTTCTGTTATGAACATGCATCCATAACCCCTCTAAGAAAAGCAAAAGTTTGAGCAGCAAGAGCCCTACTCCTAGAATTGCATCTCTAGCAAATCCTGAAGACCTGGCTTCTAACGGTAAACGCATGGTCTAGCGTATGGAGAGGACCCTCCAGGGCCTGGAGCCACACCCCTCTGCCACTCCACTCCCTCACTGTGTGAATTTGGCTAAGTTAAACCACCTCTCTGTGCCTCAGTTTCCTTTTCTAAAAATGGTGATAACAGTAGTACCCCCCCACAGAGTGGTTGTGAGGAGGAAATGGGTTGATTTGTTTAAAATACATAGAAGAGTGGCTGGCACGTGGTGAACCCTTTTTTAAAAAGTTAGTTGTGATTGCGGGACTTAAAAGCACAAAGTTGGCCGGGCACGGTGGCTCACACCTGTAATCCTAGCACGTTGGGAGGCAGGGGCAGGCAGATCACTTGAGGCCAGGAGTTTGAGACCGCCTGGCCAACACAGTAAAACCCCATCTCTACCAAAAAAAAAATATAAAAATTAGCCGAACGCAGTGGCGCACGCCTGTAGTCCCAGCTACTCAGGAGGCTGAGGCAGGAGAATTGTTTGAGCCTGGGAGATGGAGATTGCAGTGAGCCCAGATCGCACTACTGCACTCCACCCTGGGCAACAGAGACCTGTCTCAAAAAAAAAAAAAAAAAAAAAAAAAAAAAGCAGTAAACCAAACTACATATAATTTAGCTTTTTTCTTTGAGAATCAAGGAGCTATCTCGGTGCTTACAGTATTCCAGGTCACTATTATGAGCATCTGTAATATTTGTACAATATTTCACATTAATCTTTAAAACTCTTTGCTTGTCCATTCCTATCAGTAAAAATTGAGCACTCTTCGGCTGGGCGCGGTGGCTCACACCTGTAATCCCAGCACTTTGGGAGGCCGAGGTGGGCGGATCACCTGAAGTCAGGAGTTCAAGACCAGCCTGGCCAACATGGCAAAACCCCATCTTTACTAAAAATACAAAAATTGGCTGGGTGCAGTGGCTCACACCTGTAATCCCAGCACTTTGGGAGGCCGAGGCGGGCAGATCACGAGGTCAGGAGATCGAGACCAGCCTAACCAACATGGTGAAACCCCATCTCTACTAAAAATACAAAAAAAATTAGCTGGGCATGGTGGCGCATGCCTGTAATCCCAGCTACTCAGGAGGCTGAGGAAGGAGAATCGCTTGAACCCACCAGGTAGAGGTTGCAGTGAGCTGAGATCGCGCCACTGCACTCCAGCCTGGGCAACAGAGCAAGACTCCGTCTCAAAAAAAAAAAAAGAAAAGAAAAGAAACAGCCTGGATGGGCATTTAAAATCCCAACACAGCACTTTAGGCAGCACTACCAAATCAGAGTTGGTGTGAACTGACCTGTTTTTAGTTTCCATTTTATACTGGAGGCTGCCTTCTTGGCAACACCACAAGGATGTCCGATAGGCCAGTTAAACTCAATTTCTCCAAAACTGATATCCTAATCTTTCCCCAAAAAACCCGCTCTTCCTACAGGCTTATCTCAGAAAATGGCAACTCCATCCTTCCAATGGCTCAGGCCAAACACTTGGTGTCATTCCTGACTCCTCTTTCTCAAATCCCACACAATCCCCACACTCTGATCAGCAGATCACAGAGGAGCTATTAATAATTTCAAAATATTTCCAAAATCTACTCTTTTTTTCCTCCTCTGTTACTTCCTCTGTCCAAACTCAGTTCTTCCTTGACCTTACTGGTCCCCCACATCCAACCTGCGACCCACTTCTGGTTGATTCTACGTCAAAAATACATCTCCAATCCCCTTCTTTTCTCGATTTCCACTTCTACCCCCCGGTCCGAGTTGCATCATCTCTTACCTGGATTACAGTGGTAGCCTCCTGCCGGGTCTCCCTGACCCACCCTTGGCCCTCCAGTCTAGTCTCAACCCATCACTCTCAGAGGCTCCCCATTTCATTTGGAGTGACTGCCAAAGACCCTGCAGCATCTATACTCCCACCCCATTTCCCACTACTCTCCCTCACTGTGCTCTGGCCACACGGTTCATGGAACACACCGGGCAGACATGTTCTCTTTGCACGTGCTGTTCCATCTGCCTGGAATGTTCTGCCTCCGGATATCCACATGGCCCACTCCCTCACTTCCTTCAGGAAGTCCAAAAGTTGCATTCCTCTTACAGCCTTTCCTGGCCATCCTACCTAAATTTTTAATGCCAGCTCCCCAGCCCTGACACTTCTTATGCTCTTTCCCTGCTTTATTTTTCTGCTTACCACTGATCACTAGTATAGCATATACTTTGCTTGCATATTCTGTTTACAGCTTGTCTACTCCCACACCACACCACCAAAACAGGATGGTATCCAGTTCATAGTAGATGTTCAGTAAGTTTTTTGTTTTTTTTTGTTTTTTTTTTTGAGACAGGGTCTCACTCTGTCACCCAGGCTGGAAGCAGTGGCATGATAACGACTCACTGCAGCCTCTATCTCCCAGGCTCAAGTGGTCTTCCCACCTCAGCTTCCCAAGTAGCTGGGACTATAGGCGTGCACTACCACGTCTGGCTCAATAAATCTTTTTTGAGTTAATGAATAAAACAAACTGGATATAAGAAAAACACCAGGCTGGGCGCGGTGGCTCACGCCTGTAATCCCAGCACTTTGGGAGGCCGAGGCAGGCAGATCACTAGGTCAGGAGTTCAAGACCAGCCTGGCCAACATGGTGAAACCCCGTCTCTAGTAAAAAATACAAAAAAATTAGCTGGGCATGGTGGCGCGTGCCTGTAATCCCAGCTACTCAGTAGGCTAAGGCAAGAGAATTGCTTGAACCGGGACCCGGGAAGCGGAGGTTGCAGTGAGCTGAGATCGTGCCACTGCACTCCAGCCTGGACTACAGAACGAGACTCCATCTCAAAAAAAAAAAAAAGAAAAAAAGAAAAAAGAAAAACACCAGCATACACCACATGATAAATGGCAACTCACATGGGGTTAAGGGAGCTGTTGGGGCCAGACACAGTAGATAGCACATGTCCCATCCAAAGCTCAAAAAGTACTGCTTAGCTTCAGACTTTTGCTACACCATAGTAATGAGTGTGGCCATAGATTCCCTGTTTCCCCAAGATAATATTTCTTAGATCGGGCATGATGGCTCACGCCTGCAATCCCTGCACTTTGAGAGGCTAAGTTGGGAGGATCACTGAGGCCAGGGGTTCAAGACCAGCCTAGGCAGCACAGCAAGACCCCATTACTACAAAAGAAAAGAAAAAGGCTGGGTGTGGTGGCTCATGCCTGTAATCGCAGCACTTTGGGAGGCTGAGGTGAGTGGATCACTTGAGGCCAGTCGTTCAAGACCAGCGAGGCCAGGCGTTCAAGACCAGCCTGGCCAACATAGTGGAACCCCATCTCTACTGAAAATACAAAAATTAGCTAGGCATGGTGACGCACGCCTGTAATCCCAGCTACTCAAGAGGCTGAGGTAGAAGAATCGCTTTAACCCAGGAGGCAGAGGTTGCAGTGAGCCGAGATCGTGCCACTGCACTCCAGCCCGGGGGACAGAATGAAACTGTGTCTCAAAAGAAAAGAAATTTCCGCCAGGCGCAGTGGCTCACACCTGTAATCCCAGCACTTTGGGAGGCGGCGACAGAGCGAGACTCCGTCTCAAAACAAAAAAAAAAGAAATTTCCTAAAATATCTATATTACTTGAGTTGAAAAACAGTAACAAAACCGTGCAAGCCACACATAATATGCCTATATACCAGGTCTGAGGGACAAAAAGCAGTTTGCAATTTCTAGCTTATAAGCTGCTTGGGAAAAGAAACCTCAGGTACTAGCCTGAAACTGTCAAGTCTCTCCTCATAAAATAAGAATACAACCTACAGGGCCGGGTGTGGTGGCTCAAGCCTGTAATCCCAGCACTTTGGGAGGCCGAGGCGGGCGGATCACAAGGTCAGGAGGTTGAGACCATCCTGGCTAACACGATGAAACCCTGTCTTTACTAAAAATATCAAAAAAAAAAAAAAATAGCCAGGTGTGGTGGCGGGTGCCTGTAGTCCCAGCTACTCGGGAGGCTGAGGTAGGAGAATGGCGTGAACCCGGGAAGCTTGCAGTGAGCCAAGATCACGCCACTGCACTCCAGCCTGGACAACAGAGCAAGATTAAAAAAAAAAAAAAAAGAATACAACCTATATATTTAAGCATTTGCTTTTTCTTCCTTTTTCTGGCTGTCTGGGTTCTGAATAAATGAGGCTTTCCTGTTCTGTCATTCTGCTTGAGATTCCTGTTCCACAGGTAAGACTGAGGTGCACACAGGGCCTCAGGTGTGGAAGGGTAACCTGCTACAGCAATATACCTGCAAAAAGAGAGCTGTCTTCGGTTCTTGGCTGGCAAGCATTCCTCATTCTAGGCAGGAGATAGCACTGGCATTAGTTTGGCTTAGTCATTAAGTAAGTGAGCTCTGGATTTAGGTTGATGCCCAGCTCTGCTATTTGCCAGCTGTGTGATTGTGTGATCCTGGGCAGTTTACTTAACTTTTCCGTCCCAGCCTTCTCATTTGCAAAAGGAGGATGGTAACAACTCCTATTTCATATGGTGAATGAGGGGATTAATAAGGGAAAAGTACTTTAGCTGTCCCAGGCTCATAGTAGGTGGTCAATAAAGATAGCTGTGGTCATTAACAATCAGGTGCCTTATCATGTGCCTTCCATACATCAGGCAGGCCTTCGGAAGCCCTGGGACATGCTGGACATGGGTCAGAGATGAGAAGACTCCCTTTTTTTTTTCTTTTTTTTTTTTTGAGATGGAGTCTCTCTCTGTCACCCAGGCTGGAGTGCAGTGGCGCGATCTCAGCTCACGGCAAGCTCCGCCTCCCAGGTTCACGCCATTCTCCTGCCACAGCCTCCCGAGTAGCTGGGACTACAGGCGCCCCCCACCACGCCCAGCTAATTTTTTGTATTTTTAGTAGAGTTGGGGTTTCACCGTGTTAGCCAGGATGGTCTTGATCTCCTGACCTCGTGATCCGCCCGCCTCGGCCTCCCAAAGTGCTGGGATTACAGGCGTGAGCCACTGCGCTGGGCCGAGAAGCCACCCTTTTAAGCTTCCAGTCTAAAGTGCATGATATGATGATCCTCCATGATGCAGGAATCCTAAGATGTCATGAAGACAGAAGACTTTTACCTCGGCATTTGCAACACCCATCAGAAGTAGGCAGGGTGGTTTGTGTGACAGGAAGGGTGGGCTGTCCTGGGACTGGTGGAGATTGGTGGTTCTGATCACCTGAATTCCATGAAACAGCCATGGTGAAAGAAATGGGATTGCAGGAGTTTAGAGATTAAGTGGGAGTAGGCCAGGCGCGGTGGCTCACGCCTGTAATCCCAGCACTTTGGGAGGCCAAGGTGGGTGGATCCGAAGTCAAGAGATCGAGACCAACCTGGCCAATATGGTGAAACCCCGTCTGTACTAAATATACAAAAAATTAGCCGGGCATGGTAGCAGGCGCCTGTAGTCCCAGCTACTCAGCTACTCGGGAGGCTGAGGCAGGAGAATGGCGTGAACCCGGGAGGCAGAGCTTGCAGTGAGCTGAGATCATGTCACTGCACTCCAGCCTGAGCGACACACACACACACACACACACACACACACACACAAAAAAAAAGATTAAGTGGGAGTAAGAAGAGAGAAGCAGGAAGAAGAGGGCATCCAAAGAAAGTTTAGGTGGGGGGTCAGGAGTAGTATGTCCCCAGTGTGGCACAACACCCCTGATAGCACACCAGAGCAATAATAGTAATAATACTATTAGGTAGTAATAATAATAGATCCCACTTATTTTTTATTTTTTTTATTTTCTGAGACAGAGTCTCGCTCTGTCGCCCAGGCTGGAGTGCAGTGGTGTGATCTCAGCTCACTGCAACCTCTGCCTCCCGGGTTCTAGCAATTCTCCTGCCTCAGCCTCCTAAGTAGCGGGGATTACAGGTGCTCGCCACCACACTCAGCTAGTTTTTTTTGTATTTTTAGTAGAGACGCGGTTTCACCATGTTGGCCAGGCTGGTCTTGAACTCCTGACCTCAGGTGATCCACCCGCCTCGGCCTCCCAACGTGCTGGGATTACAGGCATGAGCCACCACGCCCAGCCTAGATCCCACTTGTTAAGTGCTTTCTCCTAGCCAGGCACTGAGAGCTGTACCACACCTGTACTGTGAGGTAGAGGTGCTATTATTCTCCTTCCATTACAGATAGGAAAAAGAGAGATACAAAGGGATTAGGCAACACCCAGTGCCAGCCATACAGCTAGCAAAAGTCTGTCTCAATTTGGGCTTCCCAGAAGCAGACCTTGAGACAAGGATTCAAGTGAAATAATTTACCTGAGAGGCGATTCCATGAAGCAGCTAAAGCGGGTGGAGAAATGAGCAGGGAAGGGACAGAGGCCAGTGAAGACTGCGTTATTGTTAACCATGGTGGACAAATGGAGCTCAATCCTGCCTTGGAACTGGGAGACAATCAAAAGTGCGTGCTTGACAGCTATTGTACCTGAGGCGTGAGGGAGCAGGGAGACTTGTCTACCAATTCCCAACAGCCATTGTATGAGGGCTGCTTGGGGATGGAGGAGGAGTGGAATTAATTCCCCAGTACTTCCAGCCTTTTTGTGGGAGGGCGCGATGGACTCTGATAGTCAGAAGAAGCCCTCAAGCAAAGTGACAGTGTCAGCACTTGGAAGTGAGGCTGGTGCACTCTCGAATGGTAAGTGCCATGGACACCTGGGTGGAGACCAACTGCATGTGCTACAGTGGCAGAGCTGGGACTCCAACCAAGGCAATCAAATGCCAGAGCCCACGCTCTAAGCCCAAATAAATACACTGTGCTCATTTTAAAGTAGTGAGTGTGAGTGTGTGTGTGTGTGTGTGTGACATGAAACGTGGGATTTCATCAAGTTTCTTCTTAATGAATAATTGTTAATATAATATTACATAGACAATAGCAGAAGGGGCACAAGGATGTGGCAGTTGTCAGGGTGGCCAATGACAGGCATTGGGAATTGATGGAAGACAAATAAAACTGCAAAACAGGGGGTGCAGTGGCTTATGCCTGTAATCCCAGCACTTTGGGAGGCCGAGCCAGGCAGATCACCTGAGGTCGGGAGTTTAAGACCAGCCTGGCCGATATGGTGAAACCCTGTCTCTACTAAAAATACAAAAATTCGCCGGGCGTGATGGCTGTAATCCCAGCTACTTGGGAGGCTGAGGCAGGAGAATTGCTTGAACCCAGGAGGCGGAGGTTGCAGTGAGCCGAGATCGCGCCACTGCACTCCAGCCTGGGTGACAGAGTGAGACTCCCTCTCACAAAAAAAAAAAAAAAGGTGCAAAACATTGAGTCTGAAGACTTCGACTTGAGTCCCAGGACCTGGCTCTGTCCCAACTATATATACACAACTGGGCAAGTGCCTTGACTCTGGGAGCTTTTCTCAGCCTGTCAAAGGGGGATAACAAGACTACTTAGAGGGTGGCTCTAGGACTGGATGAGATAATGCATGAGTTAAAAAGCACTAAGTAAACTGCAGTAGTAGGTAAATCCAAGGGGTAATTATTTCAGTGCCCAAGGAATCTCATGGAGAACCAGTAAGAATGGGGATTCCCATTTTGCCCTTCCTTGTGTGACCCAACAGACCACTCCCACCTTCACCACTCCAGCCTCTCTGTTGTGAACAGAACCCAGGTTTTGTTGAGCTATCCGGTGGTCTTGTGTTTCAGGGGAGGTCAGGGACTCCCTGGTCTTGGAGGTTGAATCCAAGTTACTCCAAACCAAATCACGGTAATTCCACAAGTGGTTTAGGAATGGGCACTTGCTGTAATTCTGACCAATCAAATGTGGAGGTGGGTCTGCTAAGGGACTTCCATCAGTGGGGCACGGGAGGAAAACAGCTTCTTTCCTGCTTTGTGTGAGAATGGAGGAAGACATGGCACATTACTGAATACTTACTATGTGCCAGGCACTACTTTAAGAGTTTGAAAAAAAAATAAATCTCATTTAAAAAAAATTTTTGGTGGCCGGGGGCAGTGGCTCACGCCTTTAATCCCAGCACTTTGGGAGGCCAAGGCTGGTGGATCACTTGAGGCCAGGAGTTTGAGACCAGCCTGGCCAACATGGCAAAACCCCATCTCCACTAAAAATACAAAAATTAGCCCAGTGTGGTGGTGTGCACCTATAGTCCCAGCTACTCCAGAGGCTGAGGCAGGAGAATCACTTGAACCTGGGAGGCGGAGGTTGTGGTAAGCTGAGATTGCACCGCTGCACTCCAGCCTGGGGTACAGAGCAAGATTCTGCCTTAAAAAAAAAAAAAAAAAAAAAAAAAGGTGTGGTGGCTCATACCTGTAATCCCAGCACTTTGGGAGGCTGAGGCAGGCGAATCACGAGGTCAGGAGTTCAGACCAGCCTGGCCAACATGGTGAAACCCCATCTCTACTAAAAATACAAAAATTTAGCCGGGTGTTGTGGCGTGCGCCTGTAATCCCAGCCACTCGGGAGGCTGAGGCAGGAGAATTACTTGAACCCTGGAGGCGGAGGTTGCGGTGAGCGGAGAATAGCGCCATTGCACTCCAGCCTGGGTGACAGAGCAAGACTCTGTCTCAAAAAAAAAAAAAAAAAATTTTGTTTAGAGATGGAGGGGGCTTTACTGTGTTACCCAGGCTGGTCTTGAACTCCTGGCCTCCAGTGATCCTTCTGCTTCCACCTCCCAAAGTGCTAGGATTACAGACCTGAGCCATCGTGCCTAGCCTCATTCATTTAATCCACATAATATCAAACTTCTGAATTAAAGTATTATTATCCCATTTTACAGAGAGGTTAAGCAATTTACTCAATTGTCCTACAGTGATGGGCTTTGGAGCCAGGTTTGGCATGTAGAATCAACATGCTTAACCACTGTGCTGCGATGCCTGGAGCAGCTGCAGCCATCTTGCAATAATGAAAGAAGGAGCTGGCACCTGAGAATGACTGGAATGAATTTTCCTCCCTGATGATGTTATTAAGCTGCTGAATTAACCAATCCTGAACCACCTACCTCTGGACTTTTTGTGATGTGTGAAAGATATAAAATTTTCCTTATTGTTTAAGCTATGTTTACCCCTCAAGTTAAATATCTTTACTATCACTACTTTCTCTACTAACACCCACCTGATGGGGCAACCTTCAATAGCAAACAGGCAGCATTCTCCCAAACATTCAAGAAAGAAGTAATTTCAATCTTACACAAACGCTTTCAGAGAATATAAAGAGAGGTTCACTTCAAATCATTTTTAATATAATGATTCCAAAACCCAACAAGAACAATATGTGAAAAAAAATTACACTTATGAACATGGATGCAAAATCCTAAGCAAAATATTAGCAAACTGATTCCAGCCAATATGTAAAAAGGGTAATATGTTGTGATTAAGTTGACTGTATACCAAAGTGCATGGTTAGTTTATTATTTTGAAAAAAAACCAATATAATTGATCACACTAACAGATTAAAGAGGGAAAATCATATGACTACATCAACAGATACCAAAAAAGTGTTTGATAAAAGTCAACATCCATTCATAAGAAAAAACTCTTGGCAAAGCAGGGATAAGTGGGAACTTCCCTAGTCTTACATAGGATAGCTACTGAAACCCCACAGCAAACATCTTAGTGGTGACACATTAAAAGTAAACCAGGCAAGCCGGCATGGTGACCCTATCTCTACAAAAAAAAAAAAAAAAAATTAGCCAAACTGTAATCCCAGCACTTTGGGAGACTAAGGAGGCAGGAGGATTGCTCGAGGCCAGGAGTTTGAAACCAGCCTGGGCAACAAAGTAAGACCCTGTCTCTACAAAAAAAAATTAATTAATTAAAAATTAGCCAGGTATGGTGGTGCATGCCTGCAGTCTCAGCTACATGGGAGGCTGAGGCAGGAAAATTGCTTATGCCTAGGAGGTCAAGGCTGCAGTGAGGTGTGATTGCACCTGGGCAGCAGAGCGAAACCGTATCTCAGAAGAAAATAAAAAATTCAACTTGAGAAAGCTGATTGAATAAAAATTTTAAATATGTATATATTTAAATGTAGGGCCGGGCGTGGTGGCTCACGCCTATAATCCCAGCATTTTGGAAGGCGGAGGTGGGTGGATCACAAAGTCAGGAGTTCAAGACCAGCCTGGCCAACATGGTGAAACCCTGTCTCTACTAAAAATACAAAAATTAGCCGGGTGTGGTGGTGGGCCCCTGTAATCCTAGCTACTTGGGAAGTTGAGGCAGGAGAATCACTTGAACCCAGGAGGTGGAGGTTGCGGTGAGCCAAGATTGTGCCACTGCACCCCAGCCTGGGCGACAGAGCGAGACTCCTTCTCAAAAAAAATAAAATAAAATAAAATAAATAAATAAACATAAACCAGGAAAGTGCCAAACATGCCAGTTCAGTGGGCAGAACTAGGGCCTTTAGAAAGGGCTGGGAAAGACCATGAGGTGCTGGCTCCGCCTCCATTACCAACCTGGCCAGAACTTTCCTAGTACTAAGCAAGGCTGATCCTCAACGTTCTAAAGGTAGGCCATCATATTCCCACCCTGCTTGCAACTTACACATGTTTATGTATGGCACCATCTTTCTTTAGTCCTCAGATTTTAAACCCTTTACAGCAAAGAAGAATGGATTTCTCTGAGGAATCTGATAGCATGATCTAAATCTGATTGCCCTCTGCAAAACTGAAATTTATTTGAAGTCTAAATATTCTGCCTTAGAAACCTATATACATCTTGGATTCTGGCCCTTAAGATAGCCCTAATTGTTGTAATATAAAACAATGGTGGCCAGGCGCGGTGGCTCAAGCCTGTAATCCCAGCACTTTGGGAGGCTGAGGCGGGCGGATCACGAGGTGGGGAGATCGAGACCATCCTGGCTAACACAGTGAAACCCCGCCTCTACTAAAAATACAAAAAAAAATTAGCCGGGCGTGGTGGCAGGCGCCTGTATTCCCAGCTGCTGGGGAGGCTGAGGCAGGAGAATGGCATGAACCCGGGAGGCGGAACTTGCAGTGAGCCAAGATCGCACCACTGCACTCCAGCCTGGGCAACAGAATGAGACTCCGTCTCAAAACAAACAAACAAACAAACAAAAAACAATGGTTTAAGTTACTAAAGGAAAAGTTAACTCCACACAAACAACTGGCAGAAGGAGTTTTCCTAGGGGTTTTCAAATCCTCCGTTGAAAGGCTGGGCCTATATTACTGTTGCAAAAGCCTCCCAGAGAGCCTCATCTTCACATTGCTTCCAGATAGATCCAAATCAATGGCCCAAGGCCATCTGATTAATCTCTCACAGACACTCCTTTCGTCTTCAGTCCAAGGACCTGCTTATCAGGTTAAATTTAAAAGACAACCAGCCTGGTTTTCAAAATTGCCTTCAAGAAGAGGCCCCAGCAGCCCTAACCAATTTTATCTCAGCCCTAGCACTCCAGCCCACCTCTGGGCCTTATCACCCACCGCTGGCATCCTGCTTCTTTCTCCAAATCCAGCCTCTTCCCTTAAGGCCTAGCTCCTGGCCCATCTGTTCCATGAAGCTCGCAGGGTGTGGAATTGAAAGATCACAGAAATTTAGGGCCAGAAGGATCAATGTCGCTTAAGGGCACGCATCCACTTAATGGTTGTTGTAAAGTATTCTCCTTGTTTCCTGTGAATAAATCCTGTTTTCTCCCAAAAAAATGGAAATTCCTGAGGGTAGGCACCACATCTTTGTAGTTCCAAAGGTTAACCTGCTGGAAGAGGTACCCTGCATGAAGATGTGTGCTTTGATTCCTGCCTCTCTGCTCAGGCAATTCCCCTGTTTGGATAGTCTTTCCCAACCTGTTGTCAGCCATTCACAGTTCCAGATTCCTCTCATTGTAGGTTATTTGCTTTTTCATTTCTATTTATTTTTGTTTTTTAAAATTTTTTGCAGAGATGGGGTCTATGTTGTCCAAGCTGGTCTCGAACTCCTGGCCTCAAGCAATCCTCCTACCTCGGCTTCCCAAAGTGCTGGGATTACAGGTATGAGCCACCAAACTTTACCTTACTTTATCTTTATCTTTTTTTTTTTTTTTTGAGACAGAATCTCTCTGTCACCCAGACAGACAGACCAGTGATGCAATCTCAGCTCACTGCAACCTCCACCTCCTGGGTTCAAGTGATTCCCTGCCTCAGCCTCCTGAGTAGCTGGGACTACAGTTGCAAGCCACCATGCCCAGCTAATTTCTGTATTTTTAGTAGAGACGGGTTTTCACCATGTTGGCCAGGCTGGTCTTGAACTCCTGACTCCAAGTGATTCGCCCACCTTGGCCTCCCGAAGTGCTGGGATTACAGGTGTGAGCCACCATGCCTGGCCTACTTTTTCATTTTTAAATTGTCATTAGGGTTGTTACAGCATGGAGCAAAAAATATATATTTACATTTTTAGCAAAAAGCCATACTTCCCCCAAACTCGAAAACCCCTGCTAGGTGAGTCATTCTATTCTGTACAGTAGAATTTGTATTATTCATTCACTTGGTCCACAGAACTTTATTGAGATCCTATCAAACACAAGATATACCTGGGGCCACAAACAATACAAAGACAAATAAAACAGTTCTTTTCTCTTAAAGAGAATATAGTCTCCTGGGGGAATTTAGATGTGCTTTGCTTTCCTTCTTACTAATTTACCTTTACTTGATTATTTAATTGACTCAAGTATGTGGGTTTGGGGCTTTGACTCATCATGTGGCCAGAAAGTTCCCTGAAATCAGGAATTGAATCTTCTAATTTTTTTGGTATCTAGGTAGGGTAAGAATATGTTCCAGTTAATGTCAGTCTTATTGGCATATTTCTTAATGGTGCACCCTTTCACTCTCAGAAGCGTCTCAGTTCGGAAACAAGTGTTAGTCACAATGTGGAGAAACTAGAACATTCACACACTGCTGGTAAAAATGTAAAATGGTATCACTACTTCAGAAAACAGTTCTGCAGTTCCTCAAAATGTTCAATAGAGTTACCACCTAACCTAGCAATTCCACTTCTAGGTATACACCATGAAAAATAAAAACGTACATCCACACAAAAACTTGTATACAAATGTCAGAGGATCGGCCGGGCACGGTGGCTCACGCCTGTAATCCCAGCATTTTGGGAGGCCGAGGCTGGTGGATCACCTGAGGTCAGGAGTTCGAGACCAGCCTGACCAACATGGAGAAACCCCATCTCTACTAAAAATACGAAATTAGCTGGGAGTGATAGCGCATACCTGTAATCTCAGCTATTCGGGAGGCTGAGGCAGGAGAATGGCTCGAAACCAGGAGGCGGAGGTTGCGGTGAGCCGAGATTGCCTCATTGCACTCCAACCTGGGCAACAAGAGCAAAACTCCATCTCAAAATAAACAAAAAGCAAAACAAAACCAAACAAACAAATGTCAGAGGATCATTATTCATAATGGCCAAAAATGGAAATAACCCAGGCCAGGCGCAGTGGCTCACGCCTGTGAGCCAGGCCAGCACTTTGGGAGGCCAAGGTGGGCAGATCACAAGGTCAGGAGATTGAGACCATCCTGGCCAACATGGTGAAACCCCGTCTCTACTAAAAATACAAAAAATTAGCTGGGCGTGGTGGTGTGTGCCTGTAATCCCAGCTACTCGGGATGGGGGCTGAGGCAGGAGAATCACTTAAACCAGGGAGTCGGAGGTTGCAGTGAGCCGAGATTGCGCCACTGCACTCCAGCCTGGCGACACAGCAAGACTAAATCAGGCCAGGCGCGGTGGCTCACACCTGTAGTCCCAGCGCTTTGGGAGCCTGACCACGAGGTCAGGAGCTGGAGATCAGCCTGGTCAATATGGTGAAATCCTATCTCTACTAAAAATACAAAAATTAGCTGGGCATGGTGGCACGTGCCTGTAGTCCCAGCTGCTTGGGAGGCTGAGGCAGGAGAATCGCTTGAACCTAGGAGGCAGAGGTTGCAGTGAGCTGAGATCGCGACACTGCACTCCAACCTGGGCAACAGAGCGAGACTCCGTCTCAAAAAAAAAAAAAATGGAAACAACCCAACATTTGTGGACATATGAATAAATGAAATAATATGGCATATGCATACAGTGGAATATCATTTAGCCATAAAAAGGAGTGCAGTATTGATGCATGCTACAACACGGATGAGTCCTGAAACCATCACGGTAAAAGTGAAAGAAGCCACGTACAAAAGACCACATATTAATATGATTCCACTTATTTGGAACATCCAGAACAGGCAAATCTATAGAGACAGAAAGCAGATTCATGGTTGCCAGTGACTGGGTGGTGGTGATAATGGAGAGTGACTGCTAATGGGTCCCAAGTGTCTATTTTGGGGAGGATGAAAATGTTCTAAAATTAGATTATGGTAGTAGCTACATAGCTCTGTAAGCATGCTAAAAACTAAAAAGATTGTACTTTCGATAGGTGAATGCTATGGTATGTAACTTATAACTCAATAAAACTTTTTTATAAAGGATTCCAATTTGGATAATAAATTACATGGTCATCTTCTCTCCAGGGAGGCCTCTAACACGAGTGATTGAGAGCACGGGGGCTTTGAAGTTGACAAACCTGGGTGTGAATCCCACCTCTACCACTTGTGTGTGACCGGGGGAAATTATCTGATTCCTCATCTGCAAAATAGGGGAGTACTATCTACCTCAGAGGGCATGAAAAGTGCAAGGAGACCCCCAACCTCCATGTTGAAAGTGCTTAACTTTTAGTAGATATTTACATTGGCAAAAATCTGGTACATGGTGGATGGATGGACAGAGGGATGGATGGTGTAAGCTTGAAGCAACTCAAGATTCAGAGAGCAAATTATACCCATTCCTTCAAACAAGATGTTCTCCTTAAAAGGCTGGCCTCAACGTCCAAGCAAAGCAGGGGACCAAGATCACCACTGCCACCCATTCTGTTCAGTCATTCAATCCCCTTGCTAGTGTTCTGTGCCTCACAGGGCACAGCTCTAGGCTAAGCTTCCTGGAGAATAATGGGGGAGAACTCAGGATCTCCACTTTCAGGAGTTTCCCCTCAGCAGAGGGAAGCTGGTCATGTGCAGGGGAAGAGGACAGCACACACAAAGGCCAAGGAAAGAAGCACAGGCTGAGCAGAAGCAACCCTCGTTTCTGAGCAAACAATCCAGGGGAGGTCAACTCTGCTGTCTCCATGAGATGTGGGGACATCGGATGCTGAGCCCTGTCAAACAATCCCAGCAATGCCTTCATCAAAACAATCCTTGTGGCCGAGCGTGGTGGCTCACGCCTGTAATCCCAGCACTTTGGGAGGCTGAGGTAGGTGGATCATCTGAGGTCAGGAGTTCAAGACCAGCATGGCCAACAAAGCGTGGTGTCTCACACCTGTAATCCCAGCACTTTGGGAGGGTGAGGCAGGCAGATCACAAGGTCAGCAGTTTGAGACCAGCCTGGCCATCATGGTGAAACCTTATCTCTACTAAAAATACAAAAATTAGCTGGGCATGGTGGCAGGCGCCTGTAATCCCAGCTACTCGTGAGGCTGAGATGGGAGAATCGCTTGAAGCCAGGAGGCAGAGGTTGCAGTGAGCCGAGATAGCGCCACTGCACTCCAGCCTGGGTGACAGAGTGAGACTCTGTCTCAAAAAACAACAACAACAAAAACAACAACAACTAACAGTCCTCGCTTACGTTAGCCTTCCGAACTGCTCCTCCACAGCTCCTTCATTGCCTCCCTCTAGATAAGCCAAGTCCCTGTCTGCTCATACACCTCCTCTATTCCTTCAGCCTCAGCTTTGACATTGCTCCAGCTCTACCCTCCACCCCAAACTCCCAGCCCACATCCCCACCTGGATGTCACACCCGGTACCTCAAACTCAAGATGCTCAAATCCTGTCCCTGTCCCTTCTCTTGTGTATTGTGTGTCAGTTCACAGTGATCTG
The DNA here is from genome assembly GCF_000001405.40 of Homo sapiens. Taxonomy (NCBI): domain Eukaryota; kingdom Metazoa; phylum Chordata; class Mammalia; order Primates; family Hominidae; genus Homo; species Homo sapiens. Next base: position 41,961,866 of record NC_000006.12, read on the forward strand.
CTGAGTCACCCAAGCTGAAAATGCTGACATCATTCTTTCTCAGCTCCTCCTGCTCCTACAGTTTCCACATCAACCTGTAAGCAGGACCTGTCATCAATACTTCCAAAATGTCTCTGGAATCTGGTCCTTCCACTCAGTGCTCAGGTGCTCCCATCTAATACTTGGACTCCTGCAATAGCCTCTCTTCCACCAGTTACCATCTCTAACCTGTGCTCCCCACAACTGCCCAAGCAGTCTTTCTTTTTTTCTTTTGAGTTGGAGTTTCACTCTTGTCGCCCAGGCTGGAGTGTAGTGGCACGATATCGGCTCACTGCAACCTCCGCCTCCCAGGTTCAAGCGATTCTTCTGCCTCAGCCTCCCCAGTAGCTGGGATTACAGGTGCGTGCCACCACCCTGGCTAATTTTTATATTTTTAGTAGAGACAGGGTTTCACCATGTTGACCAGGCTGGTCTTGAACTCCTGACCTCAGGTGATCCACCTGCCTCGGCCTCGCAAAGTGTTGGGATTACAGGCATGAGCCACTGCGCCTGGCTGCCCAAGCAGTCTTTCAAAGACTTCAGGAATGCACATGTGCTTCTTTTGCTCCCCAAAACCTTAAAACCAGACTAGGCACAGTGGCTTACACCTGTAATCCCAGCACTTTGCAAGGCCAAGACAGGAGGATCGCTTGAGGCCAGGAGTTTGAGATCGGACTGCACAACCTAGCAAGACCCCGTCTCTACAAAAAAATTAAAAATTACCTAAATGTGGTGTGCACCTATAGTCCTATTTACTGAGGAGGCTTAGGTGGGAAGATTACTTGAGCCTGGGAGGCTGAGGTTGCAGTGAGCTGTGATCATGCTACTGCCCGCCAGCCTGCGTGACAAGAGTGAGATCCTGTCTCAAAAAAATAATTTTTTTTTGAGACGGAGTCTTACTCTGTTGCCCAGGCTGGAGCGCCATGGCGCAATCTTGGCTTACCACAACCTCCACCTCCCGGGTTCAAGCGATTCTCCTGTCTCAGCCTCCCAAGTAGCTGGGACTACAGGCGCGTGCCACCATATGCCCAGCTAATTTTTGTATTTTTAGTAGAGACGGGGTTTCACCATGTTGGCCAGGATGGTCTCAATCTCTTGCCCTCGTGATCTGCCCGCCTCGGCCTCCCAAAGTGCTGGGATTACAGGCATGAGCCACCACGCCTGGCCAAAAATAATTTTTTTAAAGGCTGCCATGACATGACCTAAATTCTCCGTCCAGCCTTATCTTTGCTTCCCCAACACACAGGCATCTACTCTCCAGGTCCCTGAGTGGCCCAGCATTGATGCTTTTGCTCAGCTCACACACTTCTTTCTGCCTAAAATCCTTCCCCAATCTCCACCTCTTGAAATGCTCCATGTCCTTCAAGGCCAACTCAAATATCACCTCTGCAAAGAGCCCCAGAGGTGGCTTGAAGGAAGCTCTTGAAGGAGCTTGAAGGAAGGTGTGATGTGAGACACACAGGTTGCCCACAGAGGCTACCCTAATTGCTGACTAGTAAAGGGGAATTTGCCTTGGCCAAGTCACACTATTTCAGGGTCTGGGTCTCAGCTTTACATAAGGAAAAGTGTGCTTTATTGAAGCTGCCTGAAGAGTACACACAATCTCACTGTCTCTAATACAGACCACAGAAATGAATACACAAAGCAGAAAAGCAGAGGCAACAAGTGAAGCTGGATACCAAGGCAGGCAATCAGCCATGCTGTCCTTGACACAGGAGGCCAAACTCCAATCAGAGGGGGAGGTGGTGAACGTGGAACCACTTGCTAAGGCAGCTACTGTGTCCCACAAAACATGGTAAAGAAGCATGGTTCAAGAGGTATGAGTCAAGAGTTACAGAACCTGGGTTTGAAACCTAGCTCTGCCACTTAGTCTGTGACTCTGGATAACTTACCTGGACTCCATCAAATGGAGGAAGAAACCATCAAATAGTCCCCTTTGAGCTGGCTGTTCCCTCTGCCTGGACCACTCTTTCCCTAGATCTCCACATAGCTCCTTTCCTCACTTCCCTCAGTCTCTGCTCCATTTTCACCTTTCCTGATCTTCTGAGATAAAACAGGGACTCTTCCCCCCACCTCTAGCACTGTCCATCATCTTTACCCTGCCATATCCCCAGTGCCTGGACCAGGGCCTAGCCAGAGGGAAGTAATCAATAAATATTAGTAGAATGGATGAATAAAGTATACCCACCCCACAGAGTTGTGAAGATGTTTTGAACTGAGCTTGACCCACAGTAAAGCTCCGTAAATGTTAAACCTTATTAGAAGAGCCTCCTGCTGAGAGCATGCCACATACCAGGCACCCAGAGATGCCCAAGAGGTATTGGGGGGTTAAGGGTTTCCCAGTCTTGTTGGAAAGACAGAAGCTTCAGGAGAGGAGCACTTCCTCCAGCGTGTGTATGTGTGTGTGTGTGAGTATGTGTGAATGTGTGTGAGTCTGTGTGTGTGAATGTGTGTGTGAATGTGTGTGAGTCTGTGTGTGTATGTGTGAATGTGTGTGAGTGTGTGTGTGCATGTGTGAATGTGTGTGTCTGTGTGTGAATGTGTTTGTGTGTATGTGTGAATGTGTGAGTCTGTGTGTGAGTGTGTGTGTGAGTGTGTGTGAATGTGTGTGTGTGAGTGTGTGTGTGTGTGAGTGTGTATGTGTGTGCATGCACATGCACACAGTCTTCTTCCAGGGAAGACAGCGATGCTGCTTACTGCTGCTTGAGCTGCATCCTGAGTGGGAACTAACTAGGTGAGGAGAGAGCATCTGGCCTATGTGGTTCAGCACTGCCAGCAGACCCAGCAGGTTGGGTGCATGACAGCAGGGTGGCAGGAGTCTGCAAGAGACCTGGACTTGTCCCCTAAAGGGAGCAGAGGGCTGTTACAGGGTTTCATCTGAACCACACCCTGAGTGCTAAGCATTAAGGTTTGGGAACCAGTAAGTAGAGAGCAGTTAAGAGGTTCTTGCAAGAACCTAGTGAGAAGTTCCAAGGGCAGCTTGTGAGAATAAAAGAAATGCAGGAGACAGAAATCACTGGAACTCAGTGACCCCTTTGTTGGTAGTGGAGGGATAGTCCAGGATGACTCTAGGATTTCTGGTTCTGGCAATTTCATGGAAGGTGTTTCTATTTCCTCTGATAGGAATCCAAGTGGAAGAACAGATTTGGGGAAAATGTTCTCTATTTCACGTTGCTTTTTTTTTTTTTTTTTTTTTTTTTTTTTGACAGAGTTTCGCTCTTTGTTGCCCAGGCTGGCGTGCAGTGGCACAATCTCAGCTCACTGCAACTTCCGCCTCCTGGGTTCAAGCAATTCTCCTGTCTCAGCATCCCGAGTAGCTGGGATTACAAACACCCACCATCACGCCTGGCTAATTTTTGTATTTTTAGTAGAGACGGGGTTTCACCATGTTGGTCAGGCTGGTCTCGAACTCCTGACCTCGTGATCCGCCTGCCCCGGCCTCCCAAAGTGCTGGGATTACAAGCGTGAGCCACCACACCCAGCAATAATAGGTAACTTCTAAGACCCATAGCCAGTAAGACGCCCAGCTAGGATGTGAACTCCAGTCCTGTCTGAGAACACCTCTCCCACTCCCCTGGATTGCCTTGATGCCTTGAGTCAGGACCTCAGGAGTGCACGCCTCTGGAAGTCCTTAGCACAGGCAGCTGTGCCCCGAAGTGGATGCAGTCATCCTGGGAATACGGGGAGAGTGGAATGCAAGGAACATCCACATTTAAGGGGTAGGTGGAGAAACGGAAGGAAACAGAACAGCCAGGAAGGTCAGGAGAAACCAGAAGCCACGGGAAAGAGTTAATACCAGATCACAATGCTGCCAGGGCCAGGAACCCTCCCTCAGCTCACAAAGTATCAGACTAACTGGCCCAAGCGCCCTCCCACCCCAAAGGACACATTCTTCCTTTTGATATGTTAATCGATGCCGTAGGGTTAAGGTCGAACTTTCACTAGCTCGGAGCCTTTGTGTCTCTTTAAATCCGCTTGCATATCTTTGTCTGACCCATTATGTACAGATTTTACAGTTTACATCTGAGTTAATTATCTTAATTTAAATTTCTGGGAAGATTCTTCCAGGCTGACCTCCTGCTGTATGGGATATGGCAAAATAACTTAGGCCTTTAGACTGAGAGCTTAATTAAAATATGGGCTGTGCTGTGTGACCTTGGCCAAATTACTTAAACCTCAGTGTTCCTGCCTGTAAAATGGGGATAATATAAATTGCATTTAGGGATGGTTATGAGAATAAGAGAAAATACCTAAGATGTCCAGTTTATAGTATGTGCTGTTATTATTATGTTTAGTGCTTGGCTTCAGGTCCTGATCACCTGGTAAGCTTGTTAATTCTGATGGCCACCTTCTGGGCAACACAGAGATATCCGAGCTCCACAAAAACTAAAATCAGCCAGATATGGTGGTGCATGCCTGTAGTCCCAGTTATAGGCTGAGGTGGGAGGATCCCTGGAGCCCAGGAGGTCGAGGCTGCAATGAGCCATAATTGCCACCACTACACTCTAGCCTGGGCGACAGTGAAACCCTGTCTCAAAAAAAAAAGAGAATTCTGATGGCCCTGTTATACTCCCAGAACTGAAAATCAGAATCTTAGGCATGGAGCCCAGGTTCTATATGTTTATCTCCAGGTGATTCCGAAACACATCCAGGGCTGAGAACCACAAGCACACCCTCCCCTCCCCACCGAACCAGGAATTATGTTCTCCTTCTGTTGTCTGTATATCTCCATACAGAATTTACCACAGTCTATCAGTAAACTGTCTCTTAGTTAGGCAGGTCTGTCTATCCCATAGCTAGAAATTCTGAGGGTCAGCTCCCTTCTAGACTGGATGTGGTTATTCCCAAATCAACCATCTACTGAGTCATGCCTCTTCATCCATTACAATAATCTCATTTTAGAGGGGAACCCAAGCTTTTTGATTTATTAATTTATTCACTCATTTGCAGTTGACCCCTTAAGCCCTCTACAGCATGAATAATTGAGAATTCACACAAATTCTGGGGTGAGACTAGAACAAATGGAAAGAGAAGTTTAACACAAGTTGACGCAAGTCTCTAGGTATTAATAACTGCTCCATAATTAATAATAATATAACAATAGTTATATAGCATGCTTTGTGTCAGGCCTTGTTTTAAGTGCCGGCTAACCATAGGTCGAAGGCTTCCTGGATTCCCTAGCAGAGGAATGAATGACATGAAAGGAAATTCCTCTAGGAAAAAAACAAAACAAAACATTTTTGAGGTTTTCTTTGTCTCACCTCTGGTTTCAGACCCATGGTTCCTTTGCTGAGTCATGGAGAACGGCATTTTGAAAGGGGGAAGGCGGAGGAGTGTCACCTTCCTATTCCCAGGGCAGCAGAGTCACCAAGGCTAGACAGCCACATTTTCATCCTACCCTAAGTCTCTTCAATGAATACATAATAATATTAATGAATGCTTGAATGAAAAATTAATAAGTAATTCAACAAGCACTTACTGATTCCCTCTGAAAGATTTGGAATCAAATATCCCTGGATTTGATTCCTACCTCTGTCACTTATGACACTGGGCAAGTGACTAAGCCTCGATTTCTTCATCTATAAAAGGAGCTGGGCCAGGACATATCAGCAAGTTCCTTCTCAACTCTCTAGTCCAGGCTTCTTAGACAATAACCTGCACATGAATCATTTGGAACTTTGGTAAATGCAGATGCTAATTCAACGCTTCCGGGTAGAGCCCGGGAATCTGCATTTCTATCCATCTCCCGCAGCAGCTGCTGGGACACACCTTGAGTAGTGAAGATCACACTTGGAGTCCACACTGAGGCAATTTTTAGCTGTTCTCACTCACAGACTTTCTTATCCATTGTATCAATTTTAGTGCGTCAAAGTGACTTGCAGAACCTGTTAACTATGCAGCTGCGTGATTCTTTCCCCAGTCCCCAGAATCAAAGTCTCAGACACACCCTGGTGGTTCTAACCCCCACTAATGTCCACATCCTTCAAGGTGGTTATTTATTTGCCTTCTCCAGCCTTCCCTTGAGTAGGCCAAATCATTCTAAATGCTTCAAATGTTTTTGCACCCAGGATTTTGTAATAAATTCCCTTTAAAAGGTCAGACATTTATGAGAAGGGAGTTTAATTATTAGTCTTTTCTGAATGTAAACCATCTTCATTCCAACTAAAGTGGTAGGAGAGGAGAAGCAGTATGGGGAAAGAGTAGAATTTCCTGCTGATTTGACACAAAATGCTGATATCAATGAAGATAACATTTAGCTAACAGCAAATGGGGTATAAAGTGTCATCAATTCAATGAATCACTGTGCACTGGAAAAAAATGCCCTAAAATCTCACAGCTCATATATGAAAGAAACTTTGATGTCCCAAATTTGACACTAATCCTAATATCTTTATGACATTACCAATAATGACTTCTGAAGCTGAAATAAGCTTTTCTGGACTATCAATAATAGAAAAAGTTTATAATCAATCATGCTAGAGGAATACTGGTTTTTTTAATTCTATGGAAAATATTACAAAATTATTATGATATGAAGATGCAGCTAAGAAGGATGCAGCCAAAAAACCTAGGAAAATCGGGCCTGTAATCCCAGTTACTTGGGAGGCTAAGGCAGGAGGATTGTTGAGCCCAGAAGTCCAAGCTATGATTACACCATGGTACTCCAGCCTGGGTGACAAAGCAAGACTCCATCTCTAAAAAACAAACAACAACAACAAAGACATAGGAAAAAAAGTATTATAGAGGAATGTCAAAGAGTTAACACAAATAGTATGTTACCTTTCTGGATTTTGAGATGTGTGTGATCTTGATGTTTCAGCTCTTTTTTCTAATACGTTGTGATTTCATTTCAAAATCTAAATATTCACTTTTGTATCTTTTATATCTGTGATTTTATAATGTTTCTGTATTGGTTTGTGTTTGTTTGTTTGTTTGTTTTGACACGGAGTCTCACTCTGTCACCCAGGCTGGAGTGCAGTGGTGCGATCTCTGCTCACTGCAACCTCCACCTCCTGGGTTCAAGCGATTCTCCTGCCTCAGCCTCCTGAGTAGCTGGGATTACAAGGGTGCCCAGCTAATTTTTGTATTTTTAGTAGAAACGGGGTTTTGCCCTGTTGGCCAGGCTGGTCTCAAACTCCTGACCTAAAGTGATCTGCCCGCCTCGGCCCCTCAAAGTGCTGGGATTACAGGTGTGAGCCACCATGCCCGGCCTCTGTATTGTTGTTTAAAGACGGCTCCCCAGATTACATAAGCTTTAGACCCCATAAAACTAGAATCTTCACGCCTGTAATCCCAGCACTTTGGGAGGCTGAGGTGAGTGGATCACGAGGTCAAGAGATCAAGACTGGGCCAGGCACAGTGGCTTATGCCTGCAATCCCAGCACTTTGGGAGGCCCAGGCGGGCGGATCACGAGGTCAAGAGATTGAGACCATCCTGGCCAACCAACATGGTGCAACCCCATCTCTACTAAAAATACAAAAATTAGCTGGGCATAGTGGCGCACGCCTGTAATCCCAGCTACTCGGGAGGCTGAGGTGGGAGAATGGCTTGAACCTGGGAGATAGAGGTTGAATTGAGCCAAGAATGTGCCACTGCACTCCAGCCCGGGTGACAGAGTGAGACTCGGACTCAAAAAAAAACAAGAGATCAAGACCATCCTGGCCAACACGGTGAAACCCCGTCTCCACTAAAAATACAAAAATTAGCTGGGCGTGGTGGCACGCACCTGTAGTCCCAGTTACTAGGGAGACTGAGGCAGGAGAATCGCTTGAACCCGGGAGGTGGAGGTTGCAGTGAGCCGAGATGGCACCACTGCACTCCTGCCTAGTGACCGAGTGAGACTCCATCTCAAAAAACAAACAAACAAACAAAAAAAGCAAAACAGAATTTACCCTGGGTATACTTGAAAGCATATGAACTTTGGTGTCACATCTGGGCTTAAATCACAGATCTACCACTTGCTTCTTGTGTGCTGTGTGGCCTGAGAAAAGTTACTTAATCTCCCTGAACCTCAGTTGTTTGCTCTAAAATGGAATGGTGAGCTGGGCATGGTGGTGAACGCCTGTAGTCCCAGCTACTTGGGCGGCTTAGCTGGAACTGCTTAAGCCCAGGAGTTCAAGTCCAGCCTAAGCAACATAGCAGGACCTCGTATCTAAGAAAAATAAAATAAAATAGGCCAGGCGCGGTGGCTCACTCCTGTAATCTCAGCATTTTGGGAGACCAAGGCGGGTGGATCACGAGGTCAAGAGATTGAGACCATCTTGGCCAACATGGTGAAACCCCATCTCTACAAAAAATACAAAATTTAGCTGGGCGTGGTGGCACGTGCCTGTAGTCCCAGCTGCTTGGGAGGCTGAGGCAGGAGAATCGCTTGAACCCAGGAGGCGGAGGTTGGAGTGAGCCAAGATCGCGCCACTGCACTCCAGCCTGGTGACAGAGCGAGACTCCGTCTCAAAAATAAAAATAAAATAAAATAAATAAAATAAAAATAAAAAACAAAATGGGATGGTAATATCTATCTTGCAGGCTTGTCTTGAGAATTAAATAAGATGCTGAATGCAAAGTGCCAATTTTGTGGCCATCTTAATAAGCCTGTGGTGAGAAGACAATTGAGACAGTGAGAGGTTCATTTGAGGTCACATAGCAGAGTGAATGTCCTTTAGAAAGAATCTGGATTTGAAGTTTATATTAACAACCTCACTTCCTCTCAATCTCCCATCCCTTTCAAAACAGGAAGTAAACAGCAAGCCTGTATTATGGAAGTAAATCTAACCCATCCTTCCCTCTTCACCAAAGACAAGTCATAGAGACGTCCCCACACACTACACCCATGCGCTTCCACGTGGGGAAAGTCGAATGGGTGCCCAACTGACAGTGCCTGTGAGAAATAATGAATCAGATGCAATTGAGAAATACTTGGCCTTTTGGTTTTCTTTTGAAATCATCTATTTGGTTACCAGTTTTGTGTTCTGTTTTTTTTCCACCAACTCAACCCCAAAATTCTCTTTTTTCCACAAACTTGCTCCAGTTTCTTTTTTTTTTCCCCCCCTTGAGACAGAGTCTTGCTCTGTCACCAAGGCGGGAGTGCAGTGGCGCGATCTTGACTTACTGCAACCACCACCTTACAGGTTCAAACGATTCTCCTGCCGCAGCCTCCCGAGTAGCTGGGATTACAGGTGCATGCCACCATGCCCAGCTAATTTTCGTATTTTTAGTAAAGACGGGGTTTCACCATGTTGGCCAGGCTGGTCTCGAACTCCTGACCTCAGGTGATCCACCAGCCTCGGCATCCCAAAGTGTTGGGATTACAGGCATGAGCCATCGCGCCCAGCCTCCAGTTTCTTTAGAAGCATTATTTCATTTCATTCTCACAGTGGCTCTAGATGATAAGTATTTAGTTTTTCAGTTTTGTTTTGCTTTTAGAGACAGGGTGTAACTACGTTGCCTAGACTGGACTTGAACTCCTGGGCTCAAGTGATCCTCCCATCCTCCCGCCTCAGCCTCTGAGTAGCTGGGACTACAGGTACCTGCCACTGAGCCTGGCTCCAAGATGATAATTATGTATTTATAATCCCCATTTTGTGGATAAGGAAACAGAGGCTGAGAGAGGTGGAGTACCTTACCTGGATATGAATCCAGGTCTGCCTGGTGTCAGAACCCAGGTTCTTTTTTTTTTGAGATAGAGTCTCGTTCTGTCGCCAGGCTGGAGTTCAGTGGCATGATCTTGGCTCACTGCAACCTCCACCTCCCAGGTTCAAGCAATTCTCCTGCCTCAGCCTCTCGAGTAGCTGCAACTATAGGCGCTCCACCACGCCCAGCTAATTTTTGTATTTCTAATAGAGACGGGGTTTCGCCGTGTTGGCCAAGATGGTCTCGATCTCTTGACGTCATGATCCGCCCGCCTCGGCCTCCCAAAGTGCTGGGATTACAGGTGTGAGCCACCGCACCCGGCCTTCCTTTTTCTTTATTTTTGGTGTGATCACACATTGCATTTACTTGTCGTATCTCCTTAGTCTCATTTGCCCCAATTTTAAAATAAGGTAGAAAAGAGATACTTCCGGCCGGGCGCAGTGGCTCACGCCTGTAATCCCAGCACTTTGGGAGGCCAAGACGGGCGGATCACGAGGTCAGGAGATCGAGACCATCCTGGCTAACATGGTGAAACCCCGTCTCTACTAAAAAAATACAAAAAAATTAGCTGGGCGTGGTGGCGGGCGCCTATAGTCCCAGCCATGCGGGAGGCTGAGGCAGGAGAATGGCGTGAACCTGGGAGGTGGAGCTTGCAGTGAGCCAAGATCGCGCCACTGCACTGCAGCCTGGGCAACAGAGCGAGACTCCATCTCAAAAAAAAAAAAAAAAAGAAAAGAAAAGAAAAGAGATACTTCCAGAATCCTTTGCAGTTCTAACATTCTGTAAGTGAGCCCATTCTGTATACACATAATTCAGCTAACTGAATGTGTTCTTGCTGATTTTTCTGAAGATTTTCCCCTAGAGCTACAACGTCCTCTGCTTATACTACATCATGAAGGCTGCAAAGAATATGTGGTGGTAAACATGATGTGGCCATGGAGTTTAGATAGCCTTGGCTCTGAATCCCAGCTCCATCAAGCCCCGGTTATGTGACCTTGGACACATAACCAGGCTTCACCTCTTAAAGCCTCCTTTTCCTCCTTTATAAAATGGTGGTTGCATAAAGGTTCCCATCACCTAAAGCTGTTGTGACAGAGATGGCGCCTGGAAAGTGCACAGTACTGTGCTGAGGACTCAGCATTACTACGTTTGATAGCCTCACGCCTCCTTGTCTGTTTTGGGTCTGAATGTAGAATTTGAGGGGGTAACATCAAAGGGAGACTGAGGTGCAGTGGCTCATGGCTGTAATCCTAGCCCTTTGGAAGGCTGAGATGGGAGGATCGCTTGATCTCAGAAGTTCAAGACCAGCCTGGGCAACAGAGTGAAACCCCATCTCTACAAAAAATTTACATATATATATATATATTTAAAAATTAAAAATATATATATATATGACTGAGTTGGAGAGGGGCAGAAGGGGCAAGGGACATGGGATGGCCAGATGGTGTGATTCCAGATGAATGCACATGGCTAAGCTGGGGAAGAGAACAGCTTTCCTCTCTGCCCAACCCCACCCATGTGTGTCTGGGTAATGTCAATGAGACGTTGGGCTGGAAAATGGTAGAGAACACTAAAATATCCAAAGGGGGAATTACAGTTATTTCTGAAATGCATCCCCAAATTTTCTGTCTCAGCAGGCAATGACAAATCCCTGGGGTAAAACACAGTCTGTTCTTCCCTTCTCTCTAACACCCGCACAATTCCTAATCAGAATTTCATTCTCCACTTAAGCAGTCAATCCAAAGCCTCCAATTCTTCCAGCTTCTGAAAGTTCAGCTCATCTGCCCTAAATCCTTTAAAATAAACAAACTGATAAGCCAAACAACATTCCTGCCATTTCTCTTTTTTAAAATCTTAGCATTTTATAATAGTTTAAAAATGGAAACAATCAAAATATCCAACCATAGAGGACTCATTAAATAATTATAACCTTATAATAGAATATTGCTCTATAATAGAAAATTGTACTATGTTATATAGACTACTGTACTATAATGTTCCATATTATGATTGAATATTAAAAGCAACCATGGATGTAGAATGGAGTAGTGGTTATCACTGTAAATCCTGGAGTTGGACTGACCTGGGTTTGATTCCCAGATCCACCACCTACCAGCTGCATGACCTTGACAAGTCTTGCTCTGCCTTAGTTGTGCATTGGAAAAATGACAATAATAATAAAAAGCCCTGATTTCACTGTCAGATTTTCTGCCTGGTTTAAATCCTGGTTCGGTCACTTTCTAATAGCTGTACAATCATGGACAGTTAATTAGGCTTTCTGTTGCTCAGTCTTCTCATGTATAAACAGGATATACCACACAGGGTTTTCTCCTGGGTGAGAATTAAAAGAGATAACACATGTAAAACCCTTAAAACAGTGCCTAGTGGGCGGGCGCAGTGGCTCACGCCTGTAATCCCAACACTTTGGGAGGCTGAGGTGGGTGGATCACCTGAGGTCAAGACTTCGAGACCATCCTGGCCAACATGGCAAAAACCCATCTCTACTAAAAATTCCAAAATTAGCCGGGTGTGGTGGTGTGCACCTGTAGTCCCAGCTACTCGGGAGGCTGAGGCAGGGGAATCGCTTGAACCCGGGAGGTGGAGGTTGCAGTGAGCTGAGACTGTGCCATTGCACTCTAGCCTGGGTAACAGAGCAAGACTCTGTCTCGAAGAAACAAAACAAAACAAAACAAGAACAGTGCCTAGCACAACTCATGTGATACTATCATTCGTGCACCCATACCCCACTTCCAACTCCACGAGTGATTTCTAAATATAAACACACATCCAAGTCACTTAGAGTGCACCATCTTGAAAAGGAACACCTGTGCTACACCAGATGTATAACATCAGCATGCATCCATCTCAGGTGGGCTTTCTGGCAGGGGGTATCATCATCATCATTAAGAACTGGGTAACCAGGTGCCAGCCCCCTCCCCTCTAATAGAAGTAGCTGGGGGTTGCTAGGGCTCACTCAGTGTACAGTGAGCCCGTGATGGTGCATTCTGCCTTTGAACTTGACTGGAAACCCACAGCTGTCTGCAGAGGGCTCCTGATGGAGGGTCCCAAGTGCCCATGCTATTACTCAACAACAGCCCAACTTAGCCGGGTCACAGAGAGGCAGCCACCTGTTGAACCCACAGCACCGTTCAGTTCCCATCTTAGTTCTTCCTCTGGGTAAACTCTGACACTATTATCAATTTAACCCCAAAAGGGGGATGGGGCGGGTGGCCAATCTGGTATTTCTCTTAAGCCTAACTGTCAATTCCCCACAGTTCTTTTTTTTTTTTTTTTTTGAGACGGAGTCTAGCCCTGTTGCCCAGGCTGGAGTACAATGGCGCCATCTTGGCTCACTGCAACCTCCGCCTCCCAGGTTCAAGCGATTCTCCTGCCTCAGCCTCCCGAGTAGGTGGGATTACAGGCGCCTGCCACCACGCCCAGCTAATTTTTGTATTTTTTAGTAGAGACAGGGTTTCACTGTGTTGGCCAGGCTCGTCTCAAACTCCTGACCTCATGATCCACCTGCCTCGGCCTCCCAAAATGCTGGGATTACAAGCGTGAGCCACCGTGCCTGGCCCCCACAGTTCTTGGCTTCCAACAGAATTAGGGTAATTCATATGGTACATTATACTTTTCAAAGAGTTTATACATACATGATTGTCATAATTTACATGTATATAATGCTTAACTATTTTAGAAAGCACTTTCTCTTCCACTAACTGATTCATCTTCACAAGAACACTGTGAGCTTCGAGTTGGAGAAACTCCAGCAAGGGAGAGGTGAAACCGTGGAGATGGGTGTTGCCTATGGAGGTTGGCTCTGTGGCTGCATGGGTGGTGCAACCCAAGCGAGGGTATCTCATTCCCAGGCCCACCTCCTCAGCCTCACAGGCTCCAAAATATAAGCTGGCAATACATCCAGAGTGGCCCTACTCCCAGGCTGGACTCATGGTAACCAGCACCCTAAGACAGTGGCACACCCCCACGGCCACATCTAAACAGATGGTGGTAAACAGAGGTGCTGGGGGCCTCGGCTGGCACATTATCTTACTGTAGGATCTTCCCCAGGGGTAGTCAGTGGGGAATCCCAAGGGGACTTACTTGGTGGGTGATGGAGAATTAAGGGAGGCAGCCAAAGGGTTCCAGGGACTCACTGGGAGTAGTGAAAATTTCCAGGCCACGCCAGGCTACCTCTCCACTCACTGACTTCTTGCTTGCTTGACTTTTTTTTTTTTTTTTTAAGTATCGAGGGCTAATGAACATTTCTTCCTAGATATGTGAATTTTGTGGGCTAGTGACAACCAAGCCTTGATTGGAAGCCATTCTGTTTTTGTCTGTTTTTTTTGAGACAGGGTTTTGCTTTATCACTGAGGCTGGAGTGTGGTGGCCTGATCATGGCTCACTGCAGCCTCGAACTCTCAGGCTCAAGCAGTCCTCCCAGATCCTCAGAGGGTTGAGTCAGGAGGATCACTTGAGCCCAAAAGTTCAAGACCAAGCCTGGGCAACATACCAAGACTCTGTCTCTATAAAAAAAAATTTTAAATTAGCTGGGTCTGGCCGGGCGCTGTGGCTCACACCTGTAATCCCAGCACTTTGGGAGGCTGAGGTGGGCGGATCACCTGAGGTCAGGAGTTAAAGACCAGCCTGGCCAACATGGTGAAACCATGTCTCCACTAAAAATACAAAAATTAGCTGGGCATGGTGGCACACACCTGTAGTCCCAGCTACTCAGGAGGCTGAGGCAGAAGAATCGCTTGAACCTGGGAGGTGGAGGTTGCAGCGAGCTGAGATCTCACCACTGCACTCCAGCCTGGGCGACAGAGCAAGACTCTGTCAAAAAAAGAAAAAAAAAATTAGCTGGGTGTGATAACACACACCTGTTATTCCAGATACTCTGGGGCTTGAGATAGGAGGATGGCTTGAGCCCAGGAGTGTGTTGCAAGCCTGTGCAACACAGCGAGACCACCATCTCCATGAAAACTTCAAAAATTAGCCAGGTGTGGTGGCACACACCTGTAGTCTCAGAAACTTGGGGACTTGAAGCGGGAGGATTGCTTGAGCTGAGGAGGTCAAGGCTACCGTGAGCCGTGATTGAGCCAGTCTGGGTGACAGAGGAAGACCCCCATCACTAAAAATAAAAACGGTCTCAGTCACTGTGGCTTTTAGATGCATTATTCTTACTCCCATTTTATATATGAAGAAATTGAGGCTTTGATAAGTTGTGATAACAAAACTGTCTTTGATATATGAAGGATATCAGACTATAAGCTCCTGGGGGCTAGATACCCCCAGACTCACCTCAATGACGCCTCCTGGCCCACAGCACACAGCACAGAGCTTTCCCATCAGCGTACACTTGCTAATTTGAATGGAAGGATGCTTGAGGCTGCTGTTTGTTCAGGGTCATAGGGCAGCAGTCCCTAAACCAGACTGACTCACTGCCAGGAGTGTATATGCAAAGAACCGTACAACAGTTGTAGCAGCAGAGCTGTGCTGATCCGCCTACATCTTTTACCCACTCTCCTATCCAAAAGCTCGCGTTTGTTGAATGACTCATTGGCATAAGGAATCCAGCCTGCAGCCCTGAGAGAATCTCAGGGTCAGAAAGGGGTCTCAGAGGCACCTAATTCAACCTAACCAAAATATTCATTTTCCCCACAACCATACTTCCCAGAAATTTACATTTCAAAGACCAATAAAATTTCCCCCAAAATTTTGAGACCAAAAAGTAAGGTTGTTGCCAAGTAAGGTTATGAGAGAAAAAACCCATAGTCTATATATACTGCATTTCATAAAATAAAGAATGCCTGAACACCAAACCGTTGAGGAAGGCTCAGAACAAATAACTGTACTTTATTTTTTTCTTTTTTGAGACAGAGTCTGGCTCTGTTGCCCAGACTAGAATGCAATGGTGCTATCTCGTCTCACTACAACCTCCACCTCCCAGGTTCAGGCGATTCTCCTGCCTCAGCCTCCAAAGTAGCTGGGATTACAGGCACCTGCCACGATGCCCAGCTAATTTTTGTATTTTTAGTAGAGACGGGGTTTCACCAGGTTGGCCAGGCTGGTCTCAAACTACTGACCTCAGGTGATCCACCCACCTAGGCCTCCCAAAGTGTTAGGATTACAGGCGCGAACCACCATGCCCAGCCAACTGTACTTTAAATGGAATGCATTTTCTTATATGAAAAATTCAGTGCATTATCTGGTGGACACTAATTTGGAACCACAGTCCTTTACCAGCCTCCCGAATCGACCATGAAGCCCTTGTTTGAACTTCTTCAATGATGGAGAGCTAAAGGTTTTTGAAACAGCCCAATTATTTTCAAAAACTCTAACCTCCCAGCCTGGCCAACATTGTGAAACCACATCTTTACTAAAAGTACAAAGATTAGCTGGGCATGGCAGCACCAGCCTGTAGTCCCAGCTACTTGGGAGGCTGAGGTGGGAGGATCACTTGAGCTCAGGAGGCAGAGGTTGCAGCAAGCCGAGATTATGCCACTGCACTCTAGCCTGGGTGACAAAGTGAGACCCTGTCTCAAAAAAAGAAAAAAACTCTAACCATTAAGATTTTTTTTGACAGGGCGTGGTGGCTCATGCCTGTAATCCCAGCACTTTGGGAGGCCGAGACGGGTGGATCACGAGGTCAGGAGATCGAGACCATCCTGGCTACCATGGTGAAACCCCATCTCTACCAAAAATATAAAAAATTAGCCGGGCACGGTGGCGGGCACCTGTAGTCCCAGCTACTCGGGAGGCTGAGGCAGGAGGATGGCATGAACCTGGGAGGCGGAGCTTGCAGTGAACTGAGATGGCCACTGCATTCCAGCCTGGGCAACAGAGCGAGACTCCATCTCAAAAAAAAAAAAAAATTAGCCAGGCGTGGTGGCGCATCCCCGTAATCCCAGCTACTTGGGAGGCTGAGGCAGGAGAATCGCTTCAACCCAGGAGGTGGAGGTTGCAATGAGCCGAGAGTGTGCCACTGCACTCCAGCCTGGATGACAAAAGCGAAACTTAGTCTCAACAATAACAACAACAACAAACCCCTCAAAACTACCTGAGTTGAAAAGAGGATTCCTACCACATTAAAATACAAAACATGGGTGGGGAGGTGTTGGGGGAAGTGTGGTGCTGATGTGTTCTATCTACTGATCTGGCGTCCTGTGCTTCTTTCATGAAAGCTATGACTTGTGCCCCTGTTTTACACCCAGAGAGAAATACTCTAAATATTACTATTGGTCATCTCTATATGGGTGGTTAGGGGTGATTTAAAATCCTTTCTTTAAAAATGTTATTTATTTTCTACAATGACATGTTGCATTTCTATACTTAGGAAAAAAGTGAAAAAAATTTAAATCTCACTCCTACTACATATGATCCTGGCTGGGTGGGGTGGCTCACGCCTTTAATCCCAGCACTTTGGGAGGTAGGCGGATTACCTGAGGTCAGGAGTTCAAGACCAATTTGACCAACATGGAGAAACCCTGTCTCTATTAAAAATACAAAATTAGCTGGGTGTGGTAGTGCATGCCTGTAATCCGAGCTACTTGGGAGGCTGAGGCAGGAGAATCGCTTGAACCCAGGAGTCGGAGGTTTCAGTGAGCCGAGATCACACCATTGCACTTCAGCCTGGGCAGTAAGAGCAAAACTCTGTCTCAAAAAAAAAAAAAAAAAAAAATCCTGACTTGTTCTTTTGGAAAGTAACTTATCAAGGCTTTTAAAAATATTCAAAATAACGGCCGGGCACAGTGGCTCACACCTGTAATCCCAGCACTTTGGGAGGCCAAGGCGGGTGGATCACGAGGTCAGGAGATCGAGACCATCCTGGCTAACACGGTGAAACCCCGTCTCTATTAAAAAATACAAAACATTAGTCTGGTGTGGTGGCAGGCACCTGTAGTCCCAGCTACTCGGGAGGCTGAGGCAGGAGAATGGCATGAACCTGGGAGGTGGAGCTTGCAGTGAGCTGAGATTGTGCCACTGCACTCCAGCCTGGGTGACAGAGTGAGACTCCACTTCAAAAAAAAAAAAAAAAGAAAAATATATATATATGTTCAATATATTCAAAATACCTTCCATTGTCAGACAAGGAAAAAATCTCTCTCTGTCTCTCTCTCTCTCTCTCTCTCTATATATATATATGTATATATATATATATGGATCTATTTATCTATCTCTCTTCAAACCAGGCATAGGAAATGTTTGAAAAAAATTCTTTAGCAAATCCTTAACAGTGATCACTCCTGTGGAGTCTGTCTGGGGAAGGTGGGTGTTGAGAAACTTTTATTTTTTTTGTTTTTTAATAGAGACTGGGTCTTGCCATGTTACCCAGCCTAGCCACCAACTCCTGGTCTCAAGTGATCCCCCTGCCTCGGCCCCCTAGAGTGCTGGCATTACAGGTGGGAGCCACTGTGCCCAGCCAAGTTTCACTTCTTTACTTGGTATATTTCTACATGGTTTGTTTATTTAACAATGAACATATGCTGCTTTCAAAATCACACACACACACACACACACACACAATCAAACCTTTGACCAGAATCCTCTAATCCTCTATCTATCTTAAAAGACAAATCTTAAAAACAGGAAGTATCAGGCTCAGATAGGTTTACTGGAATTTTTTTTTTTTTTTTTTTTTTGAGACAGAGTCTTGTTCTGTTGCTCAGACTGGAGTGCAGTGGCACAATCTTGGCTCGCTGCAACCTCTGCCTTCCAGGTTCAAGTGATCCTCCTGCCTCAGCCTCCTGAATAGCTGGGACTACAGGCACCTGCCACCACTCCTGGCTAATTTTTGTATTTTTAGTTGAGACGGGGTTTTACCATGTTGGCCAGGCTGGTCTCGAACTGCTGACCTCAGGTGATTGTCCAACCTCAGCCTCCCAAAGTGCTGGGATTACAGGAGTAAGCCACTGCACCTGGCCTTACTGGAAAATTCTAGCAAACATTTAAGGAAGAAATTATACAAATTCTCTACAAACTCTTTCAGAAGACAGAGGCAGAGGAAATCCTTAACTCATTCTATAAGGCCAGCATTATCCTAATATCAACAGCAGACACAAATGTTAGAAGAAAACTATAGACCAATATCTCCTATAAACACAGATACAAGAATCCTCAACAAAATATAAGCAAATTTAATCTTACTATGTATAAAAAGAATTATACATTATGAGCAAGTGGGATATAGCTCAGGTATGCAAAACTGGTTCAACATTTGAAAATCAATTAATGTAATCCGCCACATCAATAGGCTAAAAAAGAAAAATCACATGATCTCGTCAAGAGATGCAGAAAAAGCACTGATGAAATCGAACATCCATTCATGATAAAAACTCACCAAATTAGGAATAGAGGGGAACTTTCTCAACTTGATAAAGAACATCTGCAAAAAACCCTACAACTAACATCATACTCAATGGTGGGAAACTAGAAGCTTTCCCACAAAGACCAGGAACAAGCGAAGGAGGTTTTCTCTCACCACTTTCTTTCAGCATTGTACTGGAAGTCCTAGCTAATGCAATAAGAAAAGAAAATAAAAAGCATAAGATGGGGAGGGAAGAAATAAAATTATCTTTGTTTGAAGATAAAATTATTATTTATGTAGAAAATCCAAAAGAATTGACAAAAAAATCCTTCTGGGACTAATAAGCAATTATAGCAAGTTGCAGGATATAAAAATATTTATTTATTTATTTTTATTTACTTTTTTGAGATGGAGTCTCCCTCTGTCACCCAGGCTGGAGTGCATCGGTGCGATCTCTGCTCACTGCAACCTCCGCCTCCCCAGTTCAAGCAATTCTCTCCCTCAGCCTCCTGAGTAGCTGGGATTATAGGCACCCACCACCATCCCTGGCTAATTTTTGTACTTTTAGTAGAGACAGGGTTTCACTATGTTGGCCAGGCTGGTCTGGAGCTCCTGACCTCGTGATCCACCTGCTTCGGCCTCTGGAAGTGCTGGGATTATAGGCTTGAGCCACCACGCCCGGCCATGAGCCACCACGCCCAGCCTATTTATTTATTTATTTATTGAGACAGGGTCTGCTCTTTCACCCAGGCTGGAGTGCAGTGGCGTGTTCTCGGCTTACTGCAACCTCTGCCTCTGGAGTTCATGAGATTCTTGTGCCCCAGCCTCCTGAGTAGCTGAGATTACAGGCATGTGCCACCACACCTAGCCAATTTTTGTATTTTTAGTAGAGATGGGGTTTCACCATGTTGCCCAGGCTGGTCTCAAACTCCTGAGCTCAGGCAATCCACCCACCTCAGCCTCCCAAAGTGCTGGGATTACAGGCCTGAGCCACTGTGCCCAGCCAAGGATATAAAGTTAATATACAAAAGTCAAAGCCAGGCACAGTAGCACACACCTGTAGTCCCAGCTACCCAAAAGGCTGAGGCAGGAGGATTGCTTGAGCCCAGAAGGTTGAGGTCAGCCTGGACAGCATAGTGAGACCCTATCTCTTTAAAAAAGTCAATCATGGCCGGGCACGGTGGCTTATGCCTGCAATCCCAGCACTTTGGGAGGCTGAGGCGGGCAGATCACCTGAGGTCAGGAGTTCGAGACCAACATGACCAACACTGAGAAACCCTGTCTCTACTAAAAATACAAAAATTAGCTGGGTGTGGTGGTGGGTGCCTGTAGTCCCAGCTGCTTGGGATGCTGAGGCAGGAGAATCGCTTGAGCCCGGGAGGCTGAGGTTGCAGTGAGCAGAGATTGTGCCATTGTACTTACTCCAGCCTGGGCAACAGAGTGAGACTCCATCTCAAAAAAAAAAAAAAAAGTTCATCATTTCCTATATACTAGCAATGAACAAGTGGAATTTGAAATGAAAAACGCATTACCATGTACATTAGAACCCCTAAAATGAAATAAGTTTAAAACTAACAAAATATGTACAAGGTCTATATGTGGAAAACTAGAAAACTCTGATGAAAGATATCAAAGCAGAACTCAATCAATAGAGAAGACTCAATGGTGTCAAAATGTCCATTCTTCCCAACCCGATTTAGAGATTCAAAGCAATCTCACTTAAAACCTCAGCAATTGATTTTGCAGGTAGTGACAAACTGATTGTAAAGTTTATATTGAGAGGCAAAAGACCCAGAGTAGCCAACATAATATTAAAGGAAAAGAACAAAGACAGAGGGCTGACACTACCTGACTTCAAGACTTAATATAAAGCAACAGTAATCACGACAGTGTGGTATTGGCAAAAGACTCGACAAATAGATCAATGAAACAGAACTGAGCACCCAGGAATAGACCCATAGAAATACAGTCAACTGATCTTTGACAAAGGAGCAAAGGCAATACAATGAAGTGAAGATAGCCTTTTCAACAAATGGTGCTGGAACAACTGGACATCCACATGCAAAAAAAAAAAAAAAAAAAAAGAATCTAGATACAGATCTTATGCTCTTCACTAAGGTCAACTAAAAATGGATCATAGACCTAAATGTAAAATACAAAACCATAAAACTCCTAAAAGATAGCACAGATAAAAATCTAGATGACCTTGGGTAGAGTGATGACTTTTCATCACTCAGCTTTACTGAGGTATAATTGACAAATAAAAAGGTATATGTTGGCCGGGTGCAGTGGCTTACCCCAGTAATGCTAGCACTTTGGGAGGCCAAGGCAGGCTGATCACCTGAGGTCAGGAGTTCAAGACCAGCCTGGCCAACATGGCGAAACCCTGTCTGTACTAAAAATACAAAAATTAGCCGGGCATGGTGGCGGGCGCCTGTAATCCCAGCTACTCGGGAGGCTGAGGTAGGAAAATCGCTTGAGCCCAGGAGGTTGCACTGAGTCGAGATCGTGCCATTGCACTCCAACCTGGGCAACAGTGAGACTCTGTCTCAAAAAAAAAAAAAAAAGGTGTATGTTAGTGGTATATATATAATGAAATTATTACTACTATCATGCTAATTAACATATCCATAACATATAGTTATAATTTTTTGTGGTAAAACCATTTCTGAGTTATACTCTTAGCAATTTTCAAGTATACAAATATCATCATTATTAACTATAATCACCATGTGGCCAGGTGAGGTGGCTCAAACCTGTAATCCCAGAACTTTGGGAGGCCAAGGCAGACAGATTAGATTGCTTGAGCCTAGGAATTCAAGACCCGCCTGGGCAACATGGTGAAACCTCATTTCTACAAAAAATACAAAAATTAGCTGGGTATGGTGGTGCCTGCCTGTGGTCCCAGCTAGGAAGCTGCGGGAAGCTCAGGTAGGAGGATCGCTTGAGCCTGGGAGGTTAAGGCTATATGAGCTGAGATCACACCACTGTACTCCAGCCTGGGTAACAAAGTGAGACTCTGTCTCAAAAAATAAAAATTAAAAATAAGCAAACCACCATGCTGTACAATAGATCTCTGAATCTATTTATCCTATCAAACTGAAACTGTACCCTTTGACCAACATTCCCCATTCTCCCCTCCCACCAATCCCCTGGCAACCACCATTCCACTCTCTACTCCCAAGAGTTTGACTTTTTAAAATTTCACATATAAGTGAATTATGAAATATTGATTTTTCTGTGCCTGACATTTCATTTAGCATAATGTCCTCAATATTCATCCATATTATCACAAATGGCAGGATTTCTTTCTTTTTTAAGGCTGAATATTATTCCATTGCATATATAAATCACATTTTCTTTATTGATCATTCAATGGATATTTAGGTTGATTGTATATCTTGGCAATTGGGAATAACACTGCTATGAACATAGAGGTACAAATATCTCTTGGACATACGGATTTGATTTCCTTTGGATATACACCCAGAAGTTGGAGTGCTGGATCATATGGTAGTTCTGTTTTTTTGTTTGTTTGTTTGTTTGAGACGCAGTTTCGCTCTTGTTGCCCAGGCTGGAGTGCAATGGCACAATCTCTGCTCACTGCAACCTCCGCCCCCCAGGTTCAAGTGATTCTCCTCTCTCAGCCTCCTGAGTAGCTGGGATTACAGGCGCCTGCCACTACACCCGGCTAATTTTTTGTATTTTTAGTAGAGATGGGGTTTCACCATGTTGGCCAGGCTGGTCTCGAACTCCTGACCTCAGGTGATACACCTGCCTCGGCCTCCCAAAGTGTTGGGATTACAGGCATGAGCCACCACTCTCGGCGGGTAGTTGCTGTTTTTAAGTTTTCAAGGAATCACCATACTTTCCTTTATAGTAGCTATACTAATTTACATTCCCACCAACGGGACTGTGTGCAAGCATTCCCTTTTCTCCACACCCTTGTCAATGTTTATCTTTTGTCTGTTTGATAGTAGCCATTCTAACAGGTGTGAGGCGATACCTCATTGTGATGTTAATTTGCATTTCTCTGATGATTAATGATGTTAAGTACCTTTTCATGCACAGATCAGCCATGCACATACCTTCTTTTGAGAAAGGTCTATTAAAGTCTTTTACTCATATTGTTTTTCTCTTCCTCTCTCAACTGACCTTTGCTCATTTTTTAATCAGGTTATTTGTTTTCTTGCTATTGAGTTACATAAGTTCCTTATATATTTTGAATATTAATTTCCTATGAAATGTGTGGTTTGCAAATATTTTCTCACATTCTGTAGGTTGTCTCTTCACTCTGTTGATTGTTTTCTTTGCTATACAGAGTTTTAGTTTGATGCAATCCCATTTATCCATTTTTGCTTTTGTTGCCTGTCCTATGTCATTATGGGGCCATATCCAAAAAAATCTTTGCCCAGGCCAATGTCAAGAAGCTTTCTCCCTAAGTTTTCTTCCAGTAGTTTTACAGTTTCAGGTCTCAGTTCAAGTCTTTTTTTTTTTTTTTTTTTTTTTTTTGAGATGGAGTTTCGTTCTTGTTGCCCAGGCTGGAGTGCAATGGCTTGATCTCAGCTCACTGCAACCTCCGCCTCCCGGGTCCAAGAGATTCTCCTACCTCAGCCTTCCGAGCAGCTGGAATTACAGGTGTCCACCACCACACCTGGCTAATTTTGTGTATTTTTAATAGAGACGGGGTTTCACCATGTTGGCCAGGCTGGTCTCGGACTCCTGACCTTAGGTAATCCACCCGCCTCGGCCTCCCAGAGTGCTGGGATTACAGGCGTGAGCCACCATGCCTGGCCAGTTTAAGTCTTTTTTTTTTTTTTTTTTTTTTTGAGACGGAGTCTCGGTCTGTCGCCCAGGCTGGAGTGCAGTGGCGGGATCTCGGCTCACTGCAAGCTCCGCCTCCCGGGTTCACGCCATTCTCCTGCCTCAGCCTCCCAAGTAGCTGGGACTACAGGCGCCCGCCACTACGCCCGGCTAATTTTTTGTATTTTTAGTAGAGACGGGGTTTCACCGTTTTAGCCGGGATGGTCTCGATCTCCTGACCTCGTGATCCGCCCGCCTCGGCCTCCCAAAGTGCTGGGATTACAGGCGTGAGCCACCGCGCCCGGCCCAGTTTAAGTCTTTAATCTATTTTGAGGTGGTCTAAGATAAAGGTCCGATTTCATTCTTCTGCATGTGGATATGCAGTTTTCCCAAAACCATTTATTGAAGAGATTGTCCTATCCCCAGTGTGCATACATGCCAGCTCTGTTTAAGATCAATTGACCATAAATGTGTGGACTTATTTCTGGGTTCCCTATTCTGTTCCGTTGGTCTATATGTCTATTGTTATGCCAGTACCATGCTATTTTGATTGCTATAGCTTTACAGTATATTTGGAATTTAGGTAGTGAGATGCCTCCAGCTTTGTTCTTTTTGCTCAAGATTGTTTTGGCTATTCATGATCTTTTGTGGTTTCATATGAATTTCAGGATTGTTTTTTCTATTTCTGTAAAAAATGTCATCAGAATTTTGATGGAGATTGCATTGCTCTGTAGGTAACGTCAGGTAATAATTAATTTAAACATTAATTCTTCCAATTCATGAACACAGAATATCATTCCATTTATTTGTGTCTTCTTTAATTTATTTCATCAATATTTTATAGTTTTCTATGTACAAGTCCTTTACCTCCTTGATTAAATTTATTCCTAAGTATATTATTTTTGCTGATGCTATTATAAATGGGATTATTGTTTTGATTTCTTTGGGGGATAGTTTGTTGTTAGTGTATAGAAATGTTACTACTTTGGTATGATGATTTTGTATTCCATAATTTAACTAAATTTATTAGCTCTAACAGCTTTTTGGTGGAGTCTTTGGGGTTTCTTTTAATATACGATCATGTCATCTGCAGAGACAATGTTACTTCTTCTTTTCCAATTTGGATGCCATTTATTTGTCTTACCCAATTGCTCTAGCAAGGACCTCCAATACTATATTGAATAGAAGTGGTGAGAATGGGCATCCTTGTCTTGTTCCTTGTCACGGATCTATTTCTGAGGATTTTCACTTTGGAAATGTTCTCCATAAGAATCAGGCCCATACTTGCATGATTAATGCAATCCTGATAGCCACTGCATTGTAGAGATTCATCTTCATAGTATAATATGCTACCTTCACAATTAGTTGATAAAGTCGTCTGCCTAAATAACTACCCCATTTTTGAATAGTCATTACTATTCTGTGTAAATTCCTAATGTATGCCAGAACATGTCAATATCCTGTAAACCAGCTCTGGATATTAATTAACTCTGGATTAATGGGATGGACTTTCTATTTTTACAGTAGGAAGAAAATGGCAAAAACATATTGTCAATTACATTTCGCACTCATTCCTCTCTTTTGAGCTCCTCACTTTAACTTTAACTCACTGATTGGTTCTGGTGCCTGTAACATTGGCTCCAAAGGCTTGTGGCATTGTCCTAATACTTCAGTGATACCTTGGAAGGACCCCGATATTGCTTCCTATTGAGAGGTAGCAGCACTTCAGAAAAGACTGGGTGCTTATACAAGCTAGCCAATTGGTAAGGCTTATGGAGTACTTCTGCTTAACTTTAGATCTTTGGTATATTAAAAGCTTTGCCTTCTGTAACCACAACTCCCATGGACCAGGCTTTTCTCTCTCTCTCTCTCTCTCTCTCTCTCTCTCTCTCTCTCTGTGTGTGTGTGTGTGTGTGTGTGTGTGTGTGTGTGTGTTTTAGAGACAGAGTCTTGTTCTGTCGTTCAGGCTACCAGTGGCTCAAGTGATCCTCCAGCCTCAGTCTCCCAAGTAGCTGGGACTACAGGTGTGTACCACCATACTCAGCTAATTTTTTTTTTTTAATAGAGAGGGGGTCTTGCTATGTTGCCCAGACTGGTCTCGAACTCTTGGGCTCAAGTGATCTTCCTGCCTTGGCCTCCCAAAGTGCTGGGATTACAGGTGTGAGCCAGCATGACAGGCCACGGAATTTTTTTCTGAATGGTGAATTATATACACCTGGAATCTGCTTTGTGCTGAGGAGAAAATGCATCTTTTACACTTAGTGATCTCTTTTCTTTGCTTCCTTTTTGAGCTTAGCTTTGTTCTCTTCTCTCTTTTTTATCTCTGCAAACTCCTCTAGTGCCTCCCTAAATTGCATCACTGGTTCCCCAAACCATTCTCAGGTACTCCTTCAGATAAAAATAATTAAAACAGACCAGGCACGGTGGCTTATGCCTGTAATCCCAGCACTTTGAGAGGCCAAGGCAGGCGGATCACCTGAGGTCAGGAGTTCGAGACCAACCTGACCAACATGGAGAAACCCTGTCTCTACTAAAATAGCCAGGCATGGTGGCGCATGCCTGTAATCCCAGCTACTCGGGAGGCTGAGGCAGGATAATTGCTTGAACCCGGGAGGCAGAGGTTGTGATGAGCTGAGATCGTGCCATTGCACTCCAGCCTGGGTGGGCAACAAGAGTGAAACTCTGTCTCAAAACATAATAATAATAAAAATTAAAACAGTATTTCTCATTCTTACAGCCGCTCACCATCTTCTCTCAATCCTGATAGCCACTGCTGCCTAAATAACTACCCCATTTTTGAATAGTTATTACAATTCTTTTAAGTGCCTAATGTATGCCTGAACATGTCAATATCCTGTAAACCAGCTCTGAATTTTAACTGCTGGATCATTTTCCTTTTTTTCTAAATGTATTCACAATACTGTTCCTAAAGGAGTACGGATTTCCTACAACTGATGGCCAGCCTTGCAGCTGGGCTAACATGGCCATGGCCTCTTGGCCTCATGGGGGATGGCTTTTTAGATATAATGCCAAAGGCATGATTTATGAAAAAATAATTGATAAGCTGAACTTCTTTTCTTTTTTTTTTTTTTTTTGAGACGGAGTCTGGCTCTGTCGCCCAGGCTGGAGTGCAGTGGCGCGATGTCGGCTCACTGCAAGCTCCGCCTCCCGGGTTCACGCCATTCTCCTGCCTGAGGCTCCCGAATAGCTGGGACTACAGGCGCCTGCCACCGCGCCCAGCTAATTTTTTTGTATTTTTAGCAGAGACGGGGTTTCACTGTGTTAGCCAGGATGGTCTCGATCTCCTGACCTCATGATCCGCCCGCCTCGGCCTCCCAAAGTGCTGGGATTACAGGCGTGAGCCACCTCGCCCGGCCGATAAGCTGAACTTCATTAAAATTTAAAACCTCCGCTCCACAAAAGGCAATGTCAAAAGAATGAGAAGACAAGCCACAGACTAGGGGGAAATAATTGCAAAGAACACATTTGATAAAGGATTGTTATTCGCAATATGCAAAAAAAACTCTTAAAATCTCAACAATAAGAAAACAAACAACCTGGGCACTGTGGCTCATGCCTGTAATCCCAAGACTTTGGGAGGCTAAGGCGGGTGGATCACCTGAGGTAAGGAGTTCGAGATCGGCCTGGCCAACATGGTGAAACCCCATCTCTACTAAAAATACAAAAATTAGCTGGGTGTGGTCTTTGGTATATTAAAAGCTACTCGGGAGACTGAGGCAGGAGAATCGCTTGAACCTGGGAGATGGAGGTTGCAGTGAGCAAGATTGTGCCATTGTACTCTAGCCTGGGCGACAAGAGTGAAACACTGTCTCAAAAAAAAAAAACAAAAAAAAAAAACAGAAAAGAAAACAACAATCTGATTACAAAGTGGGCAGAAGAACCAAGCTGATATCTCACCAAACATCTACAGATAGCAAATAAGCATATGTAAAGGTGTTCTAAATCATATGTCATTAGAAAATTGCAAATTAAAACAATAATGATGTACCACTATGCACCTATTAGAATGACTGAGATACCAAACATTGGCATATCAAGTGCTGGTGAGAATGTGAAGCAACAAAAACTCTCATTCATTGCTGGTGGGAATGCAAAATGGTATATTCACTTTGGAAGACAATTTAACAGTTTCTTATATGACTAAAAGTACTATTCTATAACCCGGCAGTTATACTCCTTGGTATCTGCCCAAATGAACTGAAAACTTACGTGCACACAAAAACCTGCACACAGATGTTGATAGTGGCTTTATTCATAATTGTCAAAACTCTGAGGCCCAAGCTGTCCTTCAGTAGGTGAATGGATACCAAAGCCAGAGCAATTAGGCAAGAGAAAAAAAATAAAGGACTTATAAATTGGAAAAGAAGGAAGTCAAATTGTTCCAGTTTGCAGATGACATAATCCTATACATAGAAAAAGCTAAAGACTACCAAAAAACTGATAAACAAATTCAGTAAAGTTGCAGGATACAAAATCAACATACAAAAATCAGTAGTGTTTCTATACATGAACAATGAACTAATTGAAAAAGAAATCAAGAATGCAATTCCATTATAATAGCTCTAAAAAAAAAACCTACAAATAAATTTTACCAAGGAGGTGAAAGACTTCTACAAGGAAAACTACAAAACACTGATGAAAGAAATTGAAGTTGAAGATGATACAAATGGAAAGACGGCCCATGTTCATGGATTGGAAGAATTAATATTGTTAAAATGATCGTATTACCAAAAGCAATCTACAGATTCACTGTACTATCTATCAACATGTCAGTATATTCTTCATAGAAATAGAAAAAAAAATCCTAAAATTCATAAGAAACCACAAAAGACCCCAAATAGGCAAAGCAATCCTGAGCAAAAAGAACAAAGCTGAAGGCATTACACTACCAGTCTTCAAAATATACCACAAAGCTGTAGTAACTAAAATAGCATGGTAGTGACATAAAAATAGACACATAAACCAATAGGAAATAATAGAAAACCCAGAAATTAGTCCATGAATCTATAACCAACTGATTTTTTTTTTTTTTTTTTTTTTTTTTTTTTTGTGATGGAGTCTTGCTCTGTCACCCAGGCTGGAGTGCAGTGGCAAAGTGGCAAAATCTCAGCTCCCTGCACCTCTGCCTCCGGAGTTCAAGTGATTATCCTGCCTCAGCCTCCAGGGTAGCTGGGACTACAGGCGCCTGACACCATGTCCGGCTAATTTTTGTATTTTTAGTAGAGTCGGAGTTTCACCATGTTGGCCAGACTGGTTTTGAACCCCTGACCTAAGGTGATCCGCCCACCTCAGCCGCCCAAAGTGCTGGGATTACAGGTGTGCGCCACTGCCCCGGCTTAGCCAACTGATTTTTGACAAAGGTGCCAAGAACACTCACTGGGGAAAGGATAGTCTCTTCAAGAAATGGTGCTGGGAAAACTTTTTTTTTTTTTTAAGGCGGAATTTCCCTCTTGTTGCCCAGACTGGAGTGCAATGGCGTGATCTCAGCTCACTGCAACCTCTGCCTCCTGGGTTCAAGCGATTCTTCTGCCTCAGCCTCCCAAGTAGCTGGGGCTACAGGCATGTGGCACCACACCCGGCTAATTTTTGTATTTTTAGTAGAGACAAGGTTTCACCATGTTGGCCAGGCTGGTCTCAAACTCCTGACCTCAGGTGATCCACCCGCCTTGGTCTCCCAAAGTGCTGGGATTATAGGCGTAAGCCACCATGCCCAGCCCCGCTCAGGTACATAGCTCAGCTGATAGCTCATTTCT
The DNA here is from genome assembly GCF_000001405.40 of Homo sapiens. Classification (NCBI taxonomy): domain Eukaryota; kingdom Metazoa; phylum Chordata; class Mammalia; order Primates; family Hominidae; genus Homo; species Homo sapiens. Next base: position 41,991,396 of record NC_000006.12, read on the forward strand.
TTTTACCACAAAATAATACTCCATTGTCTGGATGCACCAGTTTGTTTCTTTTTAATTTAGTATAATTGTATTTTTTAATTGATACATAATAATTGTACATATTTATGGGGTACATAGTGATGTTTCAATACATATAGTGTACAGTGATCAGAGTAATTAGCATATCCATCATCTCAAACATTTGTCATTTTGTTTGTTTTGGGAGCATTCAGTATCCTCCACCTAGCTGTTTGAAACTATTATTATTATTCTTAACTGTAGTCATTCCAACAGTGGCATAGAACACTGGAACTTATTCCTCCTATGTAGCTGTAATTTTGTAACCTTTAACAAATCTCTCCCTATGCTTCCTTTCCCCTCCCCTTTCCATCCTCTAGTATTTTCTGTTCTACTTTTTCCTTCTATGACATCAGCTTTTTAAAGCTTCCACGTGTGAGTGAGAACATGCGGTGTTTAACTTTCTATTCCTGGTTTATCTGACTTCACATAATGTCCTCAGTTTCATCCACGGTGACATAAATGACAGGATTTCATTCTTTTTTATGGCTGAAAAGAATTCCATTGTGTACGTGCCACATTTTCTTCATCCATTCATCAGCTGTTGGACACCAAGGTTGATTCGATATCTTGATTGTTGTCAATAGCGCTGCAATAAATACGGAGGTGTGGATGTCTCGTCAATATACTGATTTCCTTTCCTTTGGATAAATGCCCAGTAGTGGGATTGCTGGATCATATGGTAGTTTGATTTGTAGTTTTTTTGTTTTATTTATTTTTTAATTTTTGAGAAGAAGTCTCACTCTGTCGCCCAGGCTGGAGTGCAGTGGCATGATCTCAGCTCATTGCAACCTCCACCTCCTGGGTTCAAGAGATTCTCATGCCTCAGCCTCCCAAGTAGCTGGGATTACAGGTGCCTGCCACCATGCCCGGCTAATTTTTGCATTTTTAGTAAAGACGTGGTTTTACCATGTTGGGCAGGCTGGTCTCAAACCCCTGACCTCAAGTAATCCTCCTGCCTCAGCCCCCAAAGTGCTGGGATTACAGGCATGAGCCACCACACCCAGCCGGTTTTTTTTTTTTTTTTTAGATGGAGTCTTGCTCTGTGCCAGGCTGGAGTGCAGTGGCTCACTGCAACCTCCACCTCCCGGGTTCAGACAATTCTCCTGCCTCAGCCTCCTAAGTAGCTGGGATAACAGGCATGCGCCACCACGCCCAGCTAATTTTTGTATTTTTAGTACAGACGGGGTTTCACCATGTTGGCCAGGCTGGTCTCGAACTCCTGACCTTGTGATACACTGGTCTCGGCCTCCCAAAGTGCTGGGATTACAGGTGTGAGCCACAACACCCAGCAATATTTTATCTATCTTGGGACAGGGTCTCGCTCTGTCACCTAGGCTAGAGTATGGTTCCACTATCATGGCTCACTGCAATCTCGTCCTCCCTCAAGCAATCCTCCTGTCTCAGCCTCCCAAAGTGCTGAGGTTACAAGCATGAGCCTCTGTGCCTGGCCTTGTTTTTATTTTTGTTTTTAAAGATGGAGTCTCACTCTTTCATCCAGGCTGGAGTGCAGTTGTACAATCATAGCTCTCTGTAGCCTTGAACTCCTGGGCTCAGGCAATCCTCACACCTAAGCCCCTAAGTAACAAGACTATAGGCACACTATATCATGCCTGGCTTAAAAATGTTTTGTAGAGACAGGGTCTTGATGTGTTGCTTAAAATGGTCTTGAACTCCTGGCTCCAAGTGATCTCCCCACCTTGGCCTCCCAAAGCTCTGGGATTACAGGTGGAAACCACCATACCTGGTCTGATTTACAGTTTTTTGAGGAAACTCCATAATGTTTGCTATAGTGGCTGCAATAGTTTATATTCCCACCAACCGTCTATGAGATCCCTTTTCTCCTCATCCTCACAGCATAGATGATACCTCATTGTGGTTTTACTTGGATTTCCCTGATGATTAGTGATGTTGAACATTTTCCCATATATCAATATATTTGTTAAGCTCATGTCTTCTTTTTTTTTTTTTTTTTTTGAGATGGAGTCTTGCTCTGTTGCCCAGGCTGGAGTGCAGTGGTACCATCTCAACTCACTGCAGCCTCTGCCTCCTGGGTTCAAGCAGTTCTCCTGCCTCAGCCTCTGGAGTAACTGGATTACAGGCATGCGCCACCATCCCCAGCTAATTTCTGTATTTTCAATACAGATGGGGTTTCACGATTTGGCCAGGCTGGTCTTGAACTTCTGACCTCAGATGATCCGCCCACCTCGGCCTCCAAAAAAAAAGCTGGCTGGGTGCAGTGGTTCACTATCACGAGGTCAGGAGTTTGAGACCAGCCTGGCCAACATACTGAAACCTGTCTCTACTAAAAATACAAAAAATTAGCTGGGCATGGTGGTGGGTACCCATAATCCCAGCTACTTGGGAGGCTGAGGCAGGAGAATAGCTTGAACCCGGGAGGTGGAGGTTGTAGTCAACCAAGATCACACCACTGCACTCCAGCCTGGGTGACAGAGCGACAGACTCTTGTCTTAAAAAAAAAAAAAAAAAAAAAAAAAAAAAAAAAAAAAGAGCTATCAAGCCATGAAAAGACATAGAGAAAACTTAAGTGGATATTACTTAGTGAAGAATGCCAATCTGAAAAAGCTTCATACTAGATGACTCCAAATACAGTCATATGCCACACAGTTTTCGGTCAACAATGGACTGCATATATGACGGTGGTCCCATGAGGTTATAATATCTTATTGTTACTCTACCTTTTCCACCTCTAGATAGACAAACTACTTGCCATTGTGTTACAGTTGCCTACAGAATTCAGTACAGTAACCTGCTATACAGGTTTGTAGCTTAGGAGCAATAGGCTATCCCATATAGTCTAGGGGTGTAGGAGGCTATTCCATCTAGGTTTGTGTAAGTACACTCGATGATGTTCACACAATGACAACATCACCTGACAACTCGTTTATCAGAACATACCCCCCTCATTAAGTGATGCATGATTGTAGATGACATTCTGGAAAAGGCCAAACTATGGAGGGAGCAAAAAGACCAGTGGTTCCCAGGAATTAGGGGAAAGCATGAGACAAACAAACAGAGCACAGAGGATTTTTAGGGTAGTGAAAGTATTCTGTATATTACTACAATGGTGGATACATGTCATATGTTTGTCAAAAACCAAAGAATGGACACCAAAAGTGAACCCTAAGGTAAATGCTGGTCTTTCAGTGATAATATATCAACGTAGGTTCATCACCTGTAACAAATACATCACTAGGGTGCAGGGTGTCAATAGTGAGGGAAGCTGTGCATGTATGGCGTAGGAATTATATGGGAACTCTGTACTTTTGCAGCTCAATTTTGCTGTGAACCAAATCTACTCTAAAAAAATAAAATATAGGCCGGGCGCGGTGGCTTATGCTTGTAATCTCAGCACTTTGGGAGTCCGAGGTGGGCAGATCACGAGGTCAGGAGTTCCAGACCAGGCTGGCCAACATGGTGAAACCCCGTCTCTACTACAAATACAAAAATTAGCCAGGCGTGGTGGCAGCCGCCTGTAATTCCAGCTACTCGGGAGGCTGAGGCAGGAGAATCACTTGAACCCAGGAGGCGGAGGTTGCAGTCAGCCGAGATCGTGCCATTGCATTCCAGCCTGGGCGACAGAGTGAGACTCCGTCTCAAAAATAGATAAACAAAAATAAATAAATAAATAAAGTATATTAGTTAAAATTTTTATTTATGCATAAGAACATACAAATGGTTATTTATTATAGCAAAAAATTTGTAAACAACCTTACAGTCCAATGGGAGGGAAATGGCTATATAAACTACATCCCACAACCACTCAGTTATATGTATGAGGTTTTTCTTTTTTGTGGGGGGTGGGGTGCAGTCTTGCTCTGTCGCCCAGGCTGGAGTGCAGTGGTGCGATCTCAGCGCGCTGCCACCTCCACCTCCAGGGTTCAAGCAATTCTCCTGCCTCAGCCTCCCAAGTAGCTTGGACTACAGGCACCCACCACCACACCCGGCTAATTTTAGTACTTTTAGTAGAGATGGAGTTTCACTATATTCGCCAGCCTGGTCTCGAACTCCTGATCTTGTGATCTGCCCGCCTTGGCCTCCCAAAGTGCTGGGATTACAGGCGTGAGCCACTGCACATGCCCAAAGTATTTCTAATAAACAGGACAAATGCTGAGAAATTGAAAAAAGCAGTATAAACAATTGTATAAATGGAATGATAAAATTGTGTATTGCAAAAAGACTAGGAGGACAATATGCTAAAATGTTAGCACTGAGTTGTCTTTGGGCATTAAATTTTGTTTTTATAAATATGTGCTCTTTTTATTCTAAAACACACGAGAGATAAAAATACATAAACGATCTGGGCACAGTGGCTCACGCCTGCAATCCTAACACTTTGGGAGGCCGAGGCAGGAGGACTGTTTGAGACCAAGAGTTCAAGACCAACCTGGCCAACACAGAGAGACCCTGTCTCTATTTCTTTTTAATAATACTAAAAATTTTAAGTTATAAATTTTAAAATGTTAATAAAATTTTTTTAAAATACATAAATGTACAGAGAACAGAAATCACCCCAAATCCTATCATCTGGAGATAACAGAAGTTGCCCTGAATAGGAAGACGGTAGAGGATTTTCTTTTCTTTCTGTATTCTATTATTTGTAGAGTTTCTAGTATTAGTAGAGAATCTGCTCTCATATATATATATATAATATATATATATATATTTTTTTTGTTTGTTTGTTTGTTTGTTTGACATGGACTTTCACTCTTGTCACCCAGGCTGGAGTGCACTGGCATGATCTCGGCTCACTGCAACCTCCGCCTCCCGGGTTCAAGTGATTCTCCAGCCTCAGCCTCCTGAGTAGCTGGGATTACAGGCACACGCCACCATGTCCGGCTAATTTTCATATTTTCAGTAGAGATGGGGTTTCACCATGTTGGCCAGGCTGGTCTTGAACTCCTGACCTCAAGTGATCCGCTCGCCTCGGCCTCCCAAAGTGCTGGGATTACAGGTGTAAGCCACCGCGCCCAGCCTGATATATTTATATTTTGTAAAAATCTTCCTCATATGTGGGTCTAAGGCCACCATCAGCCTTTCTACGAAGCCTTTCAAAACTTCCAGTTTGCATAGACTGCTCACTTTTATCTACAGTCTCACTTATGTCTCTTCTACCATTTATCATAGTTTATAGTGTATTTATTACCGGTGTAGTTAACATTTCCCTCAATCCTTGAAGGTAGGGAAAAATCTTACCTTTTTTTTTTTTTGAGACGGAGTCTTGCCCTGTTGCCAGGCTGGAGTGCAGTGGCACAATCTCGGCTCACTGCAACCTCCACCTCCCAGGTTCAAGCGATTCTCCTGCCTCAGCCTCCCAAGTAGCTGGGACTGCAGGTGTGCGCCACCATGTCCAGCTAATTTTTGTATTTTTAGTAGAGACAGGATTTCACCATGTTGGCCAGGCTGGTCTCTATTTCTTGACCTCATGATCCTCCCGCCTTGGCCTCCCAAAGTGCTGGGATTACAGGCGTGAGCCACAGCACCTGGCCATCTTACCCATTTTTATATCCTGCTGCCCACCCCCTCCAGCAACTAGGCCTGCACCTAGAAAGATATTATCAAATGTCCCTGCCACATCCCTGCCAGTATCCCTGTCTGTCCCCAGCCAGCCCACACAACGGATGCACAGAAAGGACCTGTCTTCTTTGACAAAGGAGGCTGATGATCTAATACTCTCTTCTGACTTCCTAGCTTGAATGCTGTTCCATCTCTTCCTCCCACAGACCAGGACTCAAAGGGCAGCGCATTTTCTCTGGAAAGACCCATGTCATAATGCACCTTTGTATGAAGCAGCAACCTTTGCACTGTCTCCAGTTAGTACTTTCAGAGGAATTAGCTTATCAGAGTAACTAGTTGGCACCTTAACAGGCATGCAGAATCTGACTCAGGAACAGAGACTCAAGAGAACTAAGGTGCAGTAGGAAGCAGGTGGCAGAGTGAAGATGTGAGTAGTGGGAAATAGTGTGAGTTATCTGGGGTAGAAAAGGTAGATTGGGAGCAAAACCGGCAAGGGGACAAGGGCTGGGTAATGGGTAAATTATAATGGCCTCTTCCTCATTTAAGAGGCCATTACAATAAATTTTACCTACTTTACCAAACAGCTTAAAGCCAAAGTGGGAGCTCAAAACCAGGAAGGAGCCAGGCACAGTGGCATATGCCTGTGGTCTCAGCTACTCAGGAGGCCAAGATAAGAGGATCACTTGAGCCCAGGAGTTTAAGACCAGCCCCGGCAACACAGTGAGACCTCAAAAACAACCCAGTTATGGCATGAGAATCTGGCTGGATGTGCTTCACCACCACCCAGAAGAGCCCCATGGGGATGTAGAGATTAAATCCAATCATCTCTAAGGTCCATTCCCAACTGGAATTTTAGAATTTCAGGTAACAGCCAGGCACAATGGCTCATGTCTGTAATCCCAGCACTTTGGGAGGCTGAGGCGGGTGGATCACCTGAGGTCAGGAGTTCAAGATCAGCTGGCCAACATGGCAAAACCCAGTATCTACTAAAAAAAAAAAAAAAAAAATTACAAAAATTAGCCGGGCGTGGTGGCGCTCCTGTAATCCCAGCATTTTGGGAGGCCAAGGCAAGCAGATCACTTGAGGTCAGGAGTTCAAGACCAGCCTGGCCAACATGGTGAAACCCCATCTCTACTAAAAATACAAAATAAACTGGATGTGGTGGCATATGGCTGTAATCCCAGGTATTCAGGAAGCTGAGGCATGAGAATCACTTGAACCTGGGAGGCGGAGGTTGCAGAAAGCTGAGATCGCACCACTGTACTCCAGCTTGGGCGGCAGAGCGAGACTCCACCTCAAAAAAAAAAAAAAAAGAATTTCAAGTGACCATTTTCTTTTCCTTAATGTGACAATATCCAATTTTTTTTTTTTTTTTGAGACGAAGTCTTGCTTTTGTCCCCCAGGCTGAAGTGTGATGGTGCAATCTCAGCTCACCGCAACCTCCACCTCCCGGGTTCAAGTGATTCTCTTGCCTCAGCCTCCTGAGTAGCTGGGATTACAGGTGCCAACCACCACGCCTGGCCAACGGGGTTTCACCATGTTGGCCAGGCTGGTCTCGAACTCCTGACCTCAGGTGATCCGCCTGCCTCGGTCTCCTAAAGTGCTGGGATTACAGGCGTGAGCCACCGTGCCCAGCTGATACCCAAAATTTTATAGCACTTACATCATGCCAGTCCCTGGTCTATGCATTATTATTTTTTTTTTTTGAGACAGAGTTTCGCTCTTGTTGTCCAGGCTGGGGTGCAATGGTGCGATCTTGCCTCACCGCAACCTCTGTCTCCGGGGTTCAAGTGATTCTCCTGCCTCAGCCTCCTGAGCAGCTGGGATTATAGGCATGTGCCACCACACCTGGTTAATTTTGTATTTTTAGTAGAGATGGAGTTTCTCCATGTTGGTCAGGCTGGTCTCAAACTCCCAACCTCAGGTGATCCGCCCGCCTCGGCCTCCCCAAGTGCCGGGATTACAGGTGTGAGCCACCCCGCCTGGCTGGTCTATGCTTTTTATTATATTAACTTCCTTAATCTAAAACCCAGAGAGGTATTACTATCCTTATATTACTGATGAGAAAACTGACATAAAAAGATTAAGTAACTTGCCCAAGGTCCCACAGCTAGAAGTGGCCAACGTAGGATGTAAACCCATCAGAATTTGTGCTGTGGCTGGGCATGGTGGCTGAGATAGCGCCATTGCGCTTCAGCCTAGGCAATAAGAGCAAAACTCTGTCTCGAAAAAAAAAAATTTATAGAACTATAGACTTAAGATCTGAGTATTTTGCCAGATGGAGTTTCACTCTTGCTGCCCGGGCTGGAGTGCAATGGCACAATCTCGGCTCACTGCAACCTCCGCCTCCTGGGTTCAAGTGATTCTCCTGCCTCAGCCTCCCAAGTAGCTGGGATAACAGGCACCCACCACCATGCCCGGCTAATTTTTGTATTTTCAGTAGAGATGGGTGATCCACCTGCCTCGGCCTCCCAAAGTGCTGGGATTACAGGCATGAGCCACCGTGCCTGGCCGATAATTATTCTAAATTTTGATACAATAATAATTTGTTTCCTATAATAATATAATAATTATAAATTTCCATCTCGCAAATAACAAAGGTACAAAATACATAAAGCTAAACTTGGTGGCTCATGGCTCACACCTATAATCCCAGCACTTAGGGAAGCCAAGGCTGGAGGATCACTTGAGCCCAGGAGTTTGAGATCAGCCTGTCAACATAGTGAGACGTCATCTCTACAAAAAATTTAAAAGGCCGGACATGGTGGTATGCACCTACAGTCCCAGCTTCTTTGGAGGCTGAGGCAGGAGGATTCTTCGAGCCTAGAAGTTTGAGTTTGCAGTGAGCTATGATCGTGCCACTGCACTCCAGCCTGGGAGACAGAATGAGACCCTGTCACTAAAATAAAATAAAATAAATCCACCATCGGAGTAGGATATTTTAATACATCTTTTGCAGTAATTGATAGAGAGGGCACACAAAATTCGGTAGGGATTTAGATGATTTCACCATAAGCTTGATCAAAGTGATGTAGATATATTTATATAGGCCTGTGTATGTGTGTGTGCATATGTGTATTGGAGAATACACATTCTTTTCAAGGTACAAATTTACTACATACTAGGTCATAAAGCAAGTCTCAAAAACATTTCAAAAAAAATCAGTATTATAGAGATTATATTAAAGGACCAAAATCCAAGAAAGTTAGAAATCATCAAGTCTCGTGGAAATTTGAAAACATACTTTTTTTTTTTTTTTTTTTTTTTTTTTGGGACAGAGTCTCTGTCGCCCAGGTTGGAGTTCAGTGGCGCGATCTCGGCTCACTGCAAGCTCCGCCTCTCGGGTTCACGCCATTCTCCTGCCTCAGCCTCTCCGAGTAGCTGGGACTACAGGCGCCCGACACCACACCCGGCTAATTTTTTGTATTTTTAGTAGAGACAGGGTTTCATCGTGGTCTCGATCTCCTGACCTCGTGATCCGCCTGCCTCGGCCTCCCAAAGTGCTGGGATTATAAGCGTGAGCCACCGCGCCCGGCCTGAAAACATACTTTCTAATAACTGGGTGAAACGAATCTTTTTTTTTTTTTTTTTTCTGAGACGGAGTTTCACTCTTGTTGCCCAGGCTGGAGCGCAATGGCGCAATCTCGGCTCACCACAACCTCTGCCTCCCAGGTTCAAGCGATTCCCCTGCCTCAGCCTCCCTAGTAGCTGGGATTACAGGCATGTGCCACCATGCCCAGCTAATTTTGTATTTTTAGTAGAGACGGGGTTTCTCCATGTTGGTCAGGCTGGTCTCGAACTCCCGACCTCAGGTGATCCGCCTGCCTCGGCCTCCCAAAGTGCTGGGATTACAGGCATGCCACCACGCCTGGCCATGAAACAAATCTTTAATGGAAACTTTTCAAGAACTAAAACTTAAATGATAATGAAAATATCACATATTAAAACTTATAGGACATCTATAGGTCAGGCACGGTGGCTCACGCCTGTATCCCAGTACTTTGGGAGGCCGAGGCGGGCAGATCACCTGGGGTCAGAAGTTCAAGACCAGCCTGGCCAACATGGTGAAACCCCATCTCTACTAAAAATACAAAAATTTAGCCAGGCATGGTGGTGCATCTGTAGTCCCAGCTACTGGGGAGGCTGAGGCACAAGAATTGCTTGAACCTAGGAGGTGGAGGTTGCAGTGAGCCCAGATCACGCCACTGCACTCCAGCCTGGGCAACAGAGCAAGACCCCATCTCAAAAAAAAAAAAAAAAAAGCTTATAGGTACCTCCCCAGAAGAAATGAAAACGTATGTCTACAAAAGACTTGCTCAAGGATATACATAGGTGCTAATAGTCAAAAGCTAGAAACATCCCAAATGTCTATCAACAAGAGAATGGATAAACAAATAGTGCATATACATCCATACAATGCAATACAAGTTAGCAATAAAAAGGAACAGGTTGCTAACACATACCACATATACTAAGTGAAAGAAGCCAGGCACAAAGAGAATTGATACTGCATGATTCTTTTTAGATGAGGTTCTATACATGTATAGTCTTAACAGGGGTAAACTCTGGTGATAAAAAAGAGACTGAACCAAAATGGGCCCCATGGGCAGGAAGCAGTGGTGCACATCTGTAATCGCAGCTACTGGGTGGCTGAGGTAGAAGGATCACTTGAGCTCAGGAGTTCAAGGATAGCCTGAGCAGCACAGCAAGACTCCATCTCAAAAAAAGCGGGGCGGGGGGCGGAGTGTGCCTGAAACTTTCTAGGATAATAGAACTGTCCCATATTTTGATTCAGATGATGGCAACATGGATGTGAATGTTTACATTTGTCAAAATTCATAGGGCCGGGCACGGTAGCTCATGCCTATAATCCCAGAACTTTGGGAGGCTGAGGTGGGTGGATCACCTGAGGTCAGGAGTTCAAGACCAGCCTGGCTAACATGGTGAAACCCCTTCCTTATGAAAAATACAAAAATTAACCAGTCGTGGTGGTGCATGCTTGTAATTCCAGCTAGTTGGGAGGCTGAGGCAGGGGAATCACTTGAACCTGGGAGACAGAGGTTGCAGTGAGCTGAGAAAGCGCCATTGTACTCCAGCCTGGGTGAGAAGAGCAAAACTTTCTTTAAAAAAAAAAAAAATTCATAGAACTGTAGACTTAAGATCTGTGTATTTTGGCCAGGCATGGTGGCTCACACCTGTAATCACAGCACTTTGGGAGGCCGAGGTGGGCGGATCACTTGAGGTCAGAAGTTCGAGACCAGCCTGGCCAACATAGTAAAATCCTATCTCTACTGAAAATACAAAAATTAGCTGGGTGTGGTGGTGCATGCCTGTAGTTCAAGCTGCTCAGGAGGCTGAGGCAGGAGAATTGCTTGAACTTGGGAGGCTACAGTGAGCCCAGATTGTGCCACTGCACTCCAGCCTGGGCAACAGAACAAGACTCCATCTCAAAAAAAAAAAAAACTATGTATTTATTTTATGATATGTACATTCAATAAAGAAAGCAAACTTATACAATGCAGCTAAAACAACACTTACAGGGAAATATATAGCCTTAAGTGCATGTATTAGAAAAGAGAGGGCTGGGCGTGGTGGCTCACGCCTGTAATCCCAGCACTTTGGGAGGCCGAGGCGGGTGGATCACAAGATCAGGAGATTGAGACCATCCTGGCTAACGTGGTGAAATACCATGTCTACTAAAAAAATACAAAAAATTAGCCTGGTGTGGTGGCGGGCACCTGTGGTCCCAGCTACTCGGGAGGCTGAGGCAGGACAATGGCGTGAACCCGGGAGGCAGAGCTTGCAGTGAGCCAAGGTCACGATACTGCACTCCAGCCTGGGCAACAGAGCTAGACTCCATCTCAAAAACACAAAAAAGAAAGAAAAGAGAGGCCGGGTGGGGTGGCTCATGCCTGTAAACCCAGCACTTTGGGAGGCCAAGCCAGGCAGATCACCTGAGGTTGGGAGTTTGAGACCGGCCTGACCAACATGGAGAAACCCTGTGTCTACTAAAAATACAATATTAGCTGGGTGTGGTGGCACATGCCTGTAATCCCAGCTACTTGGGAGGCTGAGGCAGGAGAATCACTTGAACCTGGGAGGCAGAGGTTGAGGTGAGCCAAGATCGTGCCACTGCACTCCAGCCTGGACAACAAGAGCGAAACAGCGTGTCAAAAAAAAAAAAAAGAGAAATATTCAAAATTGATAAACCAAGCACAGAACTTATGAAGTTAAAAAAAAAAAGAACAGCAGAGGCCAGGAGCAATGGCTCACACCTGTAATCCCAGCACTTTGGGAAGCCGAGACAGGTGGATTACCTGAGGTCAGGAGTTTGAGACAAGCCTGACCAACATGGAGAAACCTCATCTCTACTAAAAATACAAAATTAGCCGAGTGTGGTGGAGCATACCTGTAATCCTAGCTACTTGGGAGGCTGAGGCAGGAGAATCACTTGAACCCCAGAGGTGGAGGCTGCAGTGAGCTGATATCCAGCCATTGCACTCCAGCCTGGGCAACCAGAGTGAGACTCTGTCTCAAAAAAAAAAAAAAAAAAAAAAAAAAAAAAAAAAAAAGAACAGCAGAATAAGTCTTAAGGAGAATAAAACAATAAAAGCAGAGGAATAATGAGACAGAAAATAAACAGTAGAAAAGGTCAGTAAAGTTAAAAGTTTAACATTGTGGTTCAGGCCTGTAATCTCAGCACTTTGGGAAGCTGAGGCAGGCAGATCACTTGAGATCAGGAGTTTGAGACCAGTCTGAGCAACATGGTGAAACCCCATCTCTACAAAAAACACAAAAATTAGCTGGGCTTGGTGGTGGCATGTGACTGTAGTCCCAGTTACTAAGGAGGCTGAGGTGGGAGGATCACTTGAGCCTGGGAGGTTGAGGCTGTAGTAAACCATCATGCCACTGCATTCCAGCCTGGGCGACAGAGTGAGACCCTATCTCAAAAAAAAAAAAAAAAAAAAGTTTAACATCAAAAAGACTAACAAAACAAACAAAACTTAGGTAATATGATCAATAAAAAGAAGATTCAGATCAATGACATTAGAGATCTTAAAAGTTATATATATATGTATGTGTGTGTGTGTGTGTGTGTATGTATTTTTTTTTTTTTTTTCCTGAGACAGAGTCTCACTATGTAGCCCAGGCTGGAGTGCAATGGTGGGATCCTGGCTCGCTGCAACCTCCACCTCCCAGGTTCAAGCGCTTCTCATCCCTCACTCAGCCTCTCCAGTAGCTGGGATTACAGGTGTGAGCCACAGTTCCTGGTCCAAAGTGATATGTTTAAATCTATGGCAGAGGGTTAAAAGATGAGAAAACTATAAGCAACTTAGTGCCAATAAATTTGATACAGACAAATTAGATGATATTATAGAAAAACATAATTTACCAAAAACTACCTCAAGAAGAAAGAAAAAACCTAAATAGTCCTATATATACAGAATAACTCTATTTATGGCTGGGCATGGTGGCTCATGCCTGTAATCCCAGCACTTTGGGAGGCCCAGGCGGGTGGATTACGAGGTCAGGAGTTCAAGACCAGCCTGGCCAAGATGGTGAAATGCTGTCTTTACTAAAAATACAAAAAAATAGCCAGGTGTGGTGGTGGGCACCTGTAATCCCAGCTACTCGGAGGCTGAGGCAGAGAACTGCTTGAACCCGGGAGGCAGAAGTTGCAGTGACCTGAGACTGCACCACTGCACTCCTTCTTGGGCAACAGAGTGAGACTCCATTTCAGGAAAAAAAAGAAAAAGAAAGAATAACTATTTATTATTATCCAAACCAGTATATCTTTTAAAGTGAAAGGGAGTACCATTTATAAATATGCCAGGATAACAGCTATAACCTGGCACTAGCCCAAGCAAACAAGGACATATGGTCTATTTATCTATAGTCATAAACACAAATTAAATCAGTAATTTAAAATCTTCTTACAAAGAAAACAGACTCAGAATGTTTTACAGGAATATTCTATCAAACATTAAAGAAAGCATCAATTCCAATTTTATGTTGACTTTCATAGGTATTAAAAAAGAAATACTGCCAACTCAGTCAGCGAGGTTAGTAAAATCTTAATTCCAAACCAGCCAAACATAGTATGAGAAAGAAAAATTAAAGGTTAATGTCACTAATGAGCATATATGCTGACACCTTGCTCAAAATATAAGCAAACCAAACCCAGCAGTGTATTAACAAGATAATGTATCATGTCCTAATTGGATTTATCCCAGAAATGCAAAGAAAATTTAACATAAAAAATTACTGGGGCGAGGTGTGGTGGCTCAGGCCTGTAATCCCAGAATTTTGGGAAGCCAGGGCGGGTGGATAATTTGAGGTCTGGAGTTTGAAACCAGCCTGAGCAGCATGGTGAAACCCTGCCTCTACTAAAAATACAAAAATTAGTTGGGCGTGGTGGTGCACGCCTGTAGTCCTAGCCACTTGGAGGCCGAGGCATGAGAATCGCTTAAACCTGGGAGGCGGAGGTTGCTATGAGCTGAGATCGTGCCACTGCCCTCCAGCCTGGGAGACAGAGTGAGACCCTGTCTCAAAAAAAAAAAAAAAAAAAAAAAAAAGAATTAATGTAGGCCAATTGCATTGGCTCATTCCTGTAATCTCAGAACTTGAGGAGCCCAAGGTAGGAGAATCACTTGAGCTAGGAATTTTGATAACCCTCGGCAACATGGTGAGGCCCCATTTCTTATTTTTTTGAGATAAGAGTTTTGCTCGTTGCCCAGGCTGGAGTGCAAAGGCGCAATCTCAGCTCACTGCAATGTCCACCTCCCAGATTCAGGCGATTCTCATGCCTCAGCCTCGCAAGCAGCTGGGATTACAGGCACCCGCCACCATGCCTGGCTAATTTTTTGTATTTTTAGTAGAGACGGGGTTTCACCATGTTGGCCAGGCTAGTCGAACTCCTGACCTCAGGTGATCACCCGCCTCAGCCTCCCAAAGTGTTGGGATTACGGGTATGAGCAACCGCGCCCAGCCTGAGACCCCATTTCTACACAAAAAATTTTTTTTTAATTAGCAGGGTGTGGTGTTGTGTGCCTGTGGTCCCAGCTACTTGGGAGGCTGAGGGGGTAGGATTCCTTGTGCACCAGAGCTCAAGGCTACAGTGAGCTATGATTGCACCGTGGCACTACAGCCTGAGTGCAGACCAAGACCCTGTCTTAAAATAATAATAATAATTATTATTAATGTAACTTATAACACTCATAGATGAAAAACAAAAACTCACATCATCTCATCTCAATAGATGTAGAAAAAGCATGTGATAAGATTTAACAACATTAAGGTAGATTTAGAGGTTTAAAAAAAAAAGATTTAACAACAAACTAGAAATAAAGGAAACTTCCTTTATCTATTAAAGAGCATCTACCCTAAACCTACAGCAATCATTATTATGAGTGGGAAGCCATTAGAAGCATTATCCTTTAAGTTCAGGAGTAGGGCAAGGATGCCTGCTGTCCTTGCTTCTAGCTGACATTAAATTGGAGGCTCTAGCAAAACACAAAACAAAGGAAAATAAATGAAAGGTATAGAATTGAAAAAAAACAACTTCATTATTAATAGATGATATGACTATCTACGTGGAATCTCTTCAAGTCCACAAATTATTAAAATTAATTAGGCAGCCAGGCGCGGTGGCCCATGCCTGTAATCCCAGCACTTTGGGAGGCTGAGGCGGGTGGGTCACGAGGTCAGGAGATCAAGACCATCCTGGCTAACACGGTGAAACCCCATCTCTACTAAAAATACAAAAAATTAGCTGGGCGTGGTGGCGGGCGCCTGTAGTCCCAGCTACTCGGGAGGCTGAGGCAGGAGAATGGTGTGAACCCAGGGGGCAGAGCTTGCAGTGAGCCGAGATCGCTCCACTGCACTCCAGCCTGGGTGACAGAGCAAGACTCTGTCTCAAAAAAAAAAAAAGAAAAATTAAGTAGGCGAATGATAAAATGAACACAATTCATAGTATCTCAATGAGATTTGTTAGAGGGATG
The DNA here is from genome assembly GCF_000001405.40 of Homo sapiens. Lineage (NCBI taxonomy): Eukaryota > Metazoa > Chordata > Mammalia > Primates > Hominidae > Homo > Homo sapiens. Next base: position 42,006,992 of record NC_000006.12, read on the forward strand.
GCACAGAAAAGGGAACACAGGAAGCTCCTATATAACTGGTGACATATTTCTCAAGTTGCAGGGTATGTTTAGTTTTATTATACTACTTCATAATATACATACACACATGTATATATATACCTACATACATATATATGCACTTATATTCTTTTGTGTATATATGCTTCATAAGTCAATTTTAACATTTGAAACAACATGTTTTTACTTTCTATATTGTACACTTATTGGTTGTTTCATTGTTTTACAACAAAAATGTAAAAAGGTCTGTGTTTTTGAAAATGGTTAAAGAAAGAAAAAGAACAAAAGGAAATGAAGGGAGGCTGGAATTTCACCAACAGCTTGATAGATGGGCGGGTGGATGGCCATGAGGGTGGCTAGTAAGGCCAAGTCCAATTGAAGTCAGGACAAGGGCTTAGTCAAGGACTGAGCAGAGGCTGGTAGAATTGGAGGGAAGTCTGATAGCACTGACCTTTAAACGGGCAATTTTTAAAGACTGGCAGGAGGCGGAGCCCAAATGCAGGGGGTTAAATGGTGAATGAATAAATAGCAAAAAATTGGAAACTACCCAAGGGCCTAACAATCAGGGCCTGGCTAAGCAACCATAGTACCATTCATAGAAAAAATGATGCTGTGTCCATACATAGGCGGGCTTATAAAATTAGGTGACGTAAAAAATTTCAGGACACAAAATAGCATTTGTGCAGATTACAATTATGAAAGGACATGCATGTGCTGCGAGAGCCAGAAAGGGCTGGACAGGATCGAGAGCAGCTCACGGATGCTGCTTTAAAGTCTATGGGATTTTCTTTCTTTTTTGGAATGCTGGCGATCCACAAACAAAAGCACATAATGTTGCTTTAAAATAAAAAGAGTGGCTGTTGAAGAAGTGGAGACAGCAGGTGAAGGCCACTCAGTGAAGAAACCTGACGGTGACAGGAAGAAATGAGCCGGCAGAGCAGCTGGCGGGGTGTGAAGGCTGGGGACAGCAGCTGGCGGGGGAGCTGGGGGCTGGGGGAAGTGGGGAGAGGAAGAAAGGAGGCTGTTCTGTTTCCTTTATTGCCTATAGCTCTACCTTATTTTTTAATATAAAAAATAGTAGTATCTCTTGGCTAGGCGCGGTGGCTCACACCTGTAATCTCAGCACTTTGGGAGGTCGAGGTGGGCAGATCACCTCAGGTCAGGGGTTCGAGATCAGCCTGGCCAACATGGCGAAACCCCATCCCTACTAAAAATACAAAAATTAGCTGGGTGGGGCGGGCGCCTGTAATCCCAGCTACTCGGGAGGCTGAGGTAAGAGAATCACTTAAACCCAGGAGGCAGAGGTTGCAGTGAGCTGAGATCATGCCGCTGCATTCCAGCCTGGGCAACAAGAGCGAAACTCTGTCTCAAAAAAAAGAAAAAGAAAAGTACCTCTTGAGACAAATTCAAACAGTCCAGAGTGTGTATGTATAAAGTGACAGAACCCTCAGCCTAGTCCCCATTGTCAACAGCTTAGTGTGCAGCTTTCCAGAGCTGCACCATTTTCTTTTACTTGCAGTGCATTCATTTTTAATTACAAAGTAAGATAGGCTGGTTTTTAATTACAAAGTAAGATGGGCTTGTTAAAATGTAGGATTAGAGAAAATAAAGAGTGAAATATTCTATCCTGCTGAAATCTCCCAACAGAGCTGACTGCTGTTGATTGGTCTGGAAAGGGTCTATGTGCATGTAAATACTTATGTATATATTCGGTTATGGTTTTTTGGTTGGTTGTTTTTACAGAAGCAGGAACATTTCCTACCTATAGTTGAGCAGTTTCATGCTACATCATGGTGGATCCCTCCCAAGTCACCACTGCCTAACATTCCACAGAATATAGTTGAAAGGTAAACTTCAGGGAACACAGGGGCATCTCTTTCCCTATAATTGGCAGGAAAGGAGCTCTAGAAACAAAAGGTTCAAGATGGAAGGAGGTATTGCTTGGAGGGGGGCTGCCCGTGGGAATAGGGAACATGCAGACAGAGAGGGTCTTCTTTCCGCCTTCTTCTCTTAAGCCAGAGTCCCATCCAAATGTAGCTAAGGTATACAGAAGTGTAAGGGGGAAGGGTTGTGATTAGAGCCTGAGTGATAAGGGTCACTACTGGGGGCTCAACTTCCTTGAGTGGACTGCTCTTCCCTCAACTGTGCCTAGGTCAGGCCTACTTATCAGAAACCTTAAGGGGAGGCTGGGTGTGGTGGCTCATGCCTATAACCCCAGCACTTTGGGGGGCCGAGGCAGTTGGATTGCCTGAGCCCAGGAGTTCAAGACCAGCCTGGGCAACATGGTGAAACCCTGTCTTTACAAAAAATACAAAAATTGGGCCAGAAGCGGTGGCTCACACCTGTAATCCCAGGGCTTTGGGAGGCCGAGGCTGGTGGGTCACCTGAGGTCAGGAGTTCAAGACCAGCCTGGCCAACATGGTGAAACCCTGTCTCTACTAAAAATACAAAAATTAGCCAGGTGTGGTGGCGGATGCCTGTAATCCCAGCTACTCAGGAGGCTGAGGCAAGAGAATCACTTGAATCTGGGAGGCGGAGGTTGCAGTGAGCCAAGATTGCGCCATTCCACTCCAGTCTGGGCAACAAGACCGAAACTCCGTTTCAAAACAAAAAAACAAAACAAAACAAAACAAAAACACACAAAAAAATTAGCTGGGGGTGGTGGCACACGCCCATAGTCCCAGCTACTCGGGAGGCTAAGGTGGGCAGATCGCTTGAACCCAGGAGGTGGAGGTTGCAGTGGGCCAAGATTGTGCCACTGAACTCCAGCCTAGGTGATAGAGCGAGACCCTGTCTCAAAAAAAATAAACAAACAAAAACCTTAAGGGGAGCCCTAGAATAGTGATTCTCAAAGTGTGGTCCCTATACCAGTAGAAGCAGCATCAACAACTTAGAAATGCAGATTGTTGGGCCCCACTTAGTCCTACTGAATCAGAATCTCTCAGCAATCAGTGCCCTCCAAGCAATCAGCAAACAGGCCCTCCAAGGAATGCAGGCTAAGCTTGGAGAACCTTTGTTCTAGAATGTGGATTTGGGTGTGATTTCTTCATCCCTCAGGCACCCCCATGTTCATTCTCCTAGAGGACAAGCAGGAGTCAGCCCTGAAGGGGATGGGTTATCAACTTCATAAGTGGTTTCTTCTGTGAGCTTAGAGGTTGCAGGCAAAGTCAGTGACCTAGGTAGTACCTGGGAGAGCCCTCCCTCTCTTCTCATGACAACACTTCCATCTCTTCACACGCCCCCCAAATAAAACAGAAAGGGAGGGGGGCAGTGGAAACCTACTGCTTTCCACTTTCCCTTAACGGTGTCCCCTGCCCCGGGGCACTGCCCTCTGCAGCATGGAGGACAGAGTAGGGAGTGAAGCTTTTGAATGAGGGGGAGGAAATGGGATGTGGCTTCATGTGGCTGGGTTGGGGGAGGGAGTTGGAAGGAGAGGAGGGAGGGAGAGGAAGAATGTCCTCATTTCACCCAGCTGCCTGGGCCTGCACCTGTTCAGCTGAGGCCCAAGGAAAGACACCAAGCCCGACAGTAAATGAAGCACGGCCCCACCCCATCTAGCGGGGCCCCTTCCCACACTGCAGCAGGGCCGGGTTAACTGACAGGAAAACTGTGAATGATTTCAGGTGGCTGAATGAGGGGCTGGGGAAACAGCTGTGCTCCTCTGCGGGGTGGAGCAACTGTCTTCTGTCACCCCCAGGCTCTCAGAGCCTCGGCAAGGTCAGCAGGAGTCAGATAGGTTGGGACCTGCTCAGACACCTTCTCCTACAGAAAGTGACATCACTGCCATCAGCGCTGAGGAGGTTCCGGGTGGTTAAGCCCTACAACATTCCACAACATTCTTTAGTTCCTCTATAGGCAACTATCTTCTTCTTTTTTTCTAAATAGACTGTTTTTTAGCACAGTTTTAGTTTCACAGGAAAATTGAGAGGAAATATTAAGTTTCCTCTTGGTCTGTCCTCCATAGAAACACTTCAGGAGTTCATCCAAGCAGTCAATCGGTCATTTCACAAGGATCCAATGAAGGCTTTCAAAAGTGATTCTTGAATCTGTAAGAACAACTGGTAGTGAATGAATGAATGAATGAATGAATGAATGAATGAATGGATTTTTCACTGACTGATTGATTGACTGAGAATCTCACTCTGTCACCCAGGCTGGAGTATGTTGGTGCAATCACAGCTCACTGCAGCCTCAAACTCCTGGGCTCAAGCAATTCTCCTGCCTCAGCCTGCCAAGTAGCTAGGACCACAGCAAGTACCTAGGCCACCATGCCTGGCTAATTTTAAAAATTTATTTGTAGAGACGGGATCTAACTTTGTTGCCCAGGCTGGTCTCAAACTCCTGGCCTCCAGCAATCCTCCTGCCCCAGCATCCCAAAATGCTGAGATTATAGGCACGAGCCACCAAGCCTGACTAACTGGGAATTTATTAAAGAGGCAAGCCCTGGTCACTCCACTAGAGATTTTGATTCAGGAGGTCTGGAGTGGGGTCCGGGATTATGTATTTTTGACACAGTCTGCAGGAGATGATACATTTGACATAATGGGCCCTAACTGGAGAAACTCAGGCATGGTGTGAGATACAAAGGGTTAGTAAATTGCTCTGGTGGGAAGGAAGGAAGCAGTGAACATTAAGGACCAAAATCCTCCTACCTCTCCACCACCCCAGAATTGAAGATGCAGAGTACTGAGCCCTCCACCTGCAAATGCATACAGCCATGAACAGATGGGTGTAAACTGAGGCAGTGGAGGGAGAGGGGTACTCCCAAGCCCTGAAAATCTCAGAGTAAGAGGCCACCGACGACAGCGCTCACCGGTGCTGAGCTCCCTTCTACAGAAACCTGCAAAGACTCAGATCGAGGAGGAAATACACCAGGAAAATGTCACAGGATCATCTCGAGGTAAGGTCCTGAGCAAGGTAGCCTTTCCATGCCTGCATTTCCTCATCTGTCAAATTCGGAGCATGATGGGCTCTGTCAAACAGGGTTACAGGCATTGAGCCACTATGCCCAGCTGCATTAGCTCATTTTTTGACTTTGCTTAAGAGTTCCTTGCCCACTCTTCAAAAATGTTGATGTCATGGAAGACAAAAACTAAGGAATCATTTCAGGTTAAACAAAACTTGGGGAGACAGGACAACTGAATATAATCCATGATCTGGGACTTTGTTTTCATTTCTGTAAAGCATAACATTGGAGACCAGGCTGGCCAATATGGCAAAACCCCATCTCTACTAAAAATACAAATATTAGCTGGGCGTGGTGGCGGGCGCCTCTAATCCCAGCTACTTGGGAGGCTGAGGCAGGAGAATCACTTGAACCTGGGGTGGGATGGGGGCGGGGAGTGGAGGTTGCAGTGAGCCAAGATCACACCACTTCACTCCAGCCTGGGCGAAAGAAGCTCTATCTCAACAATAAAATAAAAATAAAAATAAAAACAAAAAAATTAGCCAGGTGTGATGGTATGTGCTGTAATCCCAGCTCTCGGGAGGCTGAGGCAGGAGAATCACTTGAACCTGGGAGGTGGAGGTTGTAGTGAGCAGAGATGGTGCCACTGTACTCCAGCCTGGGAGACAGAGTGAGACTCCTCTCATATAAATAAATAAATAAAATAAAATGATGAGTGAAGGAGTTCTGAGAACTTGTGATTTCTACATGCTGGAATTCTGCTTATGCCCTTGGTGGTTGTTGGCTATTAAAATGTGGGTAGTGTGGAATTATGTACATTACAAGATCTTTACAGAAAATCCTTTTTTCTTCTCATGCATAGTATGACCTGGAACTAAAAGGAGCTGCACATATAAATTGATCCAAGCTTCTACCAGATTCATTATATGCTATCCTGACACAGATGAATCCAGGCTCTTCTTATATACTTCTGGAGATGGGAAAGTCACCCCCTCTCACAGCCTGTTCCATTCCTGGTCAGTTCTGACCACTAGAACATTCCTTGACCTACTGAGCTGAAACCTTCCTTCCTGGAGCCTCTACCCACTGGTCCGGTCCTGTTTTCTGGGTAGTGGGGCCTCTACCCGCTGATCCTGGTCCTATTGCCTGTTTAGGGGCAATACGGGACCCCTAATGATCTTAGTCATCCTTTCCTAAATAAGTTCCAGTTCATCAGTGTCTCTCTAGAGTGTAAATGCAGTGCCCCAGGATCCAACTTGATAATCAGATAGCAGAGGGAACATGATCTCCCAAGTGCTGGACATTCCATTCATACAGCCTAAGGTAGAGTTGGGCTTTTTTCAAAATTGAATCACACAGTTGATTCATGAGTTTAGAGCCAACTTAAACCACGGTTTTCTCTTGTGAACCATGGTTAACTGCCATTGGTCTCAGCAGTTTTCACTATGAGACATCCCATTGTATGTTCGTTTGCTTATTGTCTGTCTCTAGATATTGCTAGAATGTAAGCTATAGGAGGGCAGGGTTGTTGGCTTGTTCTGAATCCCCAACACCTAGAACAAACAAGTCTTGGCACATAGTAGACATTCAATAAATACATGTTGAGCAAATAAATAACTGTTAAGCCACATCTCACCTATCCTGTATTTCTATAATTTATTTGTAATTCACACCCAGTCTTCTAACAAGAGAGGTTTGAGGTGATTGCTTTGCAGAATCCTTTTGTTAACTTCAGAATAAACTTTGTTCTTGTTGAATTTTATATTGTTAAATTTTCATCATTAGTTCAGCCTATTGAGATCTAATTTCTGGCTCTCTCAATCTACATTTCAGCAGTCCCTTCCAGCGCCAAGCCATTCATTCAAGAATGACTCAGGGCCGGGCGTGGTGGCTCACACCTGTAATCCCAGCACTTTGGGAGGCCGAGGCAGGCGGATCACGAGGTCAAGAGACTGAGATCATCCTGGCTAATATGGTAAAACTCCATTTCCACGAAAGATACAAAAATTAGCTGGGCGTGGTGGTGTGCGCCTGTAGTCCCAGCTACCAGGGAGGCTGAGGCAGGAGAATGGCGTGAACCCGGGAGGCGGAGGTTGCAGTGAGCCGAGATCGTGCCACTGCACTCCAGCCTGACAACAGAGGGAGACTCCATCTCAAAAAACAAACAAGGCCGGGCGCAGTGGCTCATGCCTGTAATCCCAGCACGTTGGGAGGCCAAGGCGGGTGGATCACGAGGTCAGGAGATCGAGACCATCCTGGCTAACACGGTGAAACCCCGTCTCTACCAAAAATACAAAAAAAATTAGCCGGGCGAAGTGGTGGGCGCCTGTAGTCCCAGCTACTGGGAGGGCTGAGGCAGGAGAATGGCGTGAACCCCGGGGGGCGGAGCCTGCAGTGAGCCGAGATGGCGCCACTGCACTCCAGCCTGGGCAACAGCGAGACTCTGTCTCAAACAAAACAAAACAAAACAAAACAAAACAAAACAAAACAAAGGCCTCCCTGTCTCCAGAATGGCAACAATATATTAACTCCCTTAGTGTATAGTCTTTCAATCAGTAAAACAAAACAAAATGCCATTAACAACTCTATTTCAAAGAATATATTAATGGCATTGGAAAATGCTCATCCTATATACATACCAGGTCAGTGGGGGATACAAAACTGTAACACAGCACATGATCCCAGTTACAGGAAAATAGTTGTCTACATAGAAATAAGATGGGAAGGAGCTGGGCATGGTGGCTTATGCCTGTAATCCCAGCACTGGGAGGCTGAGGTTGGGGGATGGCCTGAGCCCCGAAGTTTGAGGCTTCATTGAGCTATGATCAAGCCACTGCACTCCAGCTTGGGTGACAGACTAGAAGGAAATATACCAAAATGTTAACAGTGATTATTTCTGAGTAGTGGTTCATTTTCATTTTATTCATTATATTTTTCAAAATCTCTTATTATAATAAGCAAGTATTTCCAACATATATACTTGTTATCCTTGTTATTATACCATCATCTGGATCACTCAGCCATACATATCTTCACTAAGGCAGTGAGAACCCAGGTGACACCTTCCTGAAATTGATCCTGCCCTCAAAAAGTTTCTAGTCAATATCAATAGCAAATATACATGTACATGCACAAACACACACGTATTCATTTTAATCCTACAACAATCCTTCCATTTCTATCTTCATATTCTAGATGAAGAAACTGAGGCTCAAAGAGGTTAAAAGAACTTGCTCAAGGTCATACATCTAGCATGAATCTGGGCCAGGATTTTAAACCCAGGCAGTCCAGCTCCAGAATGGACACCCTTAACCACTCTGCCATGCATGTAAACTCAAAGTAGCGCCACCCAAGGATTGATGATTCTGAGTGAGTGGTGGGGGCTGTAACAGGAGGCAGGGGAGTCGACATTAGCTGAATGAGGACTATGTGACAAGTGCTTGATATACATTACCTCATTCAGGTCCTGCAACTACCCTTGCAAAAAAATATTTTATTTTAAAAAAAAGTTATGGCCAGGCACAGTGGCTCACGCCTGTAATCCCAGCACTTTGGGAAGCCAAGGTGGGCAGATCACGAGGTCAGGAGATGGAGGTCATCCTGGCTAACACGGTGAAATCTCGTCTCTACTAAAAATATAAAAAATTAGCCAGGCATGGTGGCATGCACCTGTAGTCCCAGCTATTCCGGAGGCTGAGGCAGGAGAATGGCATGAACCCGGGAGGCGGAGCTTGCAGTGAGCGGAGATCACGCCACTGCACTCCGGCCTGGGCAACAAAGCAAGACTCCATCTCAAAAAATAAAAAAAAAAGTTATGTCTTTTTAAATTGACAAATAAAAATTGTACATATTTATTGTGTACAATGTGATATTTTGAAATATATATATATTGTGGAATGGCTAAATCAAGCTAATTAACATATGCATTGCCTCACATTTTTTTGTGTGCGTGGTGAGAACATAAACACTGCTCTCTTAGCAGTTTTCACGTATACAATACGTTTTTATTTTATTTATTTTTTATTTATTTATTTATTTTTTGAGATGGAGTCTCACTCTGTTGCCCAGGCTGGAGTGCAGTGGCGTGATATCAGCTCACTGCAGCCTCTGCCTCCCAGGTTCAAGAAATTCTGCCTCAGCCTCCTGAGTAGCTGGGATTACAGCTGTGTGCCACCACCCCCAGCCAATTTTTGTATTTTAGTAGAGAAGAGGTTTCACCATGTTGACCTGGCTGGTCTTGAACTCCTGACCTCAGGTGATCCACCGGCCTCGGCCTCCCAAAGTGCCAGGATTACAGGCGTGAGCCACTGCGCCCAGCCACAGTATGTTTTTTACTAACCATAGTCACCATGTTGTACGATACGTCTCTTGAACTTATTCTTCCCATCTAGCTGAATTTTTGTATCTTTTGGCCAACATAAAAAGATATTATTTTCATCTTTGTGTTATAAATGAGGAAATTGAGATTCAGACAGGGGTTTGAATCTCTGCTGTGATAATTCAAGTTTACTAATATCTCTGTCCTTCAGTTTCCTCCTCTACAACATGGGATAATAATAGCTCCTACCTCACTGACAGTTGGGAAGTATTAGTGAGAAAGTAGACTCACAACACTCAACACGGTGCCTAGCATATGGTAAATGCTTGATAAATGTTAGCTGCTATTACTATCTATTACTTTTTTTTTTTTTTTTTGAGACGGAGTTATTGCCCAGGCTGGAGTGCACTGGCGCCATCTCGGCTCACTGCAACCTCCAGCTCCCAGGTTCAAGCAATCTCCCACCTCAGCCTCCCGAGTAGCTGGGATTACAGGCACCCGCCATCATGCCCGGCTAATTTTTGTATTTTTAGTAGAGACAGGGTTTTACCATGTTGGCTAGGCTGGTCTTGAACTCCTGACCTCAAGTTATCCAACCACCATGGCCTTCCAAAGTGCTGGGATTACAGGTGTGAGCCACCACAACCAGTCTATTACTATTCTTGATTCCAAAGTTCACACTCTCAACTACAACATAATGACCTGCTAAGTGGGCAAAGGAGAAAAATTAATTCTGAATGATGCCATGGGGAAACGTTAGATAAATGAGTGGAGTCACAGAGGAGTGACGTCTGAAGGGGCCTTGATACAGCAGCATCTCACCCGGCAGAGGAGGGCAGGGGCACGTCCTGGAAGTACAGAGGGACAAGGTCTGTTTCTGTCCCTTGCCCTGGCCCTCCCCCACACAGCATCCTGCAGGTCTCCACCTCTGTCCCTCACTGTGCCCTGCCAGTACTCCCGCCTGCAGTGCCCATGGTCCCCTGCCTCAGCTGTCTCCCTAATCAGGGGCCCACAGCCTCTCCAGCAGGGAGTGGGAGCCCCTGGCACTTGGGGCCTGGGAGGGCCCCTGATAAACAGCTGGAGCTCTTGTTCACAGAATCTGTCATCTCTAAAGGAAAAGCAGAAACAAACCACAGAACCAGGGGAGCTGGCTGATAATGAGTCACATTGCTGCTGGCAGTTCTCCACTCAGTCCTCTGGCCTCTGCATCTGGGACTTCTTGCTTGTCCTTCAAGATCCACTGCAAAAATGTCTTGTCTCCACAAAGGCTTCCTTGACTGCATCCCCAGCCACCCCACACCCTGCAAGCTTCCATTGCATCCAGCACAAGATCCACTACTGCCATGTATTGCACTAAGTGGAAACTGGTCAGGTTGTGGGGTCCCAATCAGCCTGTGAGCTTCAGAAGGCAGGCATTGTGTCTCATGGACCTAGCCCAAAACAGAAGTGTCTATGGAAATAGTGTGATGACCTGAGTAAAATATGGGTGGAATGTGACATAGGCATTTAAGAAATCTATATATTGACATACAAAAAACAGTTTATTAAAAGGTTGTGTAGGTAGAAGGCAAAGGCTGGAAATTTTAACTTTTTCCAAAATAATAATTAACATTTTATATTTTAGCAACAAAATGTGGCCGGGTGTGGTGGCTCACGCCTGTAATCCCGGCACTTTGGGAGGCCGAGGCAGGCGGATCACGAGGTCAGGAGATCAACACCATCCTGGCCACCCTGGTGAAACCCCATCTCTACTAAAAATACAAAAATTAGCCGGGCATGGTGGCACATGCCTGTAGTCCCAGCTACTCAGGAGGCTGAGGCAGGAGAATCCCTTGAACCTGGGAGGTGGAGGTTGCAGTGAGCCGAGATCGCACCACTGCACTCCAGCCTGGGTGATAGAATGAGACTCCGTCTCTAAATAAATAATAAATAAAAGTAAAACGTCCACCTGAGAAGCCTTTATTTGTTTGTTTGTTTGAGACAGAGTCTTGCTCTGTCACCCAGGCTGGAGTGCAGTGGCACAATCTCGGCTCACTGCAAGCTCCGCCTCCCGGGTTCACACCATTCTCCTGCCTCGGCCTCCCCAGTAGCTGGGACTACAGGCGCCTGCCACCATGCCCGGCTAATTTTTTTGTATTTTTAGTGGAGACGGGATTTCACCGTGTTAGCCAGGAAAAAATACGGAACGCTTCACGAATTTGCATGTCATCCCTGCGCAGGGGCCATGCTAATCTTCTCTGTATCGTTCCAATTTTAGTATATGTGCTGCGAAAGTGAGCACCTGAGAGGCCATTTTTATTTAACTTGAGAGATCTCAGAAAAATGCCTTTTCCTTTAGTTTTATATACCTGACACAAAATTGAAAAAGCTATCTCCAGTCGGGCCTGGTGGCTCACTCCTGTAATCCCAGCACTTTGGGAGGCTGAGGCAGGCAGATCACCTGAGGTCGGGAGTTCGAGACCAGCCTGACCAACATGGAGAAACCCCATCTCTACTAAAAATACAAAATTAACCAGGTATGGTGGCACATGCCTGTAATCCCAGCTACTCAGGAGGCTGAGGCAGGAGAATCACTTGAACCCAGGAGGCAGAGGTTGTGGTGAGCCGAGATCGTGCCATTGTACTCCAGCCTGGGCAGCAAGAGCGAAACTCCATGTTAAAAAAAAAAAAAAAAAAAGAAGAAAAAGAAAAAGATATCTCCCACTACTTTTTAAATACTGTAACTAAATATTAAATGTTAAGGTTTTCAACTCATTTTGATTAATCAATGGAACATTTCAGTCATGTTCTAAAATACACAAATTAGATATTCTTGTGTTTTGGGGCAAACTACTCCATATTTTCTATCAGTTGTTATAAAATTGCAATCTATAAATAAGTATATCATCAATGGTATGGATTCAGTTTGTATAATGTCAGATACTTAAGTAAATTCACATAGCATAAAAAATGTAAAACAAAAAGGAAATGTAGGCCTGGAGCGGTGGCTCCCACCTGTAATCCCAGCACTTTGGGAGGCCAAGGCAGGCAGATCACTTGAGGTGAGGAGTTCGAGACCAGCCTGACCAACAAGGTGAAACCCTGTCTCTACTAAAAATACAAAAAATTAGCCGGGTGTGGTGGTGTGCACCTGTAGTCCCAGCTACTTGGGAGGCTGAGGCAGGAGAATTGCTTGAACCCGGGAGATGGAGGTTGCAGTGAGCTGAGATCGCACCACTGCACTCCAGCCTGGGTGACAGAGCGAGACTCTGTCTCAAAAAAAAAAAAAAAAAAAAGGAAAGGAAATATAACACCAGGCATGCAAAATGGTCCTAACTTTGTAAAAGGAGAAATGATTGCATGTGAACAGTATTCTATGATCCTATTTTAAAAGAATGAAACTATCAGTGAGTTTGTAGGCACAGAAAAAAAGGTTCAGAAGGACATCTAGTAACCCTTAACACTGATTTTCCCTGAGGGATAGGACTTAATGATTGGGGCGGAATTTAAACTTTTATTTTCTTCCTATTTGTAATGTGTTTTTACAATAAGGAAGTTTGTTTTATATTTATAATTACAATTTTTACTATTTAGTTTAAAAGTTAAATCTAAAAATTAACAATTTTTAAATTAATAAAGATGTAAGACTAGAAGGAAATCACAAAATGTAAACCAGGGCTGTCTTTGGGTGATAAGAACTATGGGTGATTTTTCTAACTTTTTCCTATTTTCCATATTGTCCAAATTCCTAAAAATAATCATCTTATAATTTTTTTAAAAACCTTGCCGGGAGCGGTGGCTCACGCCTGTAATCCCAGCACTTTGGGAGGCCGAGGCGGGCGGATCACAAGGTCAGGAGATCGAGACCATCCTGGCTAACAAGGTGAAATCCCGTCTCTACTAAAAATGCAAAAAAATTAGCCGAGCATGGTGGCCGGCGCCCGTAGTCCCAGCTACTCAGGAGGCTGAGGCAGGAGAATGGCACGAACCCAGGAGGAGGTGGAGCTTGCAGTGAGCAGAGATCGTGCCACTGCACTCCAGCCTGGGCGGCAGAGCGAGACTCTGTCTCAAAAAAAAAGAAAAGAAAAAAGAAAAACCTTAAGAACAAAGTCTTAATAAATGAATGCACGTTTCCCTAGCCCTTCTTGGCGCCTGCAACTGACCCAACATGCAGAAGGTTCTTGGCTCTCTCTCTGTCCTCCCTTGCTCCACTGTGTTGATCAGGTCCCCGGAAGGACTCTGTATGGTTCCAGCCTTCATCCACATGCCCTCCCCAGATCTAGACACTTGGGATGATGGTGAGGGGCTGAAGCAAGAATCCCTGGCCTTGCCAGGATGGTCATGGCTCCCACCCTGCCCTTGCCTTGCATCCCAGCCCTCCAAACTCTACCAGTTAACCTCTAAAGACCACTCGGCTCTCCGGGAAGCCTTCCCCTCACCCGTAGCCTCCCCTACTCCCCTTCTCTCAGAATTCCCACAGCACAGAGAGCCTGCACTCCAAGACTTCATGAGCAGTCACCCCCTTTATCCAGTTTCACTTTATTTATTTATTTATTGAGACGGAGTTTCGCTCTTATTGCCCAGGCTGGAGCGCAATGGCATGATCTCAGCTCACCGCAACCTCTGCCTTCTGGGTTCAAGTAATTCTCCCGACTCAGCCTCCCGAGTAGCTGGGATTACAGGCACGTGCCACCATGCCCGGCTAATTTTTGTGTTTTTAGTAGAGACAGGGTTTCTCCATGTTGGCCAGGCTGGCCTCAAACTCTTGACCTCAGGTGATCCGCGTGCCTCGGCTTCCCAAAGTGCTGGGATTATAGGCGTGAGCCACCGTGCCCAGCCTCAGTTTCACTATCTTTGGTTTTAGTTACCCATCGTGCAGTACAAAAAGATATTTTGAGAGAGAGAGAGAAACAGACCACATTCACACAACTTTTATTACAATATATAACTGTTCTGTTTTATTATTAGTCATTGTGGTTAATCTCTTACTGTACGTAATTTATACATTAAACTTTATCATTGGTATGTATGTATAGGAAGAAACATAATATACAGAGAGTCTGGTACTATCCGCTGTTCCAGGCATCCACTAGGGATCTGTGAATAAGGGGGACTAGTATTTGCCACCTTCTGTTCTGTTTCCCCTCACTCATTTGTTGGACCAACTTTTCCTAAGAGAATATCCTACAGAGTGATGGGCACTGCTGGAGAAACACGGACGGGCCCAAAGGCACAGAGCAGTCATCCTTCACATGTGCTGAATGAATGAGAGAAGGGTGGAAACCAATGAGACACAGAGCCTGTCCTCAAAGAGCTCCTAGTCTAGTAAGGACAATAATAGGTGTTGTTATCCACACATAATACACACTAGGAAACACCACCCAGGAGGCAGGGTATGTGGGAGGAGGAACTGGGTGGATTTAAACTGGGCTTTGAAGACTGGTCAAGTTTGGATGGAGAGAGGAGGATAAAGGGCATTCCAGGAAGGGGGACAGTGTGCACAAAGCAATGGAAGCAGGAACACCCCAGGATCTATTAGATCTAGCTAGCAGGGAGAGGGTTATAAAGATTCACTGTGGGTAAAGGCCTGGAAAGGTGAGTTGAGCCCAGATCCTAGGAGAACAGAACACCAACAGAAGGTGAATTTGATTTTGCAGGCCTTGGGAAGCCTCTAACAGTCTCTGAGCTTTAGAAATGTACAGTAATCCAGGTGGGTGCCCATAAAGGGCTGAAGGAGGCTGGCAGCCACAGGGAAGAGAGACGGAGAAGAAATTCCAAGCTTTGTTACCACCTTGCTAGCTTAAAGGAAGCAAGCATCACATATTAAGTGCTGACCATGGGGAAATCACTGCTCTGTCTTTAATCCTTGAAACAGTCGTGTGAGATGAGACAGTATGATCTCAATTTTCAGATTGAGTTCCACAAGGCTGAAGTTTGCCCATGATTCTGCTGGGAGAGATCCACGATCATCTTGCCAGGAAACAGTTCCAAGGATCCGAATCCAAGTTGGCCTGAATCCACAGGCCAAAGCACCCTCACTTTCTCCTATAATGTCTTTCATATTTACCAGTATCTAGCACTATGATGGTTCAGTACACACTGGAATGAGTGAATGAAGAAATGAATGAACAAATGATTGGATCCCAGGTTGGTAAAGAAAACCTCTCAGCACACACAAAAAGGGTGGAGGATGGAGGCGGGGAGGAGATGTAAGAATAAATGGAAAATAAAACAAACAATCGTTGTATTACCACTTCCTCTGGGGCTGGGTCATGGTTTTTAACGGTGTGCAGCGGGCACATCCAGTGTGGTACAGGCACATCCACAAAGAGAAACAAAGAGCTATTTATTTACTTCCTTTGAGGGGTAAATAAAGATCAGGTCAAAACAGGCTCCCCCCAACCGCCAGGGGGTCTTCCCCAGGTGTTGATGCAGCACTTGGCCTGGAGCAGTCACAGGTGGCCTCTGCTTGTGTGTCATCCCGCCTTCCTTTACACATGCGTGGGTCTGGCTCGCAAGGGAGGCCCCATGTGCAGTGGGGAAGTAGCGTAAGGGGAAAGGTGGCAGGGCAGGGCTTCCTCACCCCTCCGCCAGTGCAGCCAGGGCAGCAACATTTATACCACCAGGAGAGAGATGGGAGAGTCAACAAGTGGGATGGCGCTGGCCTAAGAGCTGGCTCGGGGTGCTGGAGGCCCCATGCTGGGCCAGGCAGTAGATATGCAGATGGCTGCATCTTGTGGGGATAGGACTAAGAGGGGGACCATGTACGGGTACAGCCAATCCCCATTATTCATGGAGTCTGTATTTGTGAATTTGCCTCCTTGCTAAAATTTGTGACCCCGAAATCAATACTTGAGGTGCTTTGTCATCTTTCACAGACATGCGCAAAGCCATGAAAAATTTGAGTCACCCAACATGCATGTTCCTGGCTGAGGTGGGACAGGGCAGTGCTCTGCCTGTTTCAGCTCTCGTAATGTAAACAAGTGTCCTTGTCACAGTCTACTTAGTGCCACCTTTTCTGCATTGCTGGGTTTTTTGTTGATTTCGCTGTTTGAAATGGCCCCCGAGCCTAGGGCTGACGTGCTGGCGAATGTTTCTAAGTACAAGATGACTGTATGCGCCTTACAGAGAAAATACATTAGATCAGGTTTGTTTGGGCATGAAGTATCGTGCTGTGGGGCATGAGTTCAATGTTAATGAGTTAACTATATATTCAATAAGGTGTCTTCAAACAGAAACACACAGAAAACAAAGTTATGTATTGATTAGTTGATGAAAGTCTTGTGACCAGTGGCTCACAGAAACCTAACCCTGTATTTCCCCTAGGAGCAATGGGCCAGTGTTCACCAGTTTGGTGTTCGTGGTGACTGTACAGAATATAACTGGTGAGAATAGCGAGAACTGGTAGTATTTAAATATTATAATAACTAGGGTAGCCGTATCCTTTGGGTACCTGTGAATGCCAGTCTGTATCTACTCATCCATCCGCCATCTATCATCTATTAAACACTAAGTACAAAATCCAACACTAAAAGCAAAAAATACAGGATGCAAGCAGGGTCCTGACCCTGTCACTGACCATCTTAACTGTACAATGGGGGAATCTGTACGTTAAGACTGACTCTGAAGGTTTTATTATTTTATTTGGCTTAGATATCCCTAGGTTGATATACTAGCATTGGGGCCTAAAAGTTTTGCCAGTGTTTACATCAGGCAAACACCTGTGTCACAATAACAGCCTAATACATACACTTATTAGGGCCAGGCACTGTTCTGAGTGCTGTACGTGCATAAAGCCTCCTAACAACTCATGTAATCCTCCTAATAGCCCTGTAAGGTGGATACTATTATTATCTCCAACTTACAGATAAGGGCACTGAGGCACAGAGAGGTTAAGAATGCACCCCATGGCTGGGTGCGGTGGCTCACACCTGTAATCCCAGCACTTTGGGAGGCCGAGGCAGGTGGATCACGAGGTCAGGAGATGGAGACCATCCTGGCTAACATGGTGAAATCCCGTCCCTACTAAATATACAAAAAATTAGCCAGGCATGTTGGCGGGCACCTGTAGTCTCAGCTACTTGGGAGGCTAAGGCAGGAGAATGGCATGAACCCAGGAGGCGGAGCTTGTAGTGAGCGGAGATCACGCCACTGCATTGCAGCCTGGGTGACAGAGCAAGACTCAGTCTCAAAAAAAAAAAATAATAATAATTCACCCTGATAACACAGCTGGTGTGTGGAAGAGGCAGAGGGGTTTATGCGCCTCCAGTGACATGGAAGGAGAACCTGCATCTTGTGAGGATCTCAGTCCACCCTCAGTGATGAGGAGGGTCCCTCTCCTTAGCCATGCCACTGGCACTGTTCAGTAGCAGGAAAGCATGAAGTGACATTGCGAGGCTGGGGCCACTCAGAAGTCCAGGCAAGCAGGGCAGGCATGGTGGCTCACGCTTGTAATTCCACCATTTTGGGAGGCTGAGACAGGTGAATCACCTGAGGGTAGGAGTTTGACACCAGCCTGGCCAACATGGTGAAACCCTGTCTCTACTAAAAATACAAAATTAAGGGGCCGGGCGCAGTGGCTCATGCCTGTAATCCCAGCACTTTGGGAGGCTGAGGAGGGCAGATCACCTGAGGTCAGGAGTTCGAGACCAGCCTGACTAATAGAGAGAAACCCCGTCTCTCCTAAAAATACAAAATTAGCCCAGTGTGGTGGTGCACACCTGTAATCCTAGCTACGTGGGAGGCTGAGGCAGGAGAATCGCTCGAACCCAGGAGGTGGAGGTTGCAGTGAGACGAGATCATGCCACTGCACTCCAGCTTGGGTGACAAAGTGAGACTCCATCTCAAAAAATAAAGTCAAATAAAATAAAATAAAAAAGAAATCCAGGGAGGAAAGCAGGGCCTGCATGAGGCCATGCCTTGGGGAATAAAGTGAGAGTGACCCATGCACGCAGGCAGACAGAAGGTCTGGGATCTAACTGTGAGAGGAAACAGGGAGCCTGACAGCTCTCCGAGCAGGCCAGGGCAGGGGGACCTCTCTTCCAGCAAGGCCAAGAGGGGCCCAGGAAGCCAAGCCCCAGGGAGAAGTCTGAGAGACCAAGGCCTCACAGAGGAAGTGTCTCCACAGAGATTTCCAATTGCCACGCCACCTTCTTTCCTGGAGCAAAGAGGTGCAGTTGGTGAACTAGGGCCACGGGTAATGGGAAGAATGGGAAGGAGAGATCCCATCCAACCTGGAACACTGGAGGGACAGCTAGAGTTGGAGGAGGGGTGAGTGAAGACATCTCCCCTCAGCTCACAGAAGAAGTCACACACCTCACCAAACTGAGAAAAATCAGATTCCACGCCTGGTGTGAGAGGGAAGTGAAACCGCACCTCCAATGCTCCACTGCCCTCCCCTCCGGCACTCTGGCCCATCCTGCACCCCGGCCGCCCCACGATGGCGGGCTCAGAGGTGAGGGCCTATCAGATGCATTCATGGGCTCCCTTAGGGCCTTTTGGGCTCTGAGTCACAAGGGTGGCTCTCTCAGAGCTGTGATGGCCTGGTCTCTCCTCCCCAGGGAGGCAGAAAGGGAACCAGGGAAAACAAGGCTTATAAGCTACAGAGGTAAGGGACTGTGCCCATCTTGTTCTTTCCTTTTTCACACACACGGAACATGGTACCCGGTGTATCCATGGTAAGCACTTAATAAACAGACACTGAGCGGATGAGTGAATTAATGAGTGAGTGAATGAATGAGTCAGCACTGGACCCACAAGGCTGCCTGTCAGCCTCTAGCCACATGGAGATTCCCACCTCCAGAGAAGAGCTCTACTACGTATGTTCCCCAAACTCCCTGTCAGCTAAATGTGACCTGTGACCAACTGGTGATCAAAGGGATAAGCTATCTGTCAATTGTTAGGTCTCGTTTGAAAATAAACCTCTTTTTCCCCTATTTTTGACAAACCTTGACCTCCCTGCCTCGACCCTGCTCACATTACATTTGACCTTCTCAACGACCTCTCTAAGGGATGGAGACATGACCCTCCTCTACCTCATCAGAGAACAGCACAGACCCTCTCCCCCCGCCGCCCCCCTGCCAAGGGGAAAATATGGTGCTCCTCAATGAACCTCACCCTGATCCTACAGGGTGCTCCTGGAAGAAGGGCTCCATGATGACCTCCAAGGGGCCTCTGGTCAAGGCGAAGGAGAATCAGACCCTCCACCTTTGACCAGAGGGGAGGGAGTCCAGCGTGAGGGCATTAGCCAAGGGGGTTCTGGTCCCTCTGCTCTAGGCCCCTCACAAAAAGAAGTCCAGCTGGGAACATTTTTCTCCCAGCAGGTCCCCATAGGAAAGCCATCCTCACCCACATGACACAGGCTCCCCATACCCTTCTCATCTAGATCTCATGGCAAAGATTGCCAACTGTCCCCTAAAATCCACTTTCCCTTCTTGTACCTTTGGTACTAGAAGCTCCACTATGTATGTTCCCCAAACTCCCTGTCAGCTAAGTGTGGCATGTGATCAGCTGGTGACCAAAGGGATGTCATCTGGCAACTTTGAGGTCATGCTCTGAAAAGGAAGGGCAGTGCCTTTTCTTTCTCGTCACTTTCCTCCCTCCCCACTGGCTGGCTGACGGACCCAGCAGCCATGGTGGGATGCCATCTCCCACACGCAAGGGCACAGGAGGGGCTTGGGCCCTCAACACCACCAAGGGGTCAGATCACCCACCCGGATCTGTATGGGAGAAATTTCCATTTTGCTAAGCCACTCTTGTTGGAGTCTGTGTTACAGCAGCCTAACCTCCCCTAGTTCCTATCCCAGCCCATTCTTTGGTGCCAAGATGCTGATGGGTAAAGGCGTGAAAAAGGGGCCTTGTCCTCATCCATGTCTCCAGCCCTTCACCTCCATCAGGTCAGCTTCCCAAGTGTCTGAGTGCCTTCCAGGTGGTTAAGACACCACTAGGCCGGGCGCGGTGGCTCATGCCTGTAATCCCAGCACTTTGGGAGGCCGAGACGGGCAGATCACGAGGTCAGGGGATCGAGACCATCCTGGCTAACACGGTGAAACCCCATCTCTACTAAAAATACAAAAAAATTAGGCAGGCTTGGTGGCAGGCGCCTATAGTCCCAGCTACTCGGTAGGCTGAGGCAGGAGAATGGCGTGAACGCGGGAGGCAGAGCTTGCAGCGAGCCGAGATCGCGCCACTGCACTCCAGCCTGAGTGAGAGAGCGAGGCTCCATCTCAAAAAAAAAAAAAAAAAAGACACCCGACTCCACCCCCACCTAATGCCAAATGAGGTTGGAGGTGAATGTCTCTCTCACCATACCCAATTTATTCCTCCCTCGAACTGACCATTTCTCAATTGCGTATCTCCTTCCCTGCTCAGGAAACCACTGTACTCAGGCCAACCCAACCCATGGGGAAGGTGGTAAGGAGGGCAGAAAGTGTGTGGGCTTAACACCAGAGCCCAAATCTCCTCCTCACTGCTCACCAGCTGTGTAACCCTGGACAGATCTCTTAGCCTCTCTAAGCCTCAGTTTTTTTTGTTTGTTTGTTTGTTTGTTTTTGAGACAAGAGTTTTGCTCTTGTTGTCCAGGCTGGAGGGCAATGGCTCAATCTCAGCTCACGGCAACCTCCGCCTCCTGGGTTCAAGCAATTCTCCTGCCTCAGCCTCCCAAGTAGCTGGGATTACAGGCTCCTGCCACCACACCCGGCTAATTTTGTACTTTTAGTAGAGACGGGGTTTTTCCACGTTGGTCAGGCTGGTCTCAAACTCCCGACCTCAGGTGATCCGCCCACCTTGGCCTCCCAAAGTGCTGGGATTACAGGCGTGAGACACCACGCCCGGCCGCCCGTTATGAAATGGGGGTAAAAATTGCTTACAGGTTTGTGGAGAGAAGATTACAAACTTGTAAAGTCCCTAGCACTGTGCCTAGCATGTGGTAGGTGCTCACTAAATCGTGGCTGCTCTTACTATGATGCTAAGCATGGGAATACGGAGGACACAGCTGGAGAGGAGACCTGATGACCTCCCTGGTGGAGGGTGGCCAGGGAAGGAGTGGAAGAGAGAGCTGGGGAGAGGAAACTGTGGCCATAAAGAGGAAGAGAGAGGCAGAGCTGGAGGTGACATCAGGGGAGAGAGAGGAGTGGGTTCGGCGATGGCCATGCTGGGCGAGGTGTGGAGAGCACAGCTGTGCTATCTATCAGCTGCCTCCAGCTCAGACAATTCCTGTGCCCATCTCATTTTTGTCTGCCCATCGCCTCTGCCGGGTTGGACACCCTTACCACCACGGTCACCGTTGCCACACTGTCGGCTGCTATTTCTTGCCTCATCTTCCTTCCTGCTCATGATATGGCAGAAGGTGGCAAGGGAAGCAGCTGCCCTCCGCCAGCAGCCTCCCTGCCACTGAAGGCTGAAGCTGTCCACAGGCATGGGTAAAGAGCTCAGGCTCCAAAGACAGATGAGCTGGGTTCCGTTCCCAGCTCTAGCACTTAGGAGCGGGATGACCTCAGCAAGGGAGATGACTCAGCTAAAGCTTCAGTTTCCTTATCTGCACAGTAGGGATAACAGGGCTGTTGAGAAGAAGGAATGAGATTATGCGTGGTAAGCACCCAGCCCAGCACAATGTCTGGCACACAGCAAGTGTTCAATACACGTTCGTGTTCGCTATTTTCAAGGCCAAATAGGTTTGTGACCTGTGCAGCCACACAGGGTCCCATGCTCAGGACGGGTCCCAAACTTGGTTAATGCTCTGTCACCACCACCTTGAAACGGTTTTTTTTTTTTTTTCCTAAGAGACAGGGTCTCACTCTGTTGCCAAGACTGTAGGATTGCAGTGGCATGATCATAGCTCACTGCAGCCTCGAACTCCTGAGTTCAAGTGATTGTCTCACCTCAGCCTGCTGAGTAGCTAGGAATACAAGCAGGCACCACCAGCTATTTTATTTTTTAATTTTTTTTTTTTTTATTATTTTTTAGAGACAGGGTCTCACTATGTTGCCCAGGCTGGTCTCGAGTTCCTGGCCTGAAGAGATCCTCCCGCCTTTGCCTCCTAAAGTGTTGGGATTACAGGCATGAGCCACTGCACGCAGCCTTGAAATTCTTAATAGTTTTTGAACAAGGGCTCTGCAAACTATGTAGCTAGTCCTGGCTATTATTAACATATATTTATTGAGTCTGCTGGCTGGCAGTGGCTATAGAAGGGGACACCTGTCCAGTAGTTTGTTAAAGATGTGGGACATTAGACGGCCTTGGGAGCCTCAAAGGAGGGATTTAAATACAGTGATGTGGCACCATGCCAGGTTGCCAGCAATTAGAGACTAAGAGGGCAGTGAGACCCCCACACATACTCTCACTGGGGCCGGGCACAGTGGTTCATGCCTGTAATCCCAGCACTTTGGGAGGCCGAGATGAGCAGATCACCTGAGGTCAGGAGTTTGAGACCAGCCTGACCAACTTGGTGAAACCCCATCTGTACTGAAAATACAAAATTAGCCAGGCATGATGGTGCATGCCTGTAATCCCAGCTACTTGGGAGGCTGAGGCAAGAGAATCACTTGAACCTCGGAGGTGGAGGTTGCAGTGAGTCAAGATCACAACATTGCACTCCAGCCTGGGCGACAAGAGTGAAACTCTGTCTCAAAAAAAAAAAAAAAAAAATTCCTCTCACTGGGCACTGGGGATGGATGGGGGTGCCCTCCCTGCAGACAGCCAGGACAATGGGCAGCCTCTGGAATGCACCATGCCTCCCTATTTCAACCATTCTCCCACCAAGGGCAAAGATGTCCAATGTACCTGAGGCAAACACTCACCCATCTGCCCTGTGGGTCCAATCCTCTGTGCAACCAGGACAGAGGCCATGCACAGCTCAGGAATACAGGTGTGTCCACGGAGGCCTACATCTTCAGGATATGGAGGGACACGTGGTAAACCAGTGCTGCCCCAAAGCCCCTAGGTGCCCATGTCCATCTGGGTCTTGCCGCTCAGGTTGGAGCTGGTATGGGGGTAGCACAGAAGAAGGGGTGCTCATTATACTTGTGGTGGCCTGAGGGATTGGTCCAGCTCCAGGAGACAGAAATATCTGCTCCTTCTCTTAAATTTTAAATCCCAGGGTAGTATGTCTAGAAAGTAATATGGGGTGTTTGGGGCAGTGACTTGAACCCTCAGGAAATATGGAGCCTTCTGGTTGTTCTGTGGAGCTGGGGATACCCCTAGATACTATGATGAGGCTATGATGAGGCATGACCTCCCAGAGCTGTGCAGAGACCACCTCAGGAGGCACATCTGGTACCTGCTGTCTGTCTCCCCTACTGGACTGTGGGCTCCTGGAGGGCAAGGCCCACCCACAGTGAGGCTGACCAGATGTGCACAGACCCGGCCTCCAGGACCACTCCACTGTCTCCTCTCCATGCCCCAGGTCCTGCCTCGCCTTCCCCAGACTCACCACCACAGCCTGGCCCTCTTGTGTTCCCAGGCCTTCCTGGAGCGGCCCAGGGGAGAGTCTGAGGGTGGCCCAGCCCGGCAGGTGGAGTCCAGCCTGGAAGAGGCCCCTTTCCATCTGCCTCCGGCCACCTGTCCTGAGTACTCACTCCTTCCAGACAGCTGGAGAGCGGCCCCAGAGCCTCTGGCTCAGGGGACTGGGGGAAGGAAGGCAGCTCTAAGGGAGCTGAGCCAAGGCTGGAGGGGAGGCCCCTGGAGCGGGTGGGAACACTGAGTGTGCGTGGATGGGGGTGGGGTGCAGGAAGGCACTTGGGAGAAGTGGGAATTGGGGGTGGGGTCAAAGAGTGGAATGTGGAGCTCATTCTCCTGGGGGCACAGCTGTTTATTCTGATCTCCCTCTTCAGCTGCTGCATGTTCCTTATCTTGGGGCTCAATCCAGACTCCACCTCCTCCTCTGTTGCTGAGCTGGGGAGGCAGACTCTATGGGAGACTTCCTGCTCTGGCCACCTTAGTTCCCCGCTACATCCTGCTAAAAGGGACAAGGGGGAAAAGCAGGCCTCAAAAAGAAATGTGTGCTCCACTTCAGACCCACTCTGTGCCCATCCGTAGGTTATTGGGGCTTGAAGCTGAGTCATCTGCCCCTCACCTGACTTCACCCACCCCTAACTGCCATGACAACGGGAGCCGGTCACCCCAGAGTCACCTGGATACTTCACAACTTTACTGGTGGCCCAGGACTTGCAGGGCTGGAAGATAGTGCAGGCTTATTGGAAACGTGGGGCAGAGGCGGCTGTGACCTCACAGGGTACTTCTCTGGGCCTTCACACTGTACTCCTTCCTGCCAACTTTACTCTCGGCACCTACTGTCCCCTGTGAGATGCTATTAAAGTAAGAAGACTAATTTTCCAAATACTTATGGAAACACAACTCATGACATGTTTTTGATTTTTCATGAACATTTCAAAAAGTGAAAAAAGCACTAGAAAAACAAAACCCTTTTAGTTCTGCTCCCCCAAGAAATAACCACTGTTAACACTGTGGTATATTTCCTTCAAGTCTTTGTGTGTGTGTGTCTAAAATACAGAGTTGTAAATATATGTACAATTTTGCATCCTGATTTTTCTCTTAACGTTACCATATAATTTTCATGTTACCACATATATTTTGCAACTGACTCTTTTTTTTTTTTTTTTTTTGAGACAGAGTGCAACGGCGCGATCTCAGCTCACTGCAACCTCCGCCTCCTGGGTTCAAGCGATTCTCCTGCCCCAGCCTCCCAAGTAGCTAGGATTACAGGCACGCATCATCACACCGGTCTAATTTTTTGTATTTTTAATAGAGACGGGGTTTCACCATGTTGGTCAGGCTGGTCTCAAACTCCTGACCTCAGGTGATCCACCTGCCTTGGCCTCCCAAAGTGCTGGGATTACAGGCGTGAGTCGCTGCACCTGGCCGACTCTTTTTTAAGAGACGAGGTCTTGCCCTGTCACACAGGCTGCAATGCAGTGGTGCCATCACAGTTCACTGAAGCCTCAAACTCCTGGGCTCAAGCGATTCTTCTGCCTCAGCCTCCTGGGTAGCTAGGACTGCAGACACATGCCACCACACCTGACTACTCTTTTTTATTTCTTGTACAGATGGGGCCTTGCTATGTTGTCCAGGCTGGCCTTGAACTCCTGGCCTGAAGCGATTATCCTGCCTTGGCCTCCCAAACTTCTAGGGGTTACACACGTGAGCCACCACACCCAGCTGACAAGGTTTTTTCTGCACTTAGAATTATTTAAT
Organism: Homo sapiens; assembly: GCF_000001405.40. Classification (NCBI taxonomy): domain Eukaryota; kingdom Metazoa; phylum Chordata; class Mammalia; order Primates; family Hominidae; genus Homo; species Homo sapiens. Next base: position 42,032,422 of record NC_000006.12, read on the forward strand.
TAGGACAGAGGCTGGAAAGTGGAATTACCAAGGCAGAGGCCTGGGATCTTTTGCAGGCATTTGATTTCAATACCTATGGCCAATTGGTTTCTGAAGATGGAATTTAGCACATGAGAAGGCCACAAGCCGGGCACGGGCACGCCCGCCTAGACTGCCATGTTAAGTATACCACTCACAGTGAGGTATCTTTTTAATGTGCCCATGTCCTGTTACCTTTGGTAGACTTTATTCTTCTCTGGCTGTTGGGTGTCCAGCCCCCTCCCTGACAGCACAGCCACTTCCCTCTGGGAGTTCCGTTTCCCCTATTGTAAATCCAGGAGCCAGGCTGCCTGACCTGTACCACAGAAACCTACCCATTTCCACGATGTGCAGACTGGCAGAGGTAACAGCCAGCTGCCCTCATCTTCCTGTAGTTCTCTCTTTCGAGCCCCTGGCACTTTGTCCATTTCCAAGCCTGGTTCTGCAGCTTTCCTAGTGAGTCTATGAGTTTCTGACCTTCTTCTAATACATTCCCTTTGCCTTATATTAGTCAGTCCACTTCTGCTGATAATAGAACTTTGAGAGTGATGCCTCCCCAACTTAGTGCTTTTTAAATGGCAAGTCGTTTTACTGTTCATGAAGTCATGAAGCTAATCATGACCAGCACGTTTTAAAAATGAAACAGCAAAATAGAATTTTAAAACATCAAAAGTATATCAACTGTGGCCAGGGTAAGTATTGTTCAGTGAGTCTTGTTTTATAATATATTGGCCGGGCATGGTGGCTCACGCCTGTAATTCCAGCACTTTGGGAGGCCGAGGCAGGTGGATCACCTGAGGTCAGGAGTTCGAGACCAGCCTGGCCAACATGGTGAAACCTCCTCTCTACAAAAACACAAAGTTAGCCGAGTGTGATGGCGCACACCTGTAATCCCAGCTACTCGGAAGGCTAAGGCGGGAGAATCACTTGAACCCGGGAGGCAGAGGTTGCATTGAGCTGAGATCACACCATTGCACTCCAGCCTGTGTGACAAAGCGAGACTCCATCTAAAAAAAAAATATATATATATGTGTATATATATGCACACATACACACACACACACACGCACACATAGATGTGTGTTTGTATGCATGTGTATAAAATGAGTTAAAATTAAAACATTTCAGCTGGGTGCAGTGGCTAACACCTGTAATCCCAGCACTTTGGGAGGCTGAGGCGGGCAGATCACCTGAGATCAGAAGGACGAGACCAGCCTGACCAACATGGAAAAACCCCGTCTCTACTAAAAATACAAAATAATTAGCTGGGCATGGTGGTGCATACTGTAATCCCAGCTACTTGGGAGGCTGAGGCAGGAGAATCACTTGAAAATGGGAGGTGCAGGTTTGGAGGTGAGCTGAGATTGCGCCATTGCACTCCAGTCTGGGCAACAAGAGCGAAACTCCGTCTCAAAAAAAAAAAAAATTAAAACATTTTTAATTTAATTTTAATGCCTATAATCCCAGCACTTTGGGAGGCCAAGGCTAGAGGATCACTTGAGGTCAGGATTTTGAGACCAGCCTGGGCAACATAGAAGAAACGCTGTTGCTACCAAAAGAATTTTTAAGTTATCCAAGTATGGTGGCATGCACCGGTAGTCTTAGTTACTGGGGAGGCTAAGGTGGGAGGATCGTTTGAGCCCAAGGCTGTGGTGAGCTACGATTGCACCACTGCACCCCAGCCTGGACTACAGAGCAAGACCCTGTCTTTTTTTTTTTTTTTTTGAGATGGAGCCTCGCTCTTGTTGCCCAGGCTGGAGTGCAGTGGTGCGATCTCGGCTCACTGCAACCTCTGCTTCCTGGGTTCAAGCAATTCTCCTGTCTCAGCCTCCCTAGTAGCTGGGATTACAGGTGCCCGCCACCACACCCGGCTAATTTTTGTATTTTTAGTAGAGACAGGGTTTCGCCATGTTGGCCAGGCTGGTCTTGAACTCCTCACCTCAGGTGATCCACCCGCCCTGGCCTCCCAAAGTGCTGGGATTATGGGATTACAGGCGTGAGCCACCGTGCCTGGCCAACCCTGTCACTCTTTTTTTTTTTTTTTTTTTTTTTTTTTTGAGATGGAGTCTTGCTCTGTTGCCAGGCTGGAGTGCAGTGGTGCGATCTCGGCTCACTGCAACCTCCGCCTCCCAGGTTCAAGCAATTCCCCTGCCTCAGCCTCCCGAGTAGCTGGGACTACAGGCTCGTGCCACCATGCCCGGTTATCTGTGTGTGTATTTTAGTAGAGATGGGGTTTCACCGTCTTGGCCAGGATGGTCTCAATCTCCTGACCTAGTGATCCGGCCGCCTCGGCCTCCCAAAGTGCTGGAATTACCGGCTTGAGCCATTGCGCCTGGCCGACTCTGTCTCTTAAACAAATTTTTTTTCTAGTTTTGAAAAACATTGCCCTAACTGAACTTAAGTTACTTGAGAATAAAGAACAGAGCAATCCTTCCTAGATGTTTTTTATATTTCTCCTCAAATCTTTAGTACCTAGAAAAATACACTTCCTTGCCAAGAGTGCTATATTTCAAGGTCCACCCATTATTTCCCCCCATTCATAGCCTGACACCTTTCCCTATTCTTCAGTTAATGATGGTAAATGGTAATGGCCATCTTTTCCTCCTGGTTTAAAACTTGTTAATGCAACCAATATTCTGCCAGTCATCCAGGCTGAAAGTTCAAGGGTAGTCCCTGATTCTTCTCATTCATGCTCTTCCTGGAGCACAGGGCCTATTAGGAGAGAAGGAATGCCAGCAGCAAACTACAGCGCAGGGCAACCTACTCCCTTGCGGAAGCATGCATGGTGCCTCACGGGGGAAGGGCAGAGGACTCTTCAGATCTTCCTACCAAATAATTACTAATTTCCATTGCTTCTACTTTCAAAATAGTTTCCCAGCTCACCCCCTTGTTTCCATTTCTACTGGCGTCACCCTAGTTTCTTTTCTTTTTCTTTTTTCTTTTTTTGAGACGGAGTCTCACACTGTCGCCCAGGCTGGAGTGCAGTGGCTCGATCTCGGCTCACTGCAAGCTCTGCCTCCTGGGTTCACGCCATTCTCCTGCCTCAGCCTCCCGAGTAGCTGGGACTACAGGTGCCCACTACCACGCCTGGCTAATTTTTTGTATTTTCAGTAGAGACGGGGTTTCACTGTGTTAGCCAGGATGGTCTCGATCTCCTGACCTCGTGATCCGCCCACCTCAGCCTCCCAAAGTGCTAGGATTACAGGTGTTAGCCACCGTGCCCAGCTAGTTTCTTTTCTTTTCTTTTTTTTTTTTTGAGCCGGAGTCTCACTCTGTCTCCCAGGCCAGAGTACAGTAGCGCGATCTCGGCTCACTGCAACCTCCACCTCCAGGGTTCAAGCAATTCTCCTGCCTCAGCCTCCCAAGTAGCTGGGATTACAGACACCCGCCACAACGCCTGGCTAATTTTTGTATTTTTAGTAGAGACGGGGTTTCACCATTTTGGCCAGGCTGGTTTTGAACTCCTGACTTTGTGATCCCCCCACCTCGGCCTCCCAAAGTGCTGGGATTATAGGTGTGAGCCATCACTCCCGGCCTAAAAATTATTATTATTATTTTGGGTTTTTTTTGAGACAGAGTCTTGCTCTGTCACCCAGGCTGGAGTGCATTGGCCCAATGTTAGCTTGCTGCGCAACCTCTGCCTCTCGGGTTCAAGCGATTCTGCTGCCTCCACCTCCCAAGTAGTTGGGATTATAGGCATGTGCCATCATGCCCAGCTAATTCTTGTATTTTCAGTAGACATGTGGTTTCACCATGTTGGCCAGGCTAGTCCTGAACTCCTGACCTCAAGTGATCCATCTGCCTCGGCCTCCCAAAGTGCTGGGATTACAGGTGTGAGCCACCATGCCTGGCCTAAAAATTATTATTTATATATATATATATATAAAATATATATATGGAGCCTTGCTCTTGTTGCCCAGGCTGGAGTGCATATATACTATATATATATATATATATATATATATTTTTTTTTTTTTTTTTTTTTTTTGACACAGGGTCTCCCTCTGTCACCCAGGCTGGAGTGCAGTGGCACAATCACTACTCACTGCAGCCTCCACCTCCCAGGTTCAAGCAATCCTCCCACCTCAGCCTCCTCCTGGTCTACAGGCGCACACCACCAAGCCTGGCTAAGTTTTGGGTCTTTTGTAGAGACAAAATTTTGCCATGTTGTCTAGGCTGGTCTCCAACTCCTGGGCTCAAGTTATCTGCCCGCCTTGGCCTCCCAAAGTGCTGAGATTACAGGCATGAGCCACTGTGCCTGGCCAGTCCTCTCTTTTCTAATGAGATACCTGCCTGAGGCCAAATTTTCTTCATATACATCAATGAAAACATATTGCAACAGATTAAATCAGAAACTGATGAAAATCCAGCTGTCTTCTATGAAGTCAGGCATTAACGAGATTTGCAAAAATGTAAAACAAGGCTATACTTCTCATTATTTTTGTTTTGGAAAATAGTTTTCATTTAAAAAAATACAATGCTTATGGATTTTTTGTTTTGTTTTGTTTTGTTTTTTTGAGACAGACTCTTGCTCTGTCACCCAGGCTGGAATGCAGTGGCGTGATCTCAGCTCACTGCAAGCTCCGCCTCTCGGGTTCACGCCATTCTCCTGCCTCAGCCTCCCGAGTAGCTGGGACTAAAGGTGCCCGCCACCACACCTGGCTAATTTTTCTGTATTTTTCAGTAGAGACAGGGTTTCACTGTGTTAGCCAGGATGGTCTCGATCTCCTGACCTCGTGATCCACCCGCCTTGGCCTCCCAAAGTGTTGGGATTACAGGCGTGAGCCACTGTGCCCGGCCGTTTTGTTTTTTTTTTTAAGACGGAGTCTCGCTTTGCCACCAGGCTGGAGTGCAGTGGCACGATCTCGGCTCACTGCAACCTCTGACTCCCTGGTTCAAGCGATTCTCCTGCCTCAGCCTCCCAAGTAGCTGGGACTACAGGCATGCACGACCATGCCCAGCTAATTTTTGTATTTTTAGTAGAGACGGTTTTCAACATATTGGCCAGGATGGTCTCAATCTCTCGACCTTGTGATCCGCCCGCCTCGGCCTCCCAAAGTGCTGGGATTACAGGCGTGAGCCACCGCGCCTGGCCAAAAAAAAATTACAATGCTTATGTTAACATGCAATGAGTTTCTTATTGTTACTTTAAATAAATTAATATTTAAAATTTCTCATATCAAATTTTTTATCAGAAACAAAATAACAACAGGTATAGGGAGGGACAAGTCAAAAGCTTATATTATTTATTCCAGGGAATGCCATGTCGGGTGCACCGATTATTAGGTATAGCCTAAAAAACAAAAGTTCTGGCCAGGCATAGTGGCATGCGCCTGTAATCACAGCACTTTGGGAGGCCGAGGCGGACGGATCATGAGGTCAGGAGTTCAAGACTAGTCTGACCAAAATGGTGAAACCCTGTCTCTAATAAAAATACAAAAATTAGCTGGGTGTGGTCGCACATGCCTGTAATCCCAGCTACTCAGGAGGCTGAGGCACGAGAATCGCTTGAACCCGGGAGGCGGAGGTTGCAGTGAGCCGAGATTGCGCCATTGCACTCCACCCTGGGCGACAGAGTGAGACTCGGTCTCAAAAAAAAAAAAAAAAAAAAGTTCTTTGGGATCCTCAATAATTTTTCAGAATGTAAAGTGGTCCTGAGATCAGAAGGCTTAAAAATTGCTGCAGCAGACCTAATATGTCAGTCTCTAAAATGCCCAATTCCAAGCCTGGTTATCTAGTTCTTGGTATTCTTTACCCTTATTCACATTTTTACCTCTTGGCCCCATTGTGCTGCTGGATTTTTTTTAACTATATTAGGGCAGGGTGCAGTGGCTCACATCTGTAATACCAGCACTTTGGGTGGCCAAGGTGGGCAGATCGCTTGAGCCCAGGAGTTCAAGACCAGCCTGCGCAACATGGCAAAACCCTGTCTCCACCAAAAATACAAAAAATTAACTGGGCGTGGTGGCTTGTGCCTGTGGTCCCAGTTACTTGGGAGGTTGAGGCAGGAGAACTGCTTGAGCCCAGGAGGCAGGAGCTGCAGTGAGCTGAGACTGTGCCACTACACTCTAGCCTGGGTGACAGAGTGAGACCCCATCTCAACTAAAAAAAAAAAAAAGCAAGAAGAGGGCATATCAAAAATAATCATTGTTCTACAAATAATAGTGATTATAGAAATAACCACTAGTTCTTTTAGAAATAAGAAATAATCAGTAATACTATAGAAAAAGAATAAGAAATAAGCCTAATAATTGCCATAGAAATAACATAAAAATTATTTCTATAATATGGCCTTCAGTAAAAAACTCAGAACATTCAGAAGAGTAAAAAGACCCAAAAGCAACCACCATTTAAAACTGCTCCGGAATAATTTCTCATCTAATCCATTCTTCTTTTATCTCCTCAAATGGCACCTTTGAGAAGAAATTCCTGGTTAACCCATGCAAAAGCAACCACTCCTTCCTCCAGATTCCCACAGCATTGTAGTTGAAACCTTTCTTGAGGCCCAGCTAGACCATAAAAGTATGCATACTGAATTCCTAAATGTGCATATTTAACGGTCATAAATTCAGTTATATCTACTGGAAGAGACACCAACCAACCACAGAAACCTATGTACTATTTATATGATGTGATCCCTTCACCCAGGCTTAACATAATGCTTAACCAAAGACCAGAGCCTGTGTTCCAACAAAAACTGGCCATGCTGAGGAATCTTAGAAATGGAAGAGAATGTCCAAATCATGTATCCTGTGTTTTATGAGCAGTCTCTTTAAAATAGAGACTTTAATAGTAACTTTGATGTGTGTCTTGTTTTTACACTGACTTTGAACCCAACACTGTGTCAAATGTGGCTCCACTACATGAAGAATGGACAAGTGAATGGTTCCAAGGCCTCTGAGACTTACAGATGTTGGATGAATATACTAGGTGACTGAGCCCAGGAGTCCTCGACCCATGTAGTCCTGTCCTCTGGACAGGGTATGTGGCATCCCCTCTAGGCCAGGGCTGCCACCCATTGCTGGGTGAAGGTCTCAGGTGTCACTTGAAGGCCAAGGTGAGAGGTCCTGCACTAGGACCCAGCTGAACCACCCCCTCCAGACTTACGCTCTCAGCTGCTGGCCTAATCGCACACTCCTCCCAAAGCCTGAGTCTCATACAAGAGCGAGGAAAGGAAAATGAGCATTGAAGGGCAGCTGGAGGAAAAGCTTGTTTGCACCATTGCCGCAGTTGGGGTGGCTGTGGTTGGGCTGATTCAACCAGAGCTCCCCAGATAGGTTAGGGCCCAGCCCCACCTAGCAGAGCTCACATTCACCACCACCCACTCCTGCTTCCGGGGCTGTGTGTGACACCTGATCTTCCTGCTGTGGCAGGGCTGGGGCACCCTTGCTCCCTCCCTTCCACCTTCTTGGCTTAGTGGACAATCCTAAAGCACTGGCCAGAAGGCACTGGGGGATCCAGGATGCTCTGGGCTTGCCCGGGGGGATTCGTGTCAACACCATCACATCTCCGTGCATCCCTGCATGTCACGCACACAGGCAGTCAGGGGCCTACCAGCCTGCTCTACTAGTCCTGAGACTGTGTACGTGACAATGTCTCAACAGGGAACCCAGTGTAATCTCACACTTGCCCTGGTAGGTGGATACACATGTGCACACACACGTGTGTGGTGCACACAGTGTGCATGAAAAGTCTGAACCGGGCACAGTGGCTCACGCCTGTAATCCCAGCACTTTGGGAGGCTGAGGCGGGTGGATCACCTGAAGTCAGGAGTTCAAGACCAGCCTGGACAACATGACGAAACCCTGTCTCTACTAAAAATACAAAAATTAGCTGGGCATGGTGGTGGGAGCCTGTAATCCCAGCTACTTAGGAGGCTGAGGTAGGAGAATCACTTGAACCTAGGAGGTGGAGGTTGCAGTGAGCTGAGATCGTGCCATTGCACTCCAGCCTGGGCAACAGAGCGAGACTCTGTCTCAAAACAAAAACAAAAACAACAACAAAAAAGAAAAGTCTGACTGAGGTCAGAGTTATTTCAGCCACCAGGCTCTCAATACAACCAGCTATATGACTTTGGACTAGATACTTAACCTCTGTGCCTCAGGGGCTTTATCTGCAAAATAAAAAACCTCGGCCAGGCACAGTGTCTCATGCCTGTAATTCCAGCACTTTGGGAGGCTGAGGCGGGTGGATCACAAGGTCAGGAGTTCCAGACCAGACTGGCCAACATGGTGAAACCCAGTCTCTACTGAAAATACAAAATTTAGCTGGGTGTGGTGGTGGGTGCCTCTAATCCCAGCTACTAGGGAGGCTGAGGCAGAGAATTGCTTGAACCCAGGAGGCAGAGGTTGCAGTGAGCCGAGATCGTGCCACTGCACTCCAGCCTGGGTGACAGAGCAAGACTCCATCTCAAAAACAAACAAACAAACAAAAAAAAAACAAAAAAAAAAACCTCATAGAATATGTTTGTGAGGAATAGCTGAGAAATGGGTTAATAAATATCCATACTTATTATAAACTGACTTATGTACAAATGGCATACAGGATATGGCAGCACTTACAACAGCCCCTGGCACATGGAAGTGTTGTGTAAAGATGCACTATTATTATCACCAACATCTTGAGTGCCATGTGTCTGGGAACACATGAGGATTCAGAGAAAAGCCACACAACAGATTCCCACAAGAAGCACCAAAAAATGACTTCTAGAACCTGTGTCAGAGGAAAGGCAGAGAAGAAACAGGGGGGAGGAAAAACTTTCTGAGGACCACCCAGGAGGCACCCAGCTCAAGTCCAGTGACTGAAAAAAGTTTTAAGAACCCAAAAGGCTGGGCCCAGGCCGGAAAAGGCTGTACCCTCGGAGATCAAGGGATATGAGAGAAAAACTCAGTTGGGTCCTAGAGGTAGAATTCAAAGAAAAGATGGGAGTTCCCCCAGGACCAGCAGGTACCAGCTGACTGGAAAGAAGGAAGAGAAGGCCTGGAGAAAACTAGCATGTTCTATGCCCTGGCCTACGCTCAGTCACTCAGTACATCTGAGGGCTTGTAACCCCAGGATGAAAATAGATGCCACATTTGAAGAGTCTCCAAGTTTGTGGTTCTATAGCAGACACCGCTTACAGAAAAGACAATGGAGCTGGGAGGAAAGGAAAAGGCAGCCTTGCATCCTAGGGGCCGGCTGCTGGGAGGAAACAGCACTCCTCCCCTCTATAACCCAAAGACAGCTTTGTGATAGCCACTTGCCAGAGTAGAATAAACCTCCCCTGGGCCTTATTCCCAGTGGATTCCACAGCACCCAGCATGGCAAAGCTTAACAAACCAGAGCTTAAGACTTTGCGAATAATAAACAGACGTCTTCCCAGGGACAGGCAGACTGGGGGCCCTCTGCGCCTCATGCTCCTGCCCCGGGCTGGTCCTCCCTCCTCCATCTGGAGCCCAAATTGGAGCTCAAGGTCTGCATCTGTCTGAGGCCCCTGCTCCGGCTTCCTTTCCCAGAACTCAGGGACCTCAGGGGAGGTGGCAGGGAGGAACAGCAGAGAAGGAAGAGAACAGAGAACAAGAGGGAGGGTGAGTTGGAGCAGCAAAAGCTGGGGCCAGAACTGGGAGTTTCTGGGACAGCCCCAGCTTCAAATATTCTGTCCAACTGTCTGACCACAGGCCAGAGCTTGTGGACCGATTTTTATTTTAGAAAAGAGGATAACATGAAGCCATAGGTGGGATGGTGAGGAAAGAAACCAGGGCTGTCTCTTTGGATCTAGATGGCCCCATATCCACCCCGAGGACCTCTATCTGGGAGACGATGATGCCCATGATATGGTGATAATGACAGCAGCTATCACTCAAAGGACGTATGGCCTGCCCACCACTCAGCAGGGCTTTGTGTGTACTGCCTCATAATCTTAGGGAAGCGTAGGCTCGGAAGTGGGTTTTTTTTTTTTTGAGACGGAGTTCCGTTCTTCTTGCCCAGACTGGAGTGCAATGGCGCGATCTCGGCTCACCACAACCTCTGCCTCCTGGGTTCTAGCGATTCTTCTGCCTCAGCCTCCCGAGTAGCCGGGATTACAGGCATGCGCCACCACACCCAGCTAATTTTGTCTTTTTAGTAGAGACGGGGTTTCTCCATGTCGGTCAGGGTGGTCTCGAACTCCTGGCCTCAGGTGATCCACCCGCCTCAGCCTTCCAAAGTGCTGGGATTACATGAATGAGCAACTGCGCCTGGCTGGAAGTCTTAATCCTGCAGTCTCTCTGCCTCCCCTGTGCCTCAGTTTCCTTATGTATAAGAAGCAGAATAATAATGCCTCCCTCATGGTCTGCCGTGAGGATGCAAAAAAGACACCTGACATATAGTAGGCATTCAACTAATATTGGTTATTATTAATTCTCACCATTACCCAGAGAGGTGGGGTCTATAGTTATGCCCATTTTACAGACAAAGAAACTTTCACACAGCCAGAAAGGAGCTGAGCTAGGACTCGAAGTGGGGTCGTTTGTCTGTAGAGGCTCTCTCGACCACTCCATGAGAGATGGCACAGATTAGTGGTTACATGCACAAATGTTACAGCCAAATGGCTGAGTCAGACTTCCAGCTCAGCCACAGATGGGCTGTGTGTAAGGAAGCAAGCTGCTAGACCTCTCAGTACCTTGGTTTGCTCACCTGCAAAATGGGTGTCTCTGGCCAGGCACAGTGGCCCACGCCTGTAATTTCAGCACTTTGGGAGGCCGAGGCAGGAGGACTGCTTGGGTCCAGGAGCTCAAGACCAGCCTGGGCAACAGGGTGAAACTGCAAAACACTATCTCTACAAAAAACTAGCTGAGTATGCTGGGCGCGGTGGCTTACACCTGTAATCCCAGCACTTCGGGAGGCCGAGGCGGATGGATCCTGAGGTCAGGAATTCAAGACCATCCTGGCCAACATGGTGAAACCTCGTCAAAGATACAAAAAGTTGGCAGGGTGTGGTGGCGGGTGCCTGTAATCCTAGCTACTTGGGAGGCTGAAGCAGGAGAATCACTTGAATCTGGGAGGCGGAGGTTGCAGTGGGCCAAGATCGTGCCAATGCACTCCAGCCGGGGCGACAGAGTGAGACTCCATTTCAACAAAATAATAAAAAATTAGCTGAGCATGGTGGCGCCACGCGTGTTGTCCCAGCTACTCAGGAGGCTGAGATGGGGAGATCAACTCTGCCTGGGAAGTCGAGGCTGCAGTGAGCCGAGATCACGCCACTGCACTCCAGCCTGGGCGACAGAGTGAGACCCTGTCTCAAAAAAATCAGGGTGTCCTTGCTCATTCTGGGCTCTGCCTCTGTGTCCCTGGAGGCCCAGTGGCTCTGTGCCTCTCTAAAGGTCTGAGGGGGCAGCAAGCAGATCTGGGCCAACGACGGAGGTACCAGCAACCGTCTCCTTCCAGAGATAACCCCTCAGCCCTCACCTCAGGAACGACTGTCCTGGGGAATTTCACCCAGGGTGGGAGAACTGGTCAGGCCACTGAGTGCAAATAGTTTCAGAGAGGTGGGGCTCCTGAGGCCCCTTCCGGGAGATGACACAGGTGTCATGCCCTCTGAAGGGCATAAAAGGCCATGCCACATTAGCTACCCTGCTGGCTCGCAGGGCCGTCGGTCCTGCCCTCTGCTCTGGGCACACGGGTCCCTCTCTCTCAAAGGGAAAGGACAGTCAGGAAGGGGAAAGAGAAGATGTGGAAGAAATCCCTGACCTGGGGACGGGTGTATGCCGCAGAGGCGGAGGCCTGCACGTTCTGGCCGGAGCCTGGACAAGACAGAAGAGCACCTTTTACGGGGGCTTTGCTGGATCAAAAGCAGTTCTCTGGGCCCCGGTGTGTAAACAGCTGGTGATGGGCTGGGAGCAGAGGCTCCCTGAAACCAGTCAGCGCCTGAAGAACCCGGCAACACTCTTCATTCACCCAATCCAGTCACCCCAAGGTGACACACGGGGCAACAGCTCCACCTGGTGGACGATCAGGGACTACCACGGGCCAGGGAGTATGGGAGAGCAAAGAATGACATAGAAGAGGAAAGCAGGGGGAAAATCACATCAGGGGTTTACAGGCGAAGGGGCTTTGAGGTCGTCTTGCTGGCAGAGGCCCCTCTTATAGCATGAGCTCTAAGCCCCATTTGTTAGAAAGTTCTACGTTTTTTGAAAATCTGCCTCCACTAGTCCCACTAACCCCCTACTTCAAGGTTTGCCAGGGCAAACTTTTAAATATTTGCATACAGCTATAGTATTCCTCCTAAATCTTCCCCTTTGCTGCAATCTTCCAGAATTTGACCTGACCTCTCACCTCCTGCATCTTTTTTTAACTTGGCTATCTTTTCTTTCTTTTCTTTCTTTCCTTTTATTTATTTATTTATTTATTTGAGACGGAGTCTCACTCTGTTGCCCAGGCTGGAGTGCGATGGCGTGATCTTGGCTCACTGCAACCTCCGCCTCCCGGGTTCAAGTGATTCTCCCACCTCAGCCTCCTGAGTAGGTGGGATTACAGGCCCGTGCGACCACGCCCGGCTAACGTTTTTTTTTTTTTTTTTTTTGTATTTTTAGTAGAGATGAGGTTTCACCATGTTGGTCAGGCTGGTCTCGAACTGCTGACCTCGTGATCCGCCCACCTTGGCCTCCCAAAGTGCTGGGATTACAGGCGTGAGCCACTGTGCCCAGTGGCTATCCTTTCTTAAATACATTAACTTCCAAGGAATCCCTTCCAATTCTATCCCTCTCCCATACTAGCAGCAGCATTTAAAAAAATCCCTTTATATTTCAGCCTCCCTGTCTCAGTGTTTGATATATTAGGAAAGTCAATGCTCAGACTGAGAGTTAATTCACGAGTAAAGAGCCTAGACTTTGAAATCAGATAGATCCTCGTTCAATTCCAAGCTCTGCCACTTACTAGCTAAATTACTTTGAGCAAGTTTGCCTTTCTGAGCCTCAGTTTCCTATCTGTAAATTGGAGATAGAGGTGTTTACTACCTAGAGTTGTGGTGAATAAATATTAAATGAGACAGTACAAGTAAAAACTTAGGGACAGCTCCCGCAACACCATTCAGCTCCTAAGTGGCAATTACAGCCACATTCCTCTGAGTTTAAAGGTTGTAGGAAATGCTTTGGGGAAGAGAAAAGTGAAGGGGCCAAAGAAGAGACTTTCTGGAATTAGCCTTTCTCAACCTGCACGAATCCCAGGGGAATTCCAACAGATGGGTAACTTGTTCCAATGCCATTTCTAGCAGTGTCTGTTGCCACCCCTAGAAAGGGGCAGGCCTTGACAGCTCTTTGAAACTTGAGGATTTAAAATTTAAATGTCTTTGAGAGCAAGATAAACACATCTACTGCTCAGCAGGGAAAGGGAAACTTGGCAGGGGCCCCAGAACTTTCCCCACCCCCAGCCCTCCCTAAACTTCCTCTTGTGGTTTTTCAAGAGTACAACCTGTTCTCCACAGCCAAGCCAGTGCCTGGGGCAGGGGGCCAGGGCGTGCCAAGGGCTCCGCTGCACCCCACCCTACCAGCGAGTGAGGGAGGAAGGTGCGTGCGTGGGAGAAGAGCAGCTTGGAGGTTTATAGTTCTTAAGGTTCACGTCCTGCTTACCCGTTTTCTCAGTGCAGCCACCCTCCACCCAGTTCCCACCCTCGACTCCCAGCATCAATACCCATGCCCCCAACACACATCCCTTTCTCAAAGACAGATGCACGAAGTGCTTTGACTGCAGGCAGAGAGGGACCGCCTCAAGGCCTCCCCAAACCTGTGGGGAGGGCCCTTGTAAGAAATTTAAAAGCGTTTCAGAAAGGAGGTGGAAAAGGGGCTGGAATCCATGGAAACTGTCCCGTGCTCTCGCTTGCATCACCAGCATTATCCCAGCCTGTCTGGAGGGACTGGGTAGGATATACAGATGCAGCTTTGGAAGCAGGAGCTGTGGGAAAGAGAGGTGTGAGCATCTTAAGCCTGGACCCACTCCTTGGCCATCTTCCTTACTCATCTACCAAGCTGGAATGCACATCTAGAATGTGAGCATCTCTGCTATTCTTAATTCCCAACAAAAGAGGTGTCTTGGTTTCCCAAATCCCCAGATTCTGGCACATCACGTCCAAGTTGAGAAGTTCTTTCTTGAATATAATCTTAGTTCATTCCTCCCGGTTTATTCATATTCCTCCTTTCCCTTTGAGTGAGGCTTACACAGGGGGAAACATTCATACGTTTGTGTGCACGCACACACGCGCGCGCACACACACACACACAGCCATCAGGAAAGGATACCAGCTCTGTGCAGTTCCCACAACTCTATTCCAGGCCTGCTGGGCTCACTGTAAACAGTACCAGCCCTATGGCTCAGCTAACAGATGGCTGTATCATCCAAGATACAGGACCACAGACTCCCTTTAGGAAACTCCTAAGTTCCTGGCTCAAGTGCACATTTTTTGTGGTCAGCGAAGGAGGCAGGCTAGCCTAATGGTTAAGAATAAAGCCTCCCAAATCAAGTGACCTAGGTTTAAATCCCAGCTCTGCCATTTGTTTCTTGTGTCTGAAGGAAGATTACTTATCTCCAGTGCCTGCGTTTCCTCGTCTATAAAATGGAGAGAATCCTAATGCCTACCTCATAGGACTATATTAGGAGGTTTAAATGAGATATGATCTCTAAGCCACTTAGAAGAGTACCTGACAGTGTTATGTAACTGTTAGCTAGTATTCTAAGCCCTTGAGGGAAGGGGAAGCCGGAAGGAGAAGATGTTTGGGACCATGGAGGTCATGATCTCAATAACTGGCATAGACTAGAACTCTGCTACAATTATCAGAGGCTTTCAGTGTTAAGTTCCAGGGGAAGAAACTCTGATTTGATTACCATGACATCCCCAACAGCTGTGGGAATAGCCTGTGCAGATGGAGTATGGCCATAGCAAATAGGTGCTGAATGAATTCATAAATTGCTGTGTCAGTCATTTCCCGAAGGAGCCCCAGAATTGAACGGCCAGAAGAATCTGTGAGGAAGCAAAGGGAGATCCACTTCTCTATCCACGTCTGGTCCCAAAGAGAAATGAGGTGGTAGGCAGAGGGCAAGGACTCGTCAGAGGAAACAGTCTCAGAGTCCAGGGATGAGGAGGGGGTGCCCAGGATTGTGTGGACTGTCACATCACCCCCAGGTGGACCCTCCCAGCTGTACCCAGCTGGGAATTCCTGGGTTCTTGGGACCCAGCCCAGAAAACTGCCTTTTCTGGGATTCATCCTGTTCATTCCCTTGATGGTTAGACAGTGGATTAAAGGGAGCAGGAATTGTTTCTGGGTCGCCCCTATATTCCAGTGTCCAACACCACAGCTGGGGTTCAATCCAGTTCTGTGGAATAAGTGCCCCCAAAGACTTCTATGCTTTTCATCCTTCTGAACCCAACTCAAATGTCCTTTTCTCTCTGAAGCCTTCCCAGCCACCCCAGCCAGTGTACTTGGCATCTATGTCTATTGTTTTGTGATCCATATTAGCTGTGGATGAATAACATCATTGCACCCTCAGCATTCCATATAATGCCAGGCACATAGTAGGTGTTCAATCAATGCAAATGAATAACTTAATGCTCCCTTAGTAACAGCAACCAATTTATTCAGTTATTCCTCTTGTTGGCACTTCAAGAGACACAGAAGAAGCTAAGATCATCATCTATGTATCAATCAGACACCACTGAGGGGTCCCTCCCTCCAGTTTCATCCCGGTGCACTTGCCAGAGCACTCACAGACTCCCCATCCACACTGGTCTGCCCTCCTACTGGCCTTCCACCCCATCTTTGAGGCATGAGAAGACCAACAGCCCGGTAAAGCCACGGGGCTTCCAGATCAGCTGGAGGGGGTTGTGCCGATGTGTGTACATACAGAGGGCTCAGGGCCTTTGGGGGTTTCTCTGCCCTTCAATTCCGTGCAGAACACCTCACTCAGTGGGAAAGTGAGCCAAGCTTTCGGTGCCAACTAGGAAGTGATGAGGATGCGGCGACCCCATTGACCCACCCAGCACCGATCCCCAACGCATGGTCTCCAGCCTGAGCTGACATCCCATCTACCCCGGTTTCTCCAGCACCCAAGCCTACCTCCTCGTCAGGTGACCTCCCCGGAGCACCGACTGGGGTCGCAGGCGCTCTGTCCCGCCGCCTCCGGAGCCTGCCTTTGGGGAGTGGGGGTGGTCGCAACCACCAGCCGCGAGGAGAGGATTGCACCTCTCCCCCCCGGCCGGCATCCGAACAGAGCCAGTCTCCACCCCTGCAGTGGCGAAGTGTTTACAAAGTCCGCGCCGCGCCGCCGATCCAGAGCTGGGCAGGAAGTGGGGAAGAGGGGGCGGAGGAGACAAAGGGGCTGGTGCTCTGCTCAGCCAAGTTTCGGTCCCCGGCCTGACTCTCCCACCCCCTGTACACCCTCGGCGAGGCCAGGAGGCTCATCCGGCGCCGCGCACCCCCGCCCGCAGCCCCCGCCCCACGCGGCATAGGTGCGGGGGCGGGGCGCCACGGAGGCTCAGGTGTGGGCGGCGGGGCCGGGGCAGCACGGGTTCCCGGACCGCTGCCTCCCGGCGTTGGCAACTCCTCCACGTGCTATCCAGGAAGTAAACAACATCATGAGGAGCGACTTCTTTTTCTTTTTCTTTTTTTTGAGATGGAGTCTCCCTCTGTCGCCCAGGCTGGAGTGCAGTGGCGCGATCTCGGCTCACTGCAACCTCCGCCTCCCGGATTCAAGCTATTCTCCTGCCTCAGCCTCCCGAGTAGCTAGGACTACAGGCGCACGCCGCCACGCCCGGCTAATTTTGTGTATTTTTAGTAGACACGGGGTTTCACCATGTTGGTCAGGCTGGTCTCGAACTCCTGACCTGAGGTGATCCACCCGCCTCGGCCTCTCAAAGTGCTGGGATTACAGGCGAGAGCCACCGCGCCCGGCCGATTTCTTGACTCTTACTACACGTCAGGCACTGTGACAGACTCTTTCTGTGTATCATCTCATCTTTCCCCCAGCTTTACAGAAGAGGAAACTGAGACACACTGAGGATTAAGGTCAAGTGCCCGAAGTACCATAGCTGGCTAGTGTTAGGATCCAAGCCCAGAATCTGCGTCCTGCCAGGCACCTGCAAATGGGGACGAACACGGCGCAGCTAGAGGGGCTGACAGGCTAGGGAGAAAACCACTGGTAGCCGCGGGCACCCCACGCCCTGGGAGTGAGGCGGCAAGGGACAAGTCTCCCGCCCCCTAGACTTGCCTCGCAAATACTTGCGGGTCGAGGGCGCGAAGGCAGCAGGATGCAGCGATAGACTTGGACTAGGTGGTCCAGGCTCTACTTCCAAGTGGGCCATTGACAGGCGGGGCGGCCCTCAGCACAAAATCACCAGGCTGGATGCTCCAGGGTTTCCCAACATTACTCGCTCAGAAGAATCATCTGGGGAGCTCCTTAATGAGAAAGATTCCCAAGCCCCTCTTCCAGAGAGTGAAGTCACTGGGATTGGGCTGGGCCCAGCCAGGTGTTACTAATAATAAGACAAGTTTGGAAAACCCTGCGAGTGTAGATGATCTCCTGGTATGCTCTTTATAAGAACCGATTTTCATATTAAAATAGGTTTCTTTTAACTCAGTGAAACCGGGCGCGTTTTCCTGGCCCACAACCAAGCCACTGAAGGCCCCAGAACACTTCACTCTCAAAAGGTCACGTGAGGCTGGCGCGGTAGCTCACGCCTGTAATCCCAGCACCTTGTGAGGCCGAGGCCGCGGACTGCTTGAGCTTAGGTGTTCGAGACCAGCCTGGCCAACATGGCGAAACTCGGTCTCTACTAAAAATACAAAAACTAGCGGGGCGTGGTGGTGCCCGCCTGTAATCCCAGCTACTCCGGAGGCTGAGGCGGGAGGATCGCTTGAGCCTGGGAGGTGGAGGTTGCAGTGAACCGAGATCGCGCCATTGCACTCTAGCCTGTGAAACGGAGCAAGACTCTGTATCCAAAAAAAAAAAAAAAAAGTCACGTGAGCCGGGGTCACCGGAGGCGTCCCCCAACCGACTGGGCTTCGGAAAACCAAGGGGCGCACGCCGCCCCGCCCCGCCCCGCCCCGCGACTACAAGTCCCATCGCGCCCCGCGCTCGCGCACACTACGCCAGAACAAGATGGCCGACGCGGCGGCCACAGCTGGGGCCGGTGGCTCCGGAACGGTAAGGGCAGGAAGCGCGGGCTCGGAGCCGAGAGAGTTTGGGTATCCTGCAACTTTCCCCTCGACTGAGCAACAAGATAATGCCCAGAAATTCAGCCCCATCATGAGCTCCGACTGGCGGAGGGTGTTTTCAGGCCGTAGGCGCCCCCTCCTTGGGACTTGGCTGCGGCCTCCGGAGTTGGCGGACCTGTGTCTTGATTGGCTCGTTCGCTGTTGGGGGTTGGGAGCCCGGAACACCCCCGATTGGTCTGAAGATGCCGTTTTCGCCTTCTTATTGGCCGGCCAAAGTTGAAAGGCATTCCCGTTTCAAAATATTTAGCTTTCTTACTTTTTTGTGCTTTTATCTTTTGCCCTCCTCTCCTCGCGGTCACCTCTTGTTACTGTTTTCATTTTCCCTTTCAATGAAATGGTGTGAAGATGGGAGGCACAAGAGAGGGATCCTGTTTTTTCTGCGGGACACGTCTTAATCCCATCATGCGTGTTTCTTCAGCTATGTATTCTAATAATCTGCTAAAGTAGAAAGTAAAAGACCTGCTATTTTATCTCATTGGGACTGTACGTTTTAGGTAAGCGGAGAAGTGGTCTCTGTATTTAAAGCACCTTGGGTGCTCAATTTTTACTCAGTTGGCCAAGATCTGTAAATCTAAACATTAAGCACTGATTTTTAAAATAAAATTATTTAGTAAAATAACTTTGCTTGCCGTTGACCACGTATGAACTATGTGATTGCATCCTTCTCCTGTGGATGAAAATCTCTCTGCTGATTCACAGAGATCGGGAAGTAAACAGTCCACTAACCCTGCCGATAACTATCATCTGGCCCGGAGGAGAACCCTGCAGGTGGTTGTGAGCTCCTTGCTGACAGAGGCAGGGTTTGAGAGTGCCGAGAAAGCATCCGTGGAAACGCTGACAGAGATGCTGCAGAGCTGTGAGTACATGGAAACACTTGGCCTTGGAGTCAACCCCAACATCAGTTCTGTGCCCTGCTTTGTGATAGTGTTTGAGAGGATTTAAGAAACAAACTTTTTTCTTAAGAGGGGAGAAAAAAAATTTTTTTTAATGTAAAAAGTTGAGAAAAGAAAACAGCACAATGGGCCGAGCGTGGTGGCTCACGCCTGTAATCCCAGTACTTTAGGAGGCTGAGGCGGGTGGATCACCTGAAGTCAGGAGTTCAAGACCAGCCTGGCCAACGTGGCGAAACCCCGTCTCTACTAAAAAACACACAAAAAAATTAGCTGGGCGTGGTGGCAGGTGTCTATAATCCCAGCCACTCGGGAGACTGAGGCAGGAGAATCGCTTGAATCTGGGAGGCAGAGGTTACAGTGAACTGAGATCGCACCACTGCACTCCAGCCTGTGAGGCTCCATCTCCAACAACAACAACAAAAACAGAAAAGAGCATAATGAAGTGACTTACAGGCTTTAGAATCAGATAGACTTGGTGTACATCATCACTCTGTCACTTAATAGCTTGGGCAAGCCACTGAATCTCCTGAACCTCAATTTCCTCATTTCTGAAATGGGATAACAGTTTCTACCTCATGGATTTGTGAGTGTAAGTGAGATGTATATATAAAACATTCAGTGCTGGGGAGATTTTAAGCTCTTGGTGAGTTATGGGTGCCCTTAAGGACTTTTGTTGGGGAGTCAGGACTAATTCCCCATGCAATAGATATCATCACATTATGTAATGAAATGCTAGATTGTGTGATACAAAGAATGAAGGGGAAAAGCCCCCCCCCCCTTTTTTTTTTTGAGACAGAGTCTCACTGTGTTGCCCAGGCTGGGGTGCAGTGGCACAATCTCAGCTCACTGCAGCCTCCGCCTCCCAGGTTCAAGCAATTCTCCTGCCACAGCCTCCCAAGTAGCTGGGATCATAGGCGTGCACCACCACGCCTGGCTAATTTTTGTATTTTTAGTAGAGACAGGGTTTCACCATGTTGGCCAGGCTGGTCTTGAACTCCTGACCTCAGGTGATCCACCCACCTTGGCCTCTCAAAGTGCTGGGATTACAGGCATGAGCCACTACACCCAGCTGAAAAGCTACTTTTAAAAGGAAATGTGTTGAGATTTAGAAGCCCGGGTGTGGTCTTACAGAGGCTTTTCTGCATGTACAACATATTTCCCTGTTTTGAACTTTTGGGGCATGGGATGGGATGAGGGATGGAAGTATTTACGGTGTTTCTTAGGGATCAACAACTATGAAAGGAAGTAGGAGAAAGGTTTGGGCAGAGGGAGATGTGGGGTGCAATGCAGGCCCAATAAAGAAGTGGACAACTTAGCCAGGACCCCTGGAGCATTATTGCCCATCAAGCTGAAAAGGCCCTGCCTTTATACTCAGGTCTTGATCAAACAGTAGATGTGGGCTACCCCAGGAAGGGTGATCTTGGGCAAGGTGGCTCTCTGCAGCTGATATTTGGCACTTTTAAATACCAAATGTTTTCCTAAAGCAGTGATCTCAATCATTGTGGCTTCAGAACTCCTATATTTATTTATTCTTATTAATTAGAGATGGGGTCTTGCTGTGTTGCCCAGGCTGGCCTCAAACTTCTGGACCCAAGCCTCCCACATAGCTGGGACTACAGGCATGTGCCACCACACCCAGCTCTCAGAATCCCTTTATATTAATAAACATTGAGGACCCCAAGTAGCTTTTGTATATGTGTATTTGCCACGTTAGAAAAAACAAATTTTGGGTCTAGGTGTGGTGGCTCACGCCTGTAATCCCAGCACTTTGGGAGGCCGAGGCGGGTATATCGCCTGAGGTCAGGAGTTTCAAGACCAACCTTGCCAACATACTGAAACCCTGTCTCTACTAAAAATGCAAAAAATTAGCTGGATGTGGTGGCGGGCGCCTGTAATTACAGCTACTCGGGAGGCTGAGGCAGGAGAATCGCTTGAACCCAGGTGGCAGAGATTGCATTGAGCCAAGATCACACCATTGTACTCCAGCCTGGGCAACAAGAGCGAAACTCCGTCTCAAAAAAAAAAAAAGAAAAAAAAAGAAGAAGAAATTTTGAAAATAAGAATGTACAATCACATATTCTGTTATTCATCAGACCCATGTTGTCATCAAAAGTCACATAGACTCAGGAAAACTACCTGAGAGAATGAGAGTGAAAAAGTCAAATAACAACTTAATTTTATTATGAAAATAGTTTTGACCTGTGGACTTTAGAAAAGATTTTGGGGCCTACCACAGATTCCCAGGCTACTACTTTTTGAACTTTGTCCTAAAGGAATGAATTAATAGTTCCCAAGAGATAAGAATGCAGTTCTTGGAACAATCTTGGAATTTAGAGTTTAAAAGTCATGTCTAGAGGCTGGTATTAGTGACTTGCTCAGTATAGCAGGGGGGTTGGTGGTAGGTGGTAGGTCTCTTGTTAGACACCCTTCCCTGTCAAGTACCACTTGCTTTTATCTTCTGAGCCACTGGGCCCCTAAAGTAGGAGTTCTTTACCTTTTGAGACCCCTTTGTACATTTGATAAAATCTGTGGACCCATTCCCCAAAAAATGCTTTTTTTGTGTTTAAAATTCAGCACAGCTTCAGAGTATTCATGAAACCTCCTGTCCACCTTGGAAGCTCATTCACAGAGCCGAGCTTCAAAAACTCCATCTTAGAAACCTTTCCCCTTTCCCCAAAAGACTTTAACGTGACTCTTAAATAGAGGTTCAGCTTCAGGCAGAAGAAAGAAAAATTGCCCATCAGAGAATAAGACCTTTTTGTGTGTGTGGTAGTGAGATATTCATAAAAAAATTTATCATTTTAACCATTTTTAAGTGTACAATTCAGTGGTATTAAGTACATTCACAATGTTGTGCAGCCATTTACATTATTTCCAGAACTTTTTCATCATTCTAAACAGAAACTCTGTACCCATAAACAATAACTCCCCATTCTCCCTCCCCCTCCATCCCCTGGTAACTTCTAATCTACTTTCCATCTCTAGATACCTCATATAAGTAGAATCTTTATTTGTCTTTTTATGTCTACCTTATTTCACTTAGCATAATGTTTTCTTTTTTCTTTTCTTTTTTTCTGAGATGGAGTCTCGCTGTGTCTCCCAGGCTGGAGTGCAGTGGTGCCATCTCGGCTCACTGCAACCACCTCCACCTCCCAGGTTCAAGCGATTTTCAGCCTCCTGAGTAGCTGGGATTACAGGTGTGTGCCACCTCACCTGGCTAATTTTTTATATTTGTGGTAGAGTTGGGGTTTTGCCATGTTGGCCAGGCTAGTCTTGAACTCCTGACCTCAAGTGATCCACCTGCCTCAGCCTCCCAAGTGCTAGGATTACAGGCGTGAGCCACCACACCTGGCCTTAGCATAATGTTTTCTTTTTCTTTTCTTTTTTTTTTTTTTTGAGAAGGAGTTCTCACTCTGTCGCCCAGGCTGGAGTGCAATGGCACAATCTCTGCTCACTGCAACCTCCTCCTTCCAGGTTCAAGCTATTTCTCAGCCTCCCAAGTGGCTAGGATTACAGGCGCCTACCACCAGGCCTGGCTAATTTTTGTATTTTTAGTAGAGAAGGGGTTTCGCCATGTTGGTCAGGTTGGTCTCAAACTCCTGACCTCAGGTGATCCACTGGCCTTGGCCTCCCAAAGTGCTGGGATTACAGGCCTGCGCCACCACACCTGGTCTAGCATAATGTTTTCAAAGTTCATCTATGCTATAACATTACCAGAATTTCCTTCCTTTTAAAGGCTGAATAATATTCCATTGTATGTATACAGCACATTTTGTTTGTTCATTCACCTGTTGTTTCTACCTTTTGGCTGCTGTGAATCATGCTGCTGTGAACATTGGTGTACTAGTAGCTTTTCGAATCCCTGCTTTCAGTTCATTTATGTATATACCTAGGAGTGGAATTGTTGGCTCATCTGGTAATTCTATGTTTAACTTTCTGAGGAACTGAGAATAAGTTTTATGCCTTTAATCCCCTCTTAGACATTTCAGAAATTGGGAGAAGTGCCAAGTCTTACTGTGAGCACACAGCCAGGACCCAGCCCACACTGTCCGATATCGTGGTCACACTTGTTGAGATGGGTGAGTATACCTTCAGTTTCCAGTTCTTCGATGCAACTGGGAGAGGAGTCCCTAGGAATCAGGCATGTCTGCTAAGTGTTCTTGGTTTCCCTCATGGTTCTCTTGAATTGCTTTGAGCTTGAGAGAGTTATCAAGAGAGATTCCTCTGAACACATCTAAGAGGCCTCATAATTCCCTGTTAGGGAATTCTGCCAGAGCTTCTTTTGCGTGGCTGCAAGGTCATTGAGTTGAGAGTTTAAGCCATTTGTCCATACTACTACTATTCTTTCTGTATTCAATATCCAGTGGTCTGGGCAGTGATTTTTGTTTTCCTGTCTCTTAGGTTTCAATGTGGACACTCTCCCTGCTTATGCAAAACGGTCTCAGAGGATGGTCATCACTGCTCGTAAGTGACTTTGAACTGAGGTACTTAGCAATTTTTCAATTAATGCTTGTGGAATGAAGTAATTGAATATGGTAGGGATTGGATTAGTAGCTACTTCCTTGTTGTGGGCTCTCTTCCAATGTTTGGGGCTACCTACAATATAATCTTTATTTGGGCTAGTCTGATTAGCATGTGAAATTCAGTCACCAAAAGGTAAACCATCTTTGAGATATTGCTGTGTTTCTTGTGTTCTAGCCCCAGAAGGGCAAATGATGCTGCTTGGAAAAATGAAAGTTTTTGTTCTTCTTAGATTAAGGGTTGGTAAATTGTGGCCTATGGGCCAAATGCAGCCTGCCTCCTGTTTTTGTAAATAAAGTCTTATCGGAATGCAGCCATATTTACTTATTATCTGTGGTTGTTTTCATGCTATAATGGCATAGTTTAGTTGTGGTAGAGACTGTACCACATGCAAAACCTAAAGTATTTATTATATGGCCCTTTACACAAACTTTGATGACCTCTACTTTAAGTAAACCTGGGTGCCATAAGCTGAGTAGAGAGTAACCAGTTTGGGCTTGTAGGACCTGGAGAGAGTTAACTGGATTTTTTTCTTTTCTTTCTTTTTTTGAGATGGAGTCTCGCTCTGTTGCCCAGGCTGGAGTGCAGTGGCACAATCTCGGCTGACTACTGCAACCTCTGCCTCCGAGGTTCAAGCTATTCTCCTGCTTCAGCCTCCCAAGTAGCTGGGATTACAGGCGCTCGCCACCACACCCAGCTAACTTTTATATTTTTAGTAGAGACAGGGTTTTACCATGTTGGCCAAGCTGGTCTCGAACTCCTGACCTCGAGTGATCCGCCTGCCTCGGCCTCTCAGAGTGCTGGGATTACAGGCGTGAGCCACCGCACCCGGCCTGGATTTCTTCTTTAAAGTCACTTTTTTCTTGTTGGCATTTTTTTAAAAACTCCCTCTCAACATAGCAGTGGAAGGTGCCATTTTCAATCCCCTCTTGTTATGATTAAGCTCACACTTAATGTCCCCAGCTCATTGTTCCTTTTTGTTATCCAAGGTCTCTGAAAAGAGAACCAGCAGCCCATGTAACCTGCGTAGCTCCTCAGCATGCTGTTTTACGTAGTTACTGTGGCCACAGCCACCCACCTCTACCTAAGAGGCTTGTGGGCAGATTGTTGTCAAAGGGAACGTCAACCAAGATTAGCCAGCAGGGCTGGGCATTGTAAGCCATCAAAGACCTTTTATCGATTGAAATACAAAATGCAACTTGTTTAGAAAATTGAGGTCTGGCATTTTTTTGAGAAAAGGAGGCTTTGGGGAGAGACCATAATCTGTAGAAATCAGGGTCTTGGGTGGAGGGGTAATCAGTTGTGACTCTGTTGCAGCTCCGGTGACCAATCAGCCAGTGACCCCCAAGGCCCTCACTGCAGGGCAGAACCGACCCCACCCGCCGCACATCCCCAGCCATTTTCCTGAGTTCCCTGATCCCCACACCTACATCAAAACTCCGGTGAGTGATGAAGCACTGGGACTGCGCGTGGTGTAAAGCACGGAGTCAGTTCCTACTGACTGTCACGTGGCAGAGTCCAGTCCAAAAGCTTGTTGATGAAAGAGTGGTTCAAAACTCAGAATGTGGCCGGGCACATTGGCTCACACCTGTAATCCCAGCATTTTAGGAGGCCGAGGCAGGAGGATCACTTGAGCCTGGGAGTTCAAGACCAGCCTGGGCAGCAGAGCAAGACCCTGTCTCATTTGAAAAATAAATAAATAAAGAAAAAAAAAAGAATTCAGATTATCTTTCATAATTGAGAAACAATTTGGCAAATGAGAATTATGTTCTCAAGTTTGCCAGCTAAAGTATAATTAACAAAGAAATTGAAGCTGGCCCCAGTATTGCCTGTCCTACTAAAACACAAAAGTACATAGCCGCATAGGAACAAGACTGAAAAGGTATTCCACTAAATGTTCATAGTAATTTTGGGTTGAGATTATAGGTCATTTTGTTTTGTGTTTACTTTTCTGAGTTTTCCAAATTTTCCATAATAGGAAAATTATTTTTTCAATTGGGGGAAAAGTTACTTTAAAAATATTTAGTAATGGCCGGGAGCAGTGGCTCATACCTTTAATCCCAACACTTTGGAAGGCCGAGGCAGATGGATCACCTGAGGTCAGGAATTCAAGACCAGCCTGGCCAACACAGTGAAACCCCATCTCTACTAAAATTACAAAAATTAGCTGTGCGTGGTGGCACATACCTGTAGTTCCAGCTACTCAGGAGGCTGAGGCAGGAGAATCTAACCTGGGAGACAGAGGTTGCAGTGAGCTGAGATTGCGCCACTGCACTCCAGCCTAGGCGACAGAGCAAGACTCTGTCTCAAAAAGAAATAAATAAAAATTAGTAATGATAATGAAATGGAACTTATCACTCTGAGCTCTAGGTCTGAATGAGGAGAAGATGAATTATCCTCTGTGGTTTGAATGTGTTCTAATTTGCCTGAATGGCAGTTTTACCTTCCGTTGGGAAGGTGCCCTCCCACACTTCCTTTGCTTCTGCCTGCATACCATATAGTGATGGCAAGCCCTCACGTCCTCTGGGCATTTTTCCATACCTTAGGGTGGGGGAGAGGGAATAGTAGCTGCCCAGCTAATGCAACATAGCCCTTGCCCTTGCCCTTGGTCAGATCTCTCTATTAGTTTCCTGGGCTGCTGTAACAAAATGCCACAAACCAGGTGACTTAGAACAACAGAAATTTATTGTCTCACAGTTCTGGAGGCTAGAAGTCTAAAAGCAAGGTGTCATGCTCCCTCTGAAACCTGTAGGGGAGTCCCTCCTTGCCTCTTCCTAGCTTCTGGTGGTTGGCCAGCATTCTTTGGCATTTCTTGGCTCATAGATGCATCACTCCAGCTTTCTGTCTTCACATGGCATTCTTTTTTGTGTGTGGTTGGGGGGCAGAGGGGGAGACTGGAGTTTTATTATTACTCAAATCAGTCTTCCCCAGCATTCGGGGAGCAGAGTTTTTAAGGATAATGTGGTAGGTCGGGGGAAGCCAGTGAGCCAGGAGTGCTGATTGGTCAGAGATGAAACCATAGGGACTCAGGGCCGGGCAAGGTGGCTCACGCCTGTAATCCCAGCACTTTGGGAGGCCGAGGTGGGGGGATCATGAGGTCAGGAGATCGAGACCATCCTGGCCAACATGGTGAAACCCCGTCTTTACTAAAAATACAAAAAATCAGCCGGGCATGGTGGCGGGCACCTGTAGTCCTAGCTACTTGGGAGGCTGAGGCAGGAGAATAGTGTGAACCCGGGAGGCAGAGCTTGCAGTGAGCCGTGATTGCACCATTGCACTCCAGCCTGGGCGACAGAGCGAGACTTTGTCTCAAGAAAAAAAAAAAAAAAGAAATCATAGGGACTCAGAGCTGTCTTCTTGCACTGAGTCAGTTCCTGGGTGGGGGCCACAAGATCAGATGAGCCAGTTTATTGATCTGGGTGGTGCCAGCTGATCCATCAAGTGCAAGGTGTCTCAACACTGATCTTAGGAACAGTATAGGGAGGGTCAGAATCTTGTAGCCTCCAGCTGCATGACTTCTAAACCATAATTTCCAATCTTGTGGCTAATGTTAGTCCTACAAAGGCAATCTAGTCTCCAGGCAAGATGGAGGTCTTCTTTGGGAAAAGGAGTGTCACTGTCTTTGTTTAAACTCTAAACTAAGTTTCTCCCAAAGTTAGTTTAGCCTCCGCCCAGGAATGAACAAGGACAGCTTGGAGGTTAGAAGCAAGATGGAGTCAGTTAAGTTAGATCTCTTTCACCGTCTCAGTCATAATTTTGCAAACGTGGTTTCAGTCCTTCCCTTTGGGTTTTATAACACCTTAATCTTAAGGTGTAGGCTGTGAAGATGGGAAAAGGCTATCAATTGCTCTGGCTTCTTCCTGCTGACAGGGCACATTATGGGAATGGGAGTGAACCCGAAGGTGAGAAGAGTGGAACTGGTTTGCAACTGTCTGAGTGTACTCATGCAGGCCTGGCTAGGCGTTCATGGCTTGCATGGCACAAACATTAGTACTCTGTAGTTTTACTACAGTGTTTAAGTGAAACAGCCCACTATAAGGTAAATAACGAGTCCTAGGATGAGGAGTACAATTCCCAATTTTAAAAGCAAAGATTTGGAAGCACTAGTTTGGGGACTTCTAACCCACAAAGACTTTAGAATTTAGTCTAAACTGCAGAAAAAACCTCAAGAACAGCTAACAACAGTGTACTATAGTTTTTCTTTTGAAGCATAATTTTTCTCTCTCCAGTCCCCATTTTTATTAAAAACAAATCATGATACAACTGATTTGTTTACAAAATAAACTTTAGTCTTACTGTACTTGGCCCGATTATTTGCATAAAGTGCAGCAAGAATAATTATTTTTCACTTAGACTTTTTAAATTGGCTTTGATAGAACTCTGTTCCATGAAGAATCTCAGATAAGACTTTTTAAAAGCCGAGCCCAGCCATGGGTTTGTACCCTCAAATACCTATGAGTTGGGCAAATTTGTCTCCTCTTGAGGTCCCAAGATAGCTTGGGGTTCCTGAGCCTGTTTGAAAGTGACATTCTTTACTTACCACAGGTCAGGAACCTTGTACAGAGACTCTGTGTGGACGGGGTATAAGGCCAGATTCCCCAACGGGCTTTAATTGGCTATATAAGTCAACTTTGATTCTTTAAAAAAAAGCATGCCATTCCAGTCAAAGCCTTGGTAAAATAACCAATTTCTCCAACTGTGGCCTGTTACAAAAGAAAACAGATTCTTATTGCACTTATGCAATTAGCTATACTGCCATAAATTGAGAATATTCACAAATAGTTTCCAAATTCTGGAGAAATCAGGTAGAGAGGAACAATATGCTGTAAATTTTGTTCACAGGAGTTTATTTTACTCACATGATAAAAGTTGCAAATAGTTCTAAAGAAATAATTTCTCTTGACTCTGAAAACAAAAGGTTTAGCAATGTTTAACACATTAGCTCTCCGTGAGAGTCCTAGAAGTTTGTTTTTTTCCTCTATTCCAATAGCACAGTTCTTAAAGTTATCTGAGACCTGCACTTAGAGTCCTATATTTGATTATAAACTGCATTTTGAAAAGGACCAAAGCAAGATAAAATGTCTGTGGATGACAAAAGTCTATAGCCACTATTAAAGCTACAATTGACTAGGAATTTTGGTTACTTCTGTGGCATACAACAATTTTACATAGCAATTATAATTATTAATGTACACTAAACTATATCAACATTATAGAAGTTTCCCATAATTTTGGACACATACTAATAATATATTTATACAAATACAGTCTAAAGTAAACCAAACACCATTCACTCTTCTATTTGAAAGTTTTTCCTCTATTCTAATGTCACAATCTCCAGAGTTATTAATCAGAAACCTGCATTTATTAGCACCTGTTAAATTTTATAGCTGATTATAAAACCATCTTTTAAAGAGGACCAAAATGAGACAAGTGTATGACAAAAACATTTTAGGGCAGCCACAGTTAAAGGCACAATTGGCAAGGAAATTTGTTACCTCTGTGGCACACAATCTGTTAACATAATCATTATAATTATTACTGATAACATACACTAAGTCATATTAGAATTATAGAAGTTTTATGTAATTTTGGAACATATACCAATAACATTTATACAAATATAGACCAAAGAAAGCCAAACACCATTTCATATTTGACAATGCCTCCTGTATGATTTTGTATCAGATAAGCCAAATCATTTTTGGGCTTTAGAGGACCTAATATCTAAAAGGTTAGAAAGAGACATAATTTTTAATTGGATTTTGGAAAGTTTGTCAAATATCAAAGGTTTAAAACACTGGATATCACAAAATAGAATCCCAGGTCACCATAAGTCATTCGTTTAGCCAAAATGATAACTCCAAAAAATTTTTTTGTAAAGAAAAACTTTTACTCTGTTAGAGGAGACTTAGCTTTCCAAACAAGACTCGATGAAGATAGCATGAGGCCAACTGAATCTGTCTCTTCTCTCCCTCTCCTCTTTTTTTTCCCTGCCATTCACCCAAAGGAGAAAAGAAAACCCTTTCATTATCTTTTAACATTACATAAAAATCATCTTCAGAAGAGAAAAACAAATTTCATATTTGTACTAGCGCATCTTTAATGTTAAAGCTAGTTTTTTAAATAAAATTTTATATCTCTACCCAGTTTTAATTAGTTTGACCATACAGTAAGATTTTCATAAACTTTTTAGAACCCTTTACAATTTTCCACCAAACAGTAGGTCAATTTTCTAAGAAAACCCTGTTATTCAGACACGTGGGTCCAGATTCTGGCCCCACATCAGTATGATTTTAATGTTTTAGCCTACAGAAAAAAGCTAAATAATTTCTTTTAAATCTTAGCCAACTTGTTGATACCCACAGAATTTTTACACGATCAACCCTTTACAAACCTTTTTTACTTAGCTTAAATCTTCAGTTTCGATTCTGTTACTCTTTTAGGTTAAGACAATCTTTTTTTTTTTTTTTTTTTTTTTTGAGACAGAGTCTTGCTCTGTTGCCAGGCTGGAGTGCAGTGGTGCGATCTCAGCTCACTGCAACCTCCACCACCTCCCGGGTTCAAGTGATTCTCCTGCCTCAGCCTCCCAAGTGGCTGGGACTACAAGCGCCTGCCACCAAGCCTGGCTAATTTTTTTTTTTTTCTTAAGTAGAGATGGGGTTTCACCATATTGACCAGGCTGGTCTCGAACTCCTGACCTTGTGATCCACCTACCTTGGCCTCCCAAAGTTTTGGGATTACAGGCATGAGCCACCGTGCCTGGCCAAGACAATCTTTAAAACCCTCTGAACTAGACAAAATTACATTCCCTTTAACAAAAGCTATGGCTAAAGCTATGCCAAGTTCACATGGCATTCTCTATCTCTGTCTTCCTGTGGCCAGCTTCTTAGGAGGACACTAGTCATATTGCACTAGGGACCCACCTTACCTTAGTAAGACCTCATCTTCACTGTGCTTACATCTGCAGTGACCCTATTTCCAAATAAGGTCATATTGTGAGGTACTAGGACATATCAAAAATGTTTTTTTGTGGGGACACAGTTCAACCCATAACATTCTTTAACTCTTTTATATAGTATATCCCTATCTGTAACATTTTTTTTTGAAACAGGGTCTCACTTTGTTGCCCAGGCTGCTGGAGTGCAATGGGCGATCTCAGCTCACCACAGCCTCGACCTTCTAGGCTCAAGTGATCCTCCCACCTCAACCTCCCGAGTAGCTGGGACTACAGGGGTGCACCACCATGCCCAGCTAATTTTTGTATCTTCTGTAGAGACAAGATATCGCCATGTTGCCCAGGCTGGTCTCAAACTCCTGGGCGCAAGCAGTTCACCCAGGCATGGGTACATACTCCAGTATATGTTTGCTTATTTATGTGAATATTATAATGTAACATTGTACAAAATAATGTACATTAAAAGATAATCTTACCCTTTTAAAATGTTCAGGAAACCTATAACCTTTTCTAGCGGGAGCAATTGCCTCTGCTTTTTATTTTTTGAAATCATAGGGTTTTTGTTTGTTTTGTTGTTCTTGTTTGTTTTGTTGTTGTTGTTATTTTATAGAGATGGGGACAGGTTTTTTGTCTTTCTGTGGTGCTCAAGCTGGTCTTGAACTCCTAGCCTTAAGTAGTCTTTGCACCTTGGCCTCCCAGAGTGCTGGGATTACAGGCATGCACCACTGTGCTCAGTCTTTTTTTAGAGGTGGAGTTCTCGCTCTGTTGCCCAGGCTGGAGTGCAGTGGTGTAATCATGGCACTACAGCTTTGAACTCCCGGGCTCAAGCAGTCCTCCCACCTCAGCCTGCAGAGTAGCTAGGACCACAAGCACACGCTACCATGCCAGCCTAGAAATCTTGGTTTAATACTTGATGGAATAGTAAGTTGGAGGTCAGAATCTAAGATTAGTTTATTTTGATACTTTAATGGCTCTCATAGTTGAAAATGGTACATCACAAACATATGTAACATCATTGGCTGCTCTTAATAAATCATAAAACTAATTTTTTTCATCCTCATTTACTCATTATCCAAAGAATTTGGTTGAAAATTTTCTATTAAATTTCTAATTTATTGAGTGCCAAAAGTTGTCTTAGGAATCATTACAAGATTTTGCATTTTAATGTTTTTAACAAGTACAATATGTTCAAAATCCACTCATTTTATTATTGGGAAGTTTTGGGGTTTTTTTGTGGGGGGTGGACAGAGTCTCGCTCAGTCCCCCAGGCTGGAGTGCAGTGGTGTGATCTCGGCTCACTTCAACCTCTGTCTCCCAGGTTCAAGCGATTCTCATGTCTCAGCCTCCCCCAAGTAGTTGGGATTACAGGTGCCCACCACCACGCCTGGCTAATTTTTGTATTTTTAGTAGAGACCGGGTGTTACCATGTTGACCAGGCTAGTCTCAAACTCCTGACCTCAGGTAATCTATCCGCCTCGGCCTCCCAAAGTGCTGGGATTACAGGTGTGAGCCACCACACCCAGCCTTTTGGGAAGATTTTTAACACGTCAGAAAATTCTGTTTCTTTGTTTAAGTACAGATGTGAGAACTGTATAGGTGACACACTTGAACTGATGGTGACAACAAAGAAACATTTCCAGGTGCCTTCTTTAAAAATGCTATCTCAGCCTGTAATCCCAGCACTTTGGGAGGCTGAGGCGGGTGGATCACAAGGTCAGGAGATCGAGACCATCCTGGCAAACACAGTGAAACCCGTCTCTACTAAAAATACAAAAAAATTAGCCAGGAGTGGTGGCAGGCGTCTGTAGTCCCAGCTACTCGGGAGGCTGAGGCAGGAGAATGGCATGCACCCGGGGGGCGGAGCTTGCAGTGAGCAGAGATCCCGCCACTGCACTCCAGCCTGGGTGACAGAGCAAGACTCTGTCTCAAAAAAAAAAAAAAAAAAAAAATGGTATCTCAGTATCATGAAGAGTAGTTACTTTATTGGTCGTTGTTAAAATGTCACCGTTGCCATTACCAATTAAAATGTTTTCCGGCTGGGCGCGGTGACTCACACCTGTAATCCCAGCACTTTGGGAGGCCAAGGTGGGTGGATCATCTGAGGTCAGGAGTTCGAGACCAGCCTGGCCAACATGATGAAACCCCATCTCTACTAAAAATACAAAAATTAGCTGGGCATGGTGGCACGTGCCTGTAGTCCCAGCTACTCAGGAGTCTGAGGCAGGAGAATCGCTTGAACCCAGGAGGTGGAGGTTGCAGTGAGCTGAGATGGCGCCACTGCACTCCAGCCTGGGTGACAGAGCAAGACTCTGTCTCCAAAAAATAAAAATAATAAAATAAAAAGTTTTGGCTCATTTCTCATTCTGATCTCAATCATTTTCACTCCATAACTTGATTGCCAGCAAGCTCATAATTAGGAGGAAGAGTAGCAGCCTGCCGTTTTCTTGGTCACTTGCACGTATAATAAGATCTTCAGCCTCTCTTTCTTTGAGGGAATCTTTTTGGAACAATGTATCCATATTGTGAGGATTGATTTAATAAGATGGGATGGTATAATCCACAAGTCCACATAGGCAGCCACTCCCATACTGCAGGAGGTCACATTGCGCTGATGGAACCTGTGGTCCCCATCAGGGCTTCCCTGGGGGCACTCCCACTCTTTCTTCACGATGCGTCTCTTAGACCCGAGACCATCTGTCATGGGAGCTGAATGAAGGCTCCAAGACAATCTCTACAGTAAATATTTGTACATTTCTTAATTTTTAATTAGAAATGAATATTAATGTAGTTACATTGTTTTTCCACCTTTCTACTGTGCTTTGGTGATCTTGGCTCTAACTAATAGTATTGGGTCATTTAATTTAATTTTATTTATTTATTTATTTTTTGAGACAGAGTCTCGCTCCTGCTGCACAGGCTGGAGTGCAATGATGCAGTCTCGGCTCACTGCAACCTCCGCCTCCTGGGTTCAAGCGATTCTCCTGCCTCAGCCTCCCAAGTAGCTGGGATTACTGGTGCCCACCACCACACCCAGCTAATTTTTGTATTTTTGGTAGAGACGGGGTTTCGTTATGTTGGCCAGGCTGGTCTCAAACTCCTGATCTCAGGTGATCCACCAGCCTTGGCCTCCCAAAGTGCTGGGATTACAGGTGTGAGCCACTGTGCCTGGCCTGGTATTGGGTCATTTTAGAGAACAGGGCATAGCAACAGCAAGCCAGGGAGCTGATGAAAGCAGAATGATACTTCGGCATCACCCCAGTGTCTTTGCTGCTCTCTTCGTAGACGTACCGTGAGCCCGTGTCAGACTACCAGGTCCTGCGGGAGAAGGCTGCATCCCAGAGGCGCGATGTGGAGCGGGCACTTACCCGTTTCATGGCCAAGACAGGCGAGACTCAGAGTCTTTTCAAAGATGACGTCAGCACATTTCCATGTGAGAGTTGCCCCACTGTGTGGACCCTGTCTTATTTGAAACACTCACATTATCTTTTCTTTCTCTCAGCATGGTAGGAAGAAACAAATAAGCTTTTGTCCTTCCCTTGGGTACAGCTTGCCTCTCAGATTTCTGGCTCCCTTCCCCAGGTCTTAAGAGTCTGTCCTTAACTGACGACTCCAAAACAGTAATGGTCTCTGTTGGGACTGGCTGCTTGAGGTCCATAGAGTTACCTTGAGGGTAGCCTAGGCCTAGGCATCAGAGACACTTGGTGGCAGCCCAGGTAGTAGAAGAACATTGGCATCAGGGGCCAGTTGCCCATCGTGATGTTCCCTCGTAGGTCCCACCTCATTTAACTTGGCATCTCAGCACTATTTGGCCATGTTGACCAAGCTACTTCATTTCCAAAGACCTCAGTTTTTACAAATGTGAGTGAGGGAGGTTGGTTTGGGTGATTCATTCATTCAGCAAGCTCCTGTGGAACGCCCGCTGTGTGCCTGGCTCTGGAATAACAGCAGCTGCCGGTTGTTAAGTGCCAGATACTGTGCTCATCATTTCCCATACATTATCTCATTAAATCCTCTTGTGAGCCTCTGAGTTGGGAACTGATATATCACTACCTTCATAGGAACCCTTCAATGAGGCACAAGAGAAGAGAAATGAAGTCACTTCCTCAAGGAACATGGCTAGTAGACATCATTCAAACCTAGCTCTTACTGCAGGACCCCACATCTGACCCACAGCAAAAATAATTCTGGAGTTTTTGTGGGTTTTTTTGAGACAGAGTCTTGCTTTGTCATCCAGCCTGGAATACAGTGGCGCAATCTCTGCTCACTGCAACCTCCGCCTCCCGGGTTCCAGCGATTCTTCTGCTTCAGCAAGTAGCTGGGACTACAGGCAGGAGCCACCACACCCAGCTAATTTTTTGTATTTTTAGTAGAGACGGGGTTTCACCCAGTTGGCCAGGTTGGTCTTGAACTCCTGAGCTCAAGTGATCTGCCTGCCTCAGCCTCCCAAAGTGCTGGGATTATAGGCATGAGCCACCACACCCAGCCAATTCTAGAGTATTTTCTAACAGTCACATTCTACCATAGAAGTACACACAGAGACTTTTTCTTTTTCTGTTTTGAGACAGGATCTCACTTTGTCGCCCAGTCTTGAGTACAGTGGCACAAACAGCTCACTGCAGCCTGGACCTCCTGGACTCAAATGAGTCTCCCACCTCAGCCTCCCTAGTAGCTGGGACTACAGGCATGCACTATTATACCTGGCTAATTTTATTTTTCCTAGAGACGGGATTTCACCATGTTGCCCAGGCTGGTCTCAAACTCCTGGGCTCAACCAGTCCTCCTGCCTCAGCCTCCCACAGTGCTAGGATTATGGGCATGAGCCACCACACCCGGCCTTCTTTCTTTTAATGTTATTTTTTATTCAATTTCTTCCTCTCATCCTCATTGCTTTTTGGAAGAGCTAGAACTCTCATTGACCAGAGTGTCTTACAGCTCAGTGGACATGCATATATGCAGAGTGCTCAAATCCAGCCTTTGGACTT
The DNA here is from genome assembly GCF_000001405.40 of Homo sapiens. Taxonomy (NCBI): domain Eukaryota; kingdom Metazoa; phylum Chordata; class Mammalia; order Primates; family Hominidae; genus Homo; species Homo sapiens. Next base: position 42,068,012 of record NC_000006.12, read on the forward strand.
GAGTCCTTCAGGGTAAAAGAATCAATATTCCTGCTCTGGAAGTGAAGCTTAGAGGGGTTTAACTGACCTTGGGTGCAGGATCTCAAAACTTATGTGTTGCTAGGATTCTATCTATAGCCTCATTTCCATCTTATCTCAGTTGTACTTGGCAAAAAGTAGATTCTGAAGTCATGCTGCTTGAGTTAGAATCCCATTCTGCCATTTTTAGCATGCTTGGGAAAGTCATTTCACCTCTCTGTGCCTAATCGTACTTAATAGGATGGGAGCAAGGATGAAAGATAACATGAGTAAAGCCCGTAGAACATTGCCTGGCCTGTTGTGTAAGTACTTGGAGCGAGTTAGCTAGTATTATCTTCTGGTGCTGCTCACTGATTTGTTGTGAGGCTCTAGGACTCTAAGCCAGCTGCGAGGTCTCTGTGACAGTGGACTCATGCCTCTCTTCCAATTCGCCAGTGATTGCTGCCAGACCTTTCACCATCCCCTACCTGACAGCTCTTCTTCCGTCTGAACTGGAGATGCAACAAATGGAAGAGACAGATTCCTCGGAGCAGGATGAACAGACAGACACAGAGAACCTTGCTCTTCATATCAGCATGGTGGGTTCCACCTTCTGCCTACCTCAGAGTATCCCCCAAACTGTCGCACACTGCCCTCAGTCTGTCACCCTGGGACCTGGACATGATCGACCTCAGGTCTCTTTGGCTTTCTGTTAGGGGCCTGCATAAGGGCTTGCGTGATGATCCAGATGTGACCCAATCTCCTGCTTAGAGACACATCCGTGTCCTGGGGATTCACTCGTTCATTCAACAAATACAGTTCCAGGTGCTGGGATATTAGTAGGAAGCCAAATAAACAAAATTCCCTGTCCTCATGGGGCTAATGAAAAATAATAAATGAGGAGATAGGAAGTGGGGATGGGAATGGGAGGGATGCAGTATTAGGTAGAGTGACCGAGAAGGGGGCATTTGAGTAAAGACCGGAAGGGAACAAGGCATGGACATGTCTGGGGGTGGAGCCATTCTAGGCAGCAGGGGCAGCAGATGCAAAGGCCCTGAGGCAGGAGCTCCCCTGTTGTATTGAAGAACAGCAAGGACATCAGGGTGGCCAGAGTGGAGTGAACAAGGAGGAGAACAGTAGGGGATGAGGTCCGAGAGGGCCCACGGGGAGTCAGATCTTACAGGGTCTTAAAGGTTAGATTAGACACTTTGCCATTTACTCAGTAAGGTGGACCCACTGGAGATGTTGAGCAGAGGAGGGTCAGGATCCAAGGTAGGTTTGCTAACAGGGTCAGTCAGGTTGCTGTGCTGAGGATGGGCTATAGAGGGCAGGCAGAAGCAGGGAGACCAGTTAGGATGCTGTCACAGTAAACTGAGAGATGGTAGGAGGAGCAAAAATAAGGAGATGTGGTCACCTAGATCATTTGGTCAGATTCTAGATCACTTTCAGAGCAGAGCCAGTTGATAGAGTAGATATGAGAGTTAAAGAAAACGGTAAGGTTTTTTGCCTGAACAATAGGAAAGATGGAATTGCCTTCAGCCAAGATAGGAACAACCACCGGGTAGAACAGGTGTGTGGGGGAAGTCAGGAGTTGATGTTCGTGTCTTAAACATAGATGTGTTAAGTTTGAGATGCTTGTTAGACATCAGGCGGTGATGTCAGGTGAAGAATTGGATATATAATTGGAGTTTGAGGAGCAGTTAGGGCAGGAGATGCGTATTTGGGAGCCAGCAGCCTGTAGGTCGTGTCTAAAAACATGAGCGTGGATGAGCTCTTCCAGGGATGAGTGAGGATAAGAAGAGGAGGCACATTGAGTCCTGGAGCTGTTGCTGTGTGTAGAGCTTGAAGAGATGAGGAAGAACCAGCATGGAGGTGGGAGAACTGGAAGAGGGCTGTGTCCTGGAGGCCAAGGGAAGTAAGTGTTTCAGGGAGAAAAGAGCAATTAGCTGTGTCCAAAGCTGTGGGTGGCTCCAATGGTAGGAGGACTGAGAATTCAACCATTAGATCTGGCAGTGTGGATGTCATTTGTGACCTTGATGAGAGCCATTTCAGTAAGAATGAGAGCGAAGACCTGGAGTAAATTCAGAGAGAATGGGAGGAGAGAAGAGGAGTCAGTGAGTATAGACTTGTGCTGTCCCTTATAGCAGCCACTAGCCACGTGTAGGTATTTAAATTTAAATTAATGAAATAAAACTAAAGGCCGGGCGCGGTGGCTCACGTCTGTAATCCTAGCACTTTGGGAGGCTGAGGTGGGCAGATCACGAGGTCAGGAGATCGAGACCATCCTGGCTAACATGGTGAAACCCGATCTCTACTAAAAATACAAAAAAAAAATTAGCCAGGCGTGGTGGCAGGCGCCTGTAGTCCCAGCTATTTGGGAGCCCGGGGCAGGAGAATGGCGTGAACCTGGGAGATGGAGCTTGGCGTGAGCCAAGATCGCGCCACTGCACTCCAGCCTGGGCGACACAGCAAGACTCTGTCTCAAAAGAAAAGAACTGAAAATCAGTTCCTTAACCTCACTAGCCACATTCATTTCAAGTGTCTGATAGCCACATACGGCCAGTGGCTGCTCTACTAGGCAGTGCAAATATTGAACATTTCCATTGGCACAGAAAGTCGTGTGGTGTTCCTGCAGTACAGGGAGGGAGAGTGATGCAGTGGTAACTAAAAGGGGGAAAATGAAGGAATTAAGAGAGGTGTTTCGTGTTTTTATTTTTTAAGATAAAAGAAATAACGTGTTTGTATGCTGTTGGGAATGATCTAGTCAAAAGGGAAAATGGATACAGGAGAGAAAGAAAAGTCTGGGAATGATGTCATTTGGTAGACGAGAGGGGATGGGCCCGTGACCAAATGGAGGGACTAGCCTTCTTCTGGACATTTCATACCCAGGATAGGAGACAACATGTGGGTTCAGAGACAAAGGTGGGCAAGGAGGTGTTCTAGTCCTAGTTTGTTTTAGGGTATACTTTCTTTTCTGCTCACCGGTGTGTCATACTCAGCGAGTGAAAGGATAAGAGCCCCCTCTTGTTCCTGCACCCTTGGAGAAAGTGCCAAGTACAATCGCAGAACCGCCAGAAGCTGGAATGCCCTTAAGGCTAATAGGGTTATATAGTCAGGTTGCCATATTCAACCATCCTTTAAAATCAGCACTAGTTTGGATGCCTTAGTGGCTGTAGTTGGACTGAGCATCCCTTATGTTCTCTAAGATGTGATACCCCAAATGGCAGCCAGCCACCCTGGGTTGCTAGTGGAATATGCCTGTGTCATCTCTATTTGCTGAAGGTCTTATTTGCCTGGACATACTTTTTTTTTTTTTTTTTTTTTTTTTTTTTTTTTAGATAGAGTCTCGCTCCGTCACCCAGGCTGGAGTGCAGTGGCAAGATCTTGGCTCACTGCAACCTCCGCCTCCTGGGTTCAAGCGATTCTCCAGCCTCAGCCTCCTGAGTAGCTGGAATTACAGGTACGCACCACCACGCCCGGCTAATTTTTGTATTTTTAGTAGAGACGGGGTTTCACCGTGTTGGTCACGCTGGTCTTGAACTCCTGACCTCATGATCCACCCTCCTTGGCCTCCCAAAGTGCTGGGATTACAGGCGTGAGCCACCACACCCGGCCTGGATATACTTTTTTTTTTTTTAAATATTGAATTATTCCTTTCAGAATTAGGGCTGGGAGACCATGGCTTTAAATAAAGCAGAGGAAATTGTTATTGTACGCTTCTGTTAATTTGGGCTGAGATATGGTGATTGGGTCATGGACTAAGTTGAGGTTCACCTTATGAGAAAGAGGAATCATGTAAACAAACGTCATCATACCTTTGTAAGTACAATATAGTTAAAGGGCTTGGACATGCATTCACTGACGGTCCCGTAGTGATGTGAGGTCATGGTGGTAATTGAACCTAAAGAGTGTCAGCAACCGCCTGAGGACTCTTGAATACCATGAGGCCAAGCCAGGGTTGCAGACAGCAGGAGTGTAGGAAGGCCTGAGTCTTAGAGTCAGACTTGCCTAGCTTCAAATCCAGGCTGTGCTGCTTGCCACATGTGTGACCGTGATTGTGTTACTTTACGCCTTAGTCTATTTTCTTGTAAGTAGAAACAGAAACACCTACCTCAAGGGACAGGGGGAGCGTGAGACAGAGCTGGTATCTATCAGGTGCCTGGCATGTGGCAGCTCCTAGCACACACTGCTCCCTCCCCTGCTGTTTTAGGCTATCTAACCATATGCCCTTCTGTGAAAAATAAAATCAAATGACTCCAAGACAAAGATTCTAGTGACAATTTACTACAGTCAGTTGGACCTAATGTTATTTTGTTAGACTAGGAAATACAATCATATGTTTCAAAATGCAGAGTGTGCAAAAAGATGTATGGTGACAATCCCTCCCATCCTGTTCCCTGTTACCCACTTTCCCTCCCACAGAGCAACTGTCTCACCAGCCTCTTATGTAGCCTTCTAGAGACATTTTTTTAAATTGTTATTTTGAACTGAAACAGCAGATCACAAACTGTTCTCTTCTTGCTTTTTTCCTGGCTGTATCTTGGCGGTCATTCCACATCTGTAAGGGAGGAGGCGCATCGTTCCTCACAGCTACTTTATCTTCCATTGTATGGATGTAACCATTTAATTTATCTAGTCCCCCATGAACACTTAGGTTGTTTTCTGTCTTTACCATTTACAGACATTGTTATAGCAAAGTAAATAACTGGTTTTTTTGTTTGTTTTTTTTTTTGAGACCGAGTCTCGCTCTGTCACCCAGGCTGCAGTGCAGTGGCGTGATCTCGGCTCGCTGCAAGCTCCGCCTCCCGGGTTCATGCCATTCTCCTGCCTCAGCCTCCCCAGCAGCTAGGACTACAGGCGCCCGCCACCACGCCCGGCTAATTTTTTTGTATTTTTAGTAGAGGCGGGGTTTCACCGTGTTAGCCAGGATGGTCTCGATCTCCCGACCTCGTGATCCGCCCGCCTCAGCCTCCCAAAGTGCTGGGATTACAGGCGTGAGCCACCACGCCCAGCCAATAACAGGTATTTTAAATTATTATTTTATCTCTTGATGAGAGTGCACCTCTCAAGGTCTGTTGTTAGGCAGTACATTATTTAACCTGGTTCTAGTTTCTCCATGTACTTGAACATAAAGGAGCTATTCATTTTAAATTCATGTATAATTTAAATTCATGTATAATAGATTCTTTTCTCACACATTTGAACCAGCTGCTCTCTGCAGCCAACCCAGATATCTAAGCTTTTACTCTTTTATGAAAAATATACCAGTCACTCACTCAACCAGTGTTTATTTAGCACCTAGTATGTGCCAGATATTTTTTCTGGCTGCTTGGGATAAAGCAGTGAGAAAAACAAAGAAAACCTCTGCCTTTTAGGAGCAGAGTTTGGCTGTGGGAGAATGATACCAAACACAATATATGACTAAATCGTTGCATAGTATATCAGAAATGAAAGTGCTGTGTGGGGGAAAAACAGTAGGGGAAGATCCAGGGTGAGGAGGAGTCTTCAGTTTTTAAGTGGGGTGCTCGGAGTAGGCATTACTGAGAAGGGGATATCTGAGCAGGAGCTTGAAATGGGTGAGGGAGTGAGCCATGTGGATATCTGGGGAAGAGTGTTCTGGCAGAGGGAATGGGCAGTGCAAAGGCCCTGTGGAATAGTGAGTGGCTTGTGGGAGGGAGGGTCAGATTGGGTAGGGCCTTGTAGGCTATTTTAAGAGCTGGCTTTTAACTAAGAGAGATGGGAGTTGTGGGAGGGCGTGGAGCAGAGGAGGGATGTTTCTGAGCTTCTTAAAGCACCACTCTGATGGCTCGGTAAGAACGGACTAGAGAGATCAGTCAGGAAGCTGTCGCTATAGCCTAGGCGAGAGGCAGTGGTGGGCCCAAGTAGAGTGGTTGCCACAGAGGTGGTGGAAGTGGTCAGTGCCTGCCTGAATTTTGAAGGTAAGTCCAAGAGGCTGTGCTAACAGATTGGGTATGGGATGTCAGTGAAGGAAAAGGAGTGTGCCAGGTGTGGTGGTGCATGCCCATAGTTGCAGTCACTTGGGAAGCTGAGGCAGGAAGATTGAGCCCAGGAATTTGAGTCCAGTTTTGGGCAACATAGTGAGACCCTGTTTAAAAATAAAAGAAAGAAAACAAGCAAGAATGACCACAGAGTTTGTGACTCGAGCCATTAGAAGGATGGAGTTGCCATCACTTGTGATGGGAGGGACTGAGAAGCGCCGTTTACACCACAGGGGAAGGTCCCCAATTCAGACTTAGGTGCCTGAAGTCTGAACTGCCTACCTGATACCCCAGTGGAAATGCTGAGTGAGCAGCTGGCTGCATGAGCCTGGAAGTCGGGAGAGGTTAGGGCTGGCATTGTACTCCAGGGAGCTGTTGGCGTAGAGATGGCACTGAGAGCTGGGAGACTGGATGCAGTCACCACAGAGGGTGTAGGCCTTGCTAGAGCTCACAGGCAATTCAGGGAGCTCCTGACGGACCATTCTGCTCCCACTTTTTTTTACAAATCTCTGGGTCAGTTTGACACTTTACTTTTTTGTTTTTTTGAGACAGAGTCCCACTCTGTCGTCTAGGCTGGAGTGCAGTGGCACAATCTCGGCTCACTGCAACCTCCAACTCCCGGGTTCAAGCGACTGTCTTGCCTCAGCCTCCCAAGTAGCTGGGATTATAGGCGCCTACCACCATGCCCGGCTGATTTTTTTGTATTTTTAGTAGAGGCAGGGTTTCACCATGTTGGCCAGGCTGATCTCGAACTCTTCACCTCAGGTGATCCACCTGCCTTGGCCTCCCAAAGTGCTAGATTACAGGCGTGAGCCACCACGCCTGGCCTACTTTTTTTTTTTTTTTTTTAACTGGCTGACTTCCCCACCCCTAACCATCTCAGTGCTGCCTGTCCCTGAAGGGGACATTTCTATGAGGCCTGCTTGGGAGAAGGAAGCCTGCCGTCCTGCTCTTGTGAGCCACGGTGGGCCGAATGGAGGGAGCCTCTTGACCCTCCAGCAGTGTCTTGAGGCTGGCGTTTTCAGCACCTCTAACAGTGTTACCTCCATGTGTATCTCAGAAAACATTGAAGGCACGGTTGAAGTGAGCTTCCAGTAACTTTGAAGATAGGCTGTCTACTGTAGAGAAATGATAGGATGGACGGAGCGAGGAGATACTACTCATTTGTACCATTAGGAACTTCAGAAAGGTTGGATGCCAGATACCCAAGGGAGGTCTGGTTGTGGGCAGACCTTTTTTCCGGCACCTGGTCTGGCCTGAACTAGGTTGGTCCTGCAGCACTTGCTTTCAAGAGTCTCTGGAAGGCCCCAGTGGCTCTGGGTCACCTTGTGGTCCCACTGGATTGGGTGCTGGAGAGGGAAAACACACAGGCCCTGATACTGGGCCAATGGAACTGTGTCTTTGAAGAGAACAATTGATAGGACAGGGAGAGGGCACGCAGGGGAACCTAGATGTGATCTGGTTTCTTCTGGCTCATTAAACCTGAGACTGGTGTCCATGCCCTAGGCCAGCTGTCCTGTCAGGGGAACCTGCTATTTATTTCATGCCATCCGGTCATGGCATCCTCTGTCTGTTTTGACAGCAGCCTCTCCTGCTTGAGGTCAGTGAGGGCCTCTTTAGCCTCAAGTTGCAGAACAGGAATCTCAATGACTTCTTCCCCGTGGAAGAACTTCTTCCCCTTGGCCCATCACCAGGGGGCGCAGCCCGACCAAACGTGGAAAATAAAGGAGGCTGTGAATAAAGACAGGATAACTGACTGCTCATACTTCCAGAACAGTTTTTAAAATGTCAGCATATTACCTTTTTTTCTGTGTCTATACACAACTGTGACTTTTTAAGAATTTTGATCATACTGATTACATGTGAACTTACAAACTTTTCTGAAAAAACACATTTTTCTCAAAAAATGAACAGTAAAGCGGCCGGGCGCGGTGGCTCACGCCTGTAATCCCAGCACTTTGGGAAGCCAAGGCTGGCAGATCATGAGGTCAGGAGATCGAGACCATCCTGGCTAACATGGTGAAACCCCGTCTCTACTAAAAATAAAAAACTTAGCGGGATGTGGTGGCAGGCACCTGTACTCCCAGCTACTTGGGAGGCTGAGGCAGGAGAATCTCTTGAACCCAGAGGCGGAGCTTGCAGTGAGCTGAGATCACACCACTGCACTCCAGCCTGGGTAACAGAAGAAGACTCCATCTCAAAAAAAAAAAATGAACAGTAAAAAACCCTGCCTCGGAGTTCGAGACTAGCCTGGCCAACTGGTAAAACCCCGTCTCTACTAAAAATACAAAAATTAGCCGGGCGTCATGGCACATGCCTGAAATCCCAGCTACTTGGGAGGCTGAAGCAGGAGAATTGCTTGAACCCCGGAGACGGAGGCTGCAGTGAGCCGAGATCACGCCACTGCACTCCAGCCTGGGTGACACAGGGAGACTCCATCTCAAACAGGCAAACAAACAAACCCTGCCTCATAGGTTGCAGATAGGCATTACCAATGATGTGCATGTGCTGGTACCTGCTGGCTCTGCGTCCCTTAGTGGAACCCTCAAGGCTCAAGAAGTTTCTAGCCTGTGCTGGGATGTGATTGTTGGTACCATGTTGCAAGTACCAGAAATGTGAGGATTTGAGGGAGAAATCTGTTCTGACTTAGTCTATCTAGCTTGGCCAGGAGATGCGCTATGCAGATGATGTGTTCTGATCCTGTATCTCCCAGTCATGCAGGGCATCCAGGATCACTTTTCTTCTTCATCTCCCCACCTGGCCGGGCATCCTCCCTGAGGCATCTGAATTTGATTCCTGTCCCTCCCAGGTGTCTGTTCTTTCTAACCCCTGTCCCTGCCTTCTCCAGAGGTTCAAAACTCTGGACTCTGTTGTGTGCTCTCTTGGGTCAAGGCTGTTAGTCTTGCCTTCCCTTCATAGCCAGCCCCTGCCTGGTCCTCGCTTCATCGGGGCAGAGATAGGAATGTTGGAAAGAAGGTGCTTCCCAGGTTCTAATTTCTCAATTAGAGGATGCTAATGGTCATTCCAATTATAGGCATGATCTCTTTCCTTATGCTGTTGATGTTGTGCTTTATTTTGGCTTTTGCTCAAAGGAGGATTCTGGAGCCGAGAAGGAGAACACCTCTGTCCTGCAGCAGAACCCCTCCTTGTCGGGTAGCCGGAATGGGGAGGAGAACATCATCGATAACCCTTATCTGCGGCCGGTGAAGAAGCCCAAGATCCGCAGGAAGAAGTGAGTTGGAGGCTGGGGTCCAGAGAGCCTTCACTGTCCCACCGAGGTGGTCTTCTCTGCTTCTTGGAAGAGTCTCCTCAGTGGGGCGGAGCCTTGGGGAAAGCCACTCTGGTGAGAGGGAATAGTCTCCCTTTTCCTGTCCTTACTTGGCTCCCGTACATAGCTCTTGTTCCTTAGTGGTTGAGTGTCCTGCAGTCTAGGGACCAACCCTCACAGCACTGGAGCAGTTTTCCCCTAGAAGGAGAGCAGACAGGGCCCACACCAGGAGGCTCCATGGTTCCTCTTCTTTCTAGGTCCCTCTCCTGAGCTGAGAAGGAAACCTGGCTTGTACAGGGGCGCAGATTCCACCCTCCCGGGGAGTTAAAGCCACTCAAGGGAAGAAGAGGGTGACCTCCTCATGGCCAAGCCGAGGCTGCAGGGTGTGATCGGACATGATTTTCATGGCAAACCGTCTTATTAAGATGACCTATTTTCACTGGATGTTTGGGTTGAGGAAGATATGAACAGAATAATGAGAATTTTTTTTTTTATTTTGAGATGGAGTCTTACTCTATCACCCAGGCTGGAATGCAGTGGTGTGATCTCAGCTCACTGCAGTCTCAGCAACCCTGGGTCCAAGTGATTCTCCTGCCTTGGCCTCCCGAGTAGCTGGGACTAGAGGCAAGCGCCACCATGCTGGCTAATTTTTGTATTTTGAGTAGAGATAGGGTTTCGCCATGTTGGCCAGGCTGGTCTTGAACTCCTGACCTCAAGTGATCCACCCGCATTGGCCTCCCAAAGAGTTGCGATTACAGGTGTGAGCCACCACGCCCAGCTAATTTTTGTATTTTTAATAGAGATAAGGTTTCGCCATGTTGGCCAGGCTGGTCTTGAACTCCTGACCTCAAGTGATAACCCGCCTCGGCCTCCCAAAGTGCTGAGATTACAGGCGTGAGCCACCGCACCCCACCAGAGACTTTCTTAATCAATCAGGCTATGTGGTGGGGCATAGCAGCAGCCAGTGACTTCGTTCATTATCACAGGATTTGATTCCTTTGAAACTCAAGAGACCAGGGAAAGTGACAGGAAGGAAAGGGCTCTTTGCTGCTGTGCTTATTACAAGGAAGACTGTTTGTCCAGCGTGTATTTCAGGATATCTGGATCCCTTTTATTGACTCACAATTTGTGGCACCACTTTCTCATCCCAGAACTTCATTCTTATTTCTCTCCTCATCTGGCCTCCCAAGTGCTCCGTTGAGCTGATGAAAAGTTCTTTGTACTCCCTCAACGTGTCGGAAACAGGAGGCCACACAGCACAGCTTTGTTTGGGGTGGGCAGGAGTCAGGAGTCTTGAGCAGATGCATCACTGTGAAGAAGAACGACATGTCGGGGCTGCACCTGTCCTCCCGTCGGCATTTGACGAAAGCTCCCTGAAGCGGGGCAGCACTCTCCTCCTGAGAGATTTACCATTTATTGCCCCTGTGAGGAATGTGTGCTTGGGAACTGCCAAGTCTTACCCCTTCTGGAAGAAGAGGTTTTCTCTGACAAGAGCCTAGAGCGTCGGCTCTATTATGCTGGGACTTGACAGAGGAGCCATGGGGTTTAAACAGTAGGAAAGAGGGGCTACGCGCAGTGGCTCACGCCTGTAATCCCAGCACTTCGGGAGGCGAAGGCAGGTGGATCACTTGAGGTCAGGAGTTCGAGACCAGCCTGGCCAACATAGTGAAACCCCGTCTCTACTAAAAATACAAAAATTAGCCGGGTGTGGTTACTCATGCCTGTAATCCCAGCTACTCGGGAGGCTGAGGCAGGAGAATCACTTGAACCTGGGAGGCGGAGGTTGCAGTGAGCCGAGATCGTGCCACTGCACTCCAGCCTGGGTGACAGAGCGAGACTCCATTTCAAAAAAATAAAAAAAGGATAAAGTAAACAATAGGAAAGGATTTGGTGGGGTGAGGGTGGGGTGTTGAGGGCTGGGCCTCATCTTGTATTCTGAAAGCTGAGAAACGGCTGGTCAGCTGGAAGGCTGGTGGATGGGCAGGAGTGAGCCAAGCTGAGGCGTTCTGCAAGAAGCAGGTCTGAGTCTGTCCAACCAATTTGTATCCTGTGGGGAGAACAACTTCATTCTTAACATACCCTACAAACCAGAAAACAAGTTTTTAAGGAAGATGCTGGGCATGCTGATAGCTTTTCTGGTCTCCTAAGGAAGAGTTTTTAAAACTAAATCCAAGGAAGAAAAATGTAACAACACGTGGAAGTGAACACTGGATGAATAAGCTTGTTTCCCAAATTAGAATCCTAACGTCCATATTTAGCTTCATGTATTCCCCTTTGGCTTCCACAGTTCAACTCCTTTTATTTTGAGACAGGGTCTCGCTGTGTCGCCCCAGCTGGAGTATAGTGGCACTACCTCGGCTCACTGCAACCTCCACTCCCCGGGTTCAAGCAATTCTCAGAGTAGCTGGGATTACAGATGCCCGCCACCACATCTGGCTAATTTTTTTTTTTTTTTTTTAGTAGACACGGGATTTTGCTATGTTGCCCAGGCTGGTCTTGAACTCCTGGCCTCAAGTGATCCACCCGCCTTGGCCTTCCAAAGTGTTGAGATTACAGGCGTGAGCCACGGTGCCCAGCCCATCTCTTAGTCTTCCATTCCCTTGGTGAATTTGGAAACTTGAAAAACTTGGGGACTTGACAGCAGGCTCCATGTTCTTCTGGCCTCACTGTACTGTGTAAGGAAAGAGCTGCTTGTCAGGAACGGAAGAGGGGACGCTAGTAAAAAAAAAAAAATTGGATTCCCCAACTGGACTAAATAGGAGTTTTTCAGGTTTGTAGTAACGTGAAACTCTCCTAGATCGAAGCAGTTAGACTGGCCTATGTGGCCTTCTCAGGGTTTGTGATTCAGTTCTTAGCGATTCTTGGCCTGATAAGTTTATGAACACAGCCCCACATTCAAGCCGTGGCCAATCCCAGCTGTTCTCACTGCTCTTGGGAGGTGTTGTCCCAGTCAGTGTTTCTGCAGCTTCCATTTGTTGTTGTTATCCAGTGTAAGCACCTGTTGAATGCAGATGTGCTGAGTTAGAGGTGGGATTTGGAAAAGGGCTGCTATTTCTGCTGTTGAGATTTCAGAGGCTATACTCTTTTTTTTTCTTTTCTTTTTTTTTTTTTTTTGAGACGGCATCTCACTCTTATCGCCCAGGCTGGAGTGCAATGGCGTGATCTCGGCTCACTGCAACCTCCACCTCCTGGGTTCAAGGGATTCTCCTGCCTCAGCCTCCTGAGTAGCTGGGATTACAGGCACCTACCACAATTCTCGGCTAATTTTTTTTGTATTTTTGGTAGAGACGGGGTTTCACCAGGTTGGCCAGGGTGGTCTCGAACACCTGACCTCAGATGATCCACCCACCTCGGCCTCCCAGTGTGGGTGGGATTACAGGCATGAGCCACCGCGCCTGGCCTCAGAGGCTATACTCTTATAATTTTGTTCTGAGGGGAGACAGGGAAAGGGTTAGACAACTTGAAACATTGACCCTGTATAAAAATGCAAAATTCTCAATGTGTATTTATAAATTTCTATTTTTTATAACTTTATGGGACTTCTTAGAGGCCAAAAGTAGTAAACATGCAGATTAAAAATGTTTATGAAAATCTCAATAAAAATTCATAATAAAAACTTTGTAAATAAATAGAACTGTAAGCTTTGAACTTAATTTGTGTTCAAAAGTTAACAGCAATGTGGACAAATAAGTCAGGCTTAGCCCTTGTGTTGGCCTAAGCACACCTGGGAACTTAGTAAAACTTTTATTTTGGAAATTTTCAAATACAAAATTAGAGAGCAAAATATATGAACCCCTGTATATGCCTCATCAAGCTTCCACACTTGTCAGTAGCTTGTTGATTCTGTTTCATCTGTTTCTCCCACTTTTTGTCCTTTATTTTCTTTCCTCCTGGAGTGTGTGTGTGTGTGTGTGTGCGTGTGTGTGCGTGTGAGACAGAGTTTCGCGCTGGAGTGCAATGGTGCAATCTTGGCCCACTGCAACTTCTGCCTCCCGGGTTCAAATGATTCTACTGCCTCAGCTTCCTGAGTAGCTGGGATTATAGGTATCTACCACCACCACCACGCCTGGCTAATTTTTTCTTTTTTTTTTGGAGACGGAGTCTCGCTCTGTCGCCCAGGCTGGATTGCAGTGGATTGTCAAGATTGCAGTGGTGCAATCTCAGCTCACCGCAAGCTCCGCCACCCAGGTTCACGCCATTCTCCTGCCTCAGCCTCCCAAGTAGCTGGGACTACAGGTGCCTGCTACCACGCCCAGCTAATTTTTTGTATTTTTCAGTAGAGATGGAGTTTCACTGCATTAGCCAGGATGGTCTCGATCTCCTGACCTCATGATCCGCCCGCCTCGGCCTCCCAAAGTGCTGGGATTACAGGCATGAGCCACCGCACCTGGCCTAATTTTTTTGTAGGTTTAGTAGAGATGGGGTTTCACCATGTTGGCCAGACTGGTCTCCAACTCCTGACCTCAGGTGATCACCTGCCTCAGCCTCCTAAAGTGCTGAGGTTACAGGCGTGAGCCCCCGCGCCTGGCTCTTCTGGAGTATTTTTAAATGCAAACTCCAGACCTGTGTCATTTAATCTAAATGTGTCTATACGTATCTCTGATTGATCTTTCTTTAAATTTTAATTTTGGAATAATTATAGATTCACAAGATGTTGCAAAAAATGTTGAGAGAGATCCTATGTACCCATCACCCACTTTCTCCCAGTGGTAGCATCTTGCATAACTGTGGTGCAATATCAAAACCCTTGCATTCAGTTTCAGTGTACAATGTAGATGGTATATTAGTACAATGCATAGAGCTTATTTAGTTTTCACCATGTGCACGTGTGTGTTATGTGTGTGTTGTTCCGTGCAGTTTCATCGTGTAGATTTGTGTAACCACCAGCACACAAATGGTGAAGACACAGAACCATTGCATCAGTACAGTTCTCCCTCATGCTGTCTCTTTGCAATCACATCCACCTCTCTGCTCTTCCACTTCTCTCCTGGCAGCCACTACTCTGTTCTCTATCTCTAATGTTATTGAAAGAATGTTATAAATTGAATCATAAAGTATGTGACTTTTTTCTTTTTGAGACAGAGTCTTGCTCTATCGCCTAGGCTGGATGGAGTGCAGTGGAGCGATCCCAGCTCACTGCAACTCCTCCACCTCCCGGGTTCAAGAGATTCTCCTGCCTCAGCCTCCCAAGTAGCTGGGATTACAGGCATGTGCCACCACACCCAGCTAACTTTTGTATTTTTAGTAGAGATGGGGTTTCACCATGTTGGCCAGGTTGGTCTCCAACTCCTGACCTCAAGTGATCCGCCCACCTCAGCCTCCCAAAGTGCTAGGATTATAGGTATGACCCACCGCACCTGGCCGAGTATGGGACTTTTTGACGTTGGCTTTTTCAGTTCTGCATAATTCTCTTGAGGTCCATCTAGGTGGTTGTGTGTATCAGTAGTTCCTTTCTTTTTATTGCTGAGTAGCATGGAGGCACCATAGTTTAACACAGTTTCTTTAACCATTCACGCATTGAGACAAAAAAAGTTCTTAATTCTGCGAACATCAACTTCCTGTGCCCAGGTGCAAGTGCGGGGGCAGCTGGCCCAGGGTAGAGCTTTACCATGGACCCTGGCGCTCCTGGAAAAAAATTCAAGGTATTTTTCCTCCTCTTGGAGCGTGTGGCCTACCTCATCTCCATTTGATTACTAGCTTTTCTTTTTCTCCTTTGTTAAACAGTTATTTAATTTTGAAGAGATAATATATGTATACAGTATAAAATTTAAAAGACAGAAAAAGATATAAGTGATAACAAAATATCTTCCTCCTCCCCTGTTTCCCAGAGGCTCAGACCTCATCCCTGGCAGCTGCTATTATGTTACTGTCAATATGACCTTATGTATTCTTCCAGAAGTATTCTGTGCATCAAATGCAAATACTTATATTTTCTACTTCTCAGTGTATTTTTTGGTGATGTTCCATGTCAGTAATAAAGAGCTTCTCTGTTTCGTGGCTGCATGGTTGTTGTATAGTTCTACCATAACTTATTTCCCAGCCCCCAGCTGATGGGCATTTAGGTGGTTTCCAGCCCTCTGTTCTTTCAAGCATTGATGCAACAAGCAGCTTTCTGCCTGTGGCGTTTTGTTATGGGTGTCCATTGAATCTGGACAGATGTTGCCCAGCCCTCAGAATGTGTACCAGTTGGCTATCCTGCACGAGTGCCTGCCTCCTTGCCACCTCAGTGTAGAACTCCTTAAACTTTGCTACTCTGATAGATAGAACACTGTGTCTTATTGCGGTTTTATTTGAGTTGGAGTTGAATTTTTTTTCCCCCTGGATTCCTTCTATTTTAACAAACAAGTGTGTGTGTATCAGCTGGAACCAGGAACATAGTCACCGTTCTGTGTGATGATGCCCCACAGAGGGGCACCCGGGGACTCTGCCATCACAGAGGAGGGAACACAATCTCTTTCTGGGCTGGGACTTCAGGAAGAGTGTCCCAGGGCTGGTGACATTTAAGCTGGACTTTTACCAAGACAAGCAAAGGAAGGAAGGACATTCTAGGCAGAGTGAACAGAGGACATAGGATACAAGGGAGTGGCAAGGGCTGAGTGTGGCAGTGAAGGTTAAAGATGGACCTGCTGGGCACGGTGGCTCACGCCTGTAATCCCAGCACTTTGGGAGGCAGAGGCGGGCGGATCACGAGGTCAGGAGATTGAGACCATCCTGGCTAACACAGTGAAACCCCGTCTCTACTAAAAATACAAAAAATTAGCCGGGCATGGTGGCGGGTGCCTGTAGTCCCAGCTACTCGGGAGGCTGAGGCAGGAGAATGGCCTGAACCCGGGAGGCGGAGCTTGCACTGAGCCGAGATTGTGCCACTGCACTCCAGCCTGGGCGACAGAGCGAGACTCTGTCTCAAAAAAAAAAAAAAAAAAAAAGATGGACCCTAAGGGCCTCGTTAGCCTGGTAGACGAGTTTCCATTTTGATCCCATAGGGGTCAGAAGTGCAGAGGAGAAAACACGGTGTATTTGGAACAAATTCATTTGCTGAGCACCTCCTATATGCCAGGCACGGTGCTAAGCACTTCACATAAATTAACTGTTCATCCTCATGATATCCTAATGAGGTTGGGAAAATTATTATCCCCACTTACACATGTATCAACTTATTTATTTATTTATTTTTATTTTTTTGAGACGGAATCTCACCCTGTCCCCAGGCTGGAGTCTCGCTCAGTCACCAGGCTGGAGGGCAGTGGTGCGATCTCGGCTCACTGCAACCTCCGCCTCCTGGGTTCAAGCGATTCTCCTGCCTCAGCCTCCCGAGTAGCTGGGATTACAGGCACATGCCACCGCACCTGGCTGATTTTTGTATTTTTAATAGAGATGGGGTTTCACCATGTTGACCAGGCTGGTCTTGAACTCCTGACCTCAGGTGATCCACCTGCCTCAGCCTCCCAAAGTGCTGGGATTACAGGCATGAGCTACTGCACCTGGCCTCATTTATTAATAGTAGTATTATTTTTGCTGTTTAAAAGAAGAGGAAACAGAGACTTAGAGGCTAAGTACATTGTGGGAGGTCACCAAGCCACTACATGGCATGACCCTGCCCTGCTCTCTCCTAACCATGTGGCTACCCATCGCATCTGGAGAGCAGCAGAATGGACTCCTTTCTTGGATGAGTTGGGGCGTATTGCCTCTCTCCAGACTAAAGGAGATGGAGACTTCCATAAGAGCAAAAGCTGTTCTGAGATTCCACGTCCCCTTGAAATATGCAACCAGTGATACCAGTTTCTGAAGCATCCTCTAGAGGCAGTCTGTGCATATCCAGCAAATACGGACACATTTTTCCCTTTTTTTATACATGAATGGTAGCATACTGCATAAGCTCTTCTGCACTTGCTTCTTTCCCCACTTACTATCTCTTGGAGGTCACTCCTGATATGTAAAGAACTTCCTCATTTGTTTTCATGGCTGTAGAGTGTTCCATTGTATGTCTTATCCTAACTTATGACCGGTTTTCTATTTAGAGAAATTGAGACTATTTCCAGCAAACAATGCTGCGCTGACATGATGCTCGTTCGTTGGGGTATCTGCAGGCCAACTTCCTAGAAGCAGAATTCCCAGCCTGTGTTGGTAGCTGCTATGGTCTGAATGTTTGTGTCCCCTCAACATTTATGTTAAAATCCCCGAGGTGATAATGTTAGGAGGTGGGGCCTTTGAGGAGGTAATTAAGTCATGAGAGTAGAGCCTTTGTGAATGGGATTGGTGCCTCTAGGCCAGGCGCGGTGGCTTATGCCTGCAATCCCAGTGCTTTGGGAGGCTGAGGCAGGAGGATCACTTGAGCTTAGGAGTTTGAGATCAGCCTGAGCAACATGGCAAGACCCCTATCTCCATAAAAATTAAAAATCAATTAATTAGTTTAAAAGCCCCCAGGGAGGCCAGGCACGGTGGCTCACGCCTGTAATCCCAGCACTTTGGGAGGCTGAGGTGGGTGGATCACTTGAGGTCAGGAGTTCAAGACCAGCCTGGCCAACATGGTGAAACCCCTTCTCTACTAAAAATACAAAAATTAGCCGGGCATGGTGGCGGATGCCTGTAATCCCAGCTACTCGGGAGGCTGAGGCAGGAGAATTGCTCGAACCTGGGAGGCGGAGGTTGCAGTGAGCCAAGATCGCACCATGGCCCTCCAGCCTGGTAACAGAGCGAGACTCCATCACAAAAAGAAAAGAGAGAGCTGCCTCTCCCCTTCCACCATGTGAGGACACAGTGAGGAGACACTATCTGAGAGCCAGACGCCGAATCAGCCTTGATCTTGGGCTTCCCAGCGTCCAGCACTGTGAGAAATACATTTCTGTTGTTCATAAGCCACCCAGTTTCTAGTACTTTGTTGGAGCAGCCTGAGCAGACTAGGACAGCAGCTATTGCCAAATGCTCTCCATAGAGGCCATGCCAATGTCACCTTCCTCCGGAAAAACAGCCCATTTCCCTACACCCTAGCCAACGCCATGTGTTTTACACTTTTGCCAATCTGATAAGTGAAAAGTGCTTTTTTGGAATAGCCTTCGCTTGAATTTCTGTTATTATGATTGAGGTGAGCTTTTCCATATTGTGATTTTGAAATACGGTGTCCTCATCGGTAAGTGTGGCTGAGGAGAGAGCCAAGAAGTTCTGAACAGAATGTGGCTTTCTCTCCTGTGCCGGGAGCACCGTGGCCACCACGTGTTTTCAGTTCAGGGATTGTCCTCCAGGGGTGCACATGTGTGAGGTGAGCAACTCCTTCAGGAACTCTGAGTTCTCCTGGGGAGAAACAAACCTTTTAAATCATCACAAGCAGCTCCCCTGATCTGCGGCACCCCCTCTCCAATGCCAGAAGCTGCCCCCTCTTCCACCACCCTCTCCTGACAATCCAAATAGAATGAGCAAAGCGGTTTTTTTCACCCTACGTTCCTCAGGCCAGATACATTCTAGAGAATTGTGAGACTTTGCCCTAAGCTGCCAAGTGCTCCCCAAGGAGATCGGTCACCAGGAGAGCAGCCACAAAGGTCAAGAAAGACACACACGGAAGCAAACCCAGGCTCTGTGCTCCTTCCAGCCCTTGCTGGTGCAGATGCTACCCCACAAGCTTGTCAGATCGCCCAGGTGACGGGCCAGGCGCAGCCATCGGGAAGGTCATTCAGCCAACCCAGAGGATGTAGACCCTGTCCTCAAGAAGTGCAGGGCGAGTTCTGCCGTGCCCTCTGAAATACTCTCCCTCCTCTCAGAGCCCTCCCTCGAGAGCCTGAGTGCACCATGTCTTGTGGCCTCGCCTGAAGCCTTCCTCTGGCTTCACAGAATGCTCTGGAACTCTGGGGTCTGGTCAGGGAGTGTGTCCTCAGCTTGTCTGGAGGAGGCCTGCATCCCTCCTGAGCTCTTGGAGGTGCCCAGGAACCCTGCTTCTCCTCACAGGGCCTGGCCATATAGCCAGCTCCAACCCAAAGCCCTGCACAGTGCCTCACCCACTCCCTTCTCCTGGTCTCTCCTCAAAAGAATTTTACATGATTTTAAAATAATAATAGCTTTCATTTACATAGTGCTTACATTTATATAGCACTTACTATGTGCGATGTACTAATTTAAGTACTTTATATTAACTCATATAATAAATGGACACAACACAAAACTCAAAAGGTACAAAAGAATAAAACAGTTAAAAACTATGCCTTCTTCCTTCTCATTCCATTTCTTCAGTCACCCCATTCCCCACTCCAGAAACAGCTACTATCACTGGTCTTATGTGCGCCTTCAAAGCCATTCCAGGAATATATAAGCACACAGATATCTATTCTTTCGTTATTACACAAGGGGTGGCTTATGAAATGCATGTTCCGTATCCTTGTTTAAGTTTTCCTGGTTTTCTTTTTCACTCCCCTGAAATTCTTACCCCCTTTCCCACCCCTAAACTCTGAGCACGGTGACAGGGAGGAAAGATGCCTGGCAGGTCTGTGGCCAGTCCCTACCTGACAGCTCAGTTAGCTGCAAGTGACCAAATTGCTCTGAGTCTCACCTTCCTCATCGATAAAGCAGGCTCGTAATGCCTCAAAGGTGTCATGGAGAGATGTGGTATTAGAGATGACAAGTGTGGGCTGGGCGCAGTGGCTCAAGCCTGTAATCCCAGCACTTTGGGAGGCAGAGGCAGGTGGATCACAAGGTCAAGAGATAGAGATCACCCTGGCCAACATGGTGAAACCCCGTCTCTACTAAAAATACAAAAATTAGCTGGGCGTGGTGGCTTGTGCCTGTAGTCCCAGTTACTCAGGAGGCTGAGGCAGGAGAATCGCTTGAACTCAGGAGGCAGAAGTTGCAGTGAACCAAGATCGCGCCACTGCATTCCAATCTGGCGACAGAGCAAGACTCCATCTCAAAAAAAAAAAAAAAAGAAGAAGAAGAGATGACCAGCGTGATCCTTGTGGAAGAATTAATTGACATTCTTCCCAGGCAAGCTTCCTCCCTCCCCAGAGATGTCGTCACCTGATGGGTGGGCAGGGGCTGGGCTATGGACCAAGCACACCCTCCTGAGAGTGCAAGTGACATGCAGGAATGGGAAGTGTTGCACTGTGGTTCATAGGTGCCTCAGCGGGGAGGGAGAGAAGGTGACCTAGGAGGGCTGCATTCTTGGCCTGTGATTCAGATGTTGGCACTGATGAGTTGGTAGCTCTGCCCTCTTTTGGAAGATTGGATGGGCACCCTCCCCACCTCCAGGAAAGCCCTGCCCCAGAAATAGCCTGGGCCCTCCAGCCCCCTTCACTGCAGAGCTTTCTACGGCACAGAAGAGATCCAAGCCTGAGCAGGCCCCAGCTCTGGGTCCTCCCAGGAGCACCAACCCCCTGAGGCCTCCTTGCCTCAGCCCATGCCCTGCCAGGGCATCCACCAGCCACCCAATGCAATTGCCAGCTGTCCAGCCCCAGTCCCACTCTCACCACCATCTTCTTTCTTTTTCTTTTCTTTTTTTCTTTTTTTGAGACGGAGTTTTGCTCTTGCTGCCCAGGCTGGAGTGCAGTGGCACGATCTCGGCTCACTGCAACCTCTGCCTCCTTGGTTGAAGCGATTCTCCTGCCTCAGCTGCCCGAGTAGCTGGGATTATAGGCATGTGCCACCATGAACAGCTAATTTTGTATTTTTAGTAGAGACAGGGTTTCTCCATGTTTGTCAGGCTGGTCTCGAACTCCCGACCTCAGGTGATCTGCCCGCCTCGGCCTCCCAAAGTACTGGGATTACAGGCGTGAGCCACCGTGCCCGGACACCATCTTCTTTCTTCTTCCATCTGATTGTGTTCAGAAGTGTAAGGCCCATGGTTACATTCAGCCTGGTGGGAACTAAGCTTAAAAACCCAAACACAGCCAGGCACGGTGGCTCACGCCTGTAATCCCAGCATTTTGGAAGGCCGAGGTGCACGGATCACCTGAAGTCAGGAGTTCAAGACCAGCCTGGCCAACATGGTGAAACCCCATCTCTACTAAAAATACAAAAGTTAGCCAGAGGTGGTGGCGGGTGCCTGTAATCCCGTCTGCTCGGGAGGCTGAGGCAGGAGAACCACCTGAACCCAGGAGGCAGAAGTTGCAGTGAGCTGAGATGGCACCACTGCATTCCAGCCTGGGAGACAGAGTGAGACTCCGTCTCAACAAACAAACGAACAAAACCCCAAACCTTTTAGGAAACTCAGGCCAAACTACAATGGAGGGACCTGCCCAAGGTCACTGAGCTACTGTAATAGGTGCCAGAGCTGGGACTAGAACTCAAGACTCCGGCGAGGCCCTACCCAGATCCAGCCAATTCACTTGCCCAAAGGAAAGGATGTTTCCAGTCCCTCCTGGCCAACTCCCAACCGTGGGTGAAGGTCCCTGAGGCGTGGGTGGACAGGGAGCCCTGGGACTCCACATCAGTAGCATTTTACATGGAACACATTATTGGTGGGGTTATTTTTACTGGAAAATTTTGAGGAGAAGTTTTATAATTGAATACATGTAAATATATTAGGAAATATAGTGTAGAATGCCCATGAAAAGTAAAGTCTCAAGGACATTTTGCTTTTTTAGTGGCAGCTTCAGGCTTCTCTCCTAAAGCTCGAGGGGGTGGGAGGGCATGTCTATTTGCTCCTTTTTTTGTTTGTTTTGGCAATCTGGGAGGAAAAATATTAGAAGCACTGGTCTAATTAATGGTTCTGCCTTAAGCCGGGTGATAATGATCTGGTTCCTTTGTTACATATCTTTTTATTCCATAATGGATTAGAAACAGCTTATAACAAAAATAATAAATAACAACAATCTATGAAATTAAAAAGCAGGCCGGGCGCAGTGGCTTACGCCTGTAATCCCAGCACTTTGGGAGGCTGAGGCGGGCGGATCACGAAGTCAGGAGTTTGAGACCAGCCTGGCCAACATAGTGATACCCCGTCTCTACTAAAAATACAAAAAAATTAGCCAGGCATGGTGGCACGTGCCTGTAGTCCCAGCTACTCGGGAGGCTGAGGCAGTAGAATCGTGTGAACCCAGGAAGTGGAGGTTGCAGTGAGCCGAGATCGCGCCACTGCACTCCAGCTTGGGCAACAGAGTGAGACTTCATCTGGGGAAAAAAGAAAAAGAAAGAAATTAAAAAGCAGAACCAGTGGAAAATGGACTTTAGATAAGTCAATTTGGGCGTGAGGAGGAAGAGGGCCAGGAATAAACAAATAAATATACATAAGATGGCAATAAATGCTGAGGGAAAAAATTAAGCAGGGTAACGAGAATAGAGGGTGTGGAGGAGGAAGGGCATTGCCATTTATTTATTTATTTATTTAATTAGAGACAGGGTCTCGCTGTGTCACCCAGGCTGGAGTGCAGTGGCGTGATCTCAGCTCACTCAGTTGCCCTGGCTCAATCAGTCTTCCCACCTCAGCCCCCCAAGTAGCTGGGACTATAGGCGCACGCCACCATGCCCTGCTAATTTTTTTATTTTTAGTAGCGACGAGGTTTCACCATGTTGCCCAGGCTGGTCTCAAACTCCTGGTCTCAAGCTATTCACCCACCTCAGCCTCCCAAAGTGCTGGGATTACAGGCATGAGCCACCGTGCCCAGCCTGGGGTATGGCCCTTTAATGGAGTGATTACGGAAGTCCTCTCCTCTCCAAGAGGGTGACATTTGAATTGAGACCAATGGAAAAGAGCATTGGGTGACACAGGAATAGCCAGTGCAAAGGCCCTGAGGCAAGAGTGGGCTTAGCGTATTTAAGGAGTTCAGTGTGGCCAGCATGGAGTGGTAAGGGGCAGGAGTAAGAGAGCGTTGGAGCATGTGGGGTCTTGTGGGCATCCTAATGATAACAGTGTTTACCATGAAGGGGTGGGCCAAACAGAGGAGTGAGATCACCTGACTTAGGTTTAACAAGCTCATCCTGGACGCTGTGTTAAGAATTGACTTCCATCATAAATGTAGCAGCAGGAAGACCAGGCAGAAGGCAAAAAAATGATAGTGGCTTGGACTAACTGTGTGACAGTTGAGGAGGTAAGAGATAATCAGGGGCCAGGTGTGGTGGTTCACGCCTGTAATCCCAGCAGTTTGGGAGACCAAAGTGGGAGGATCGCTTGAGCCCAGGAGTTCAAGACCAGCCCGGGCAACATAGGGAGACCCCGTCTCTACAAAAAATTAACAATAAAAAAAATTAGCCAGGCATGGTGGTGTGTGCCTCTGGTACCAGCTACTTGGGAGGCTAAGGTAGGAGGATCACTTGTGCCCAGGAGGTCAAGGCTGCAGTGAGCTATGATTGCATCACGGAACTCCAGTGAGACCCTGTCTCAAAAAAACACAAAAAACAAAAAACAAAACAAAACAAAAAAAAGAAAAGAAAAAAAAGTCAGAAATGGTGGGTGTATCTTAAAGTTAAACTGACAAGATTTGCCAAGGGATTGGAAGTGGTGTGTGAAGAGTGGTCAGGGAAGAATGCGGCTCTGCGCCCTGAGGTGGAGAAGGCTCTGGGTGTGGGAGGCCAGGCGGGACTCAGGTGCTCGCTCAGCTGTGCACCTGTTAAGTGCGAGATGCCATTAGGCAGCCAAGTGGAAACACTGAGTTGGTAGCTGGCTCCATGAGTGGCATTCGGGGGAGGGCTGGAAGTCATCAGGGTGGGTGAGAGTTGAGGACGTCATGTCTGTTATCCCAGGCTTACCTCTCGATAGATCCAAGGAAAGAACCCATCTAGAATACTTGGAAGGATTGTTGGGCTGCAGTTCCCTGCCTTCCCGAACAGCTTGATCCCATCTGGTGGTTGTGTTCTCTTTGTTTTTGTCATATTGTTTTATTTTGTTTTGTTCTGCAGTGGGCCACTATTCCCTGCCCCCTCTTAGCTGCCCTAGACAAATGTACCATGTGGTAGGGAAGTAGTGAACTGACTGTTTAAGGTGGTATTCCTTGGTAAGGCCTGGGCATGCAGGGGCTCAGAACACTCACCTCTAGCCATGCTGTGTAGACATAGAATAAGATTTATTAGAGAAACTTGTGGGCAGAAAAACAGCAAAGTGACTGGGTTCTCTGAACCCTCCTTATCTCATAGAGGTGGAATTGGCCAGACTGAGCTGGAAGCACCAAGATAAGCGCTTAGGGAGGAGGATCCCCCACAACCCCCTGCCCATTCTAGGTTATTTAATTTTTTTTCTTTTTTTTTTAGAGACAGTATCTCGCTCTGTCACCCAGGCTGGAGTGCAGTGGTGTGATCTCGGCTGACTGCAACCTCCACCTCCCGAGTTCAAACGATTCTCCTGCCTCAGCCTCCCCAGTAGCTGGGATTACAGGCGTGCACAACCACAGCTGGCTAATTTTTGTATTTTTAGTAGAGACAGGGTTTTGCCATGTTGGTGAGGCCGGTCTCCAATTCCTGGCCTCAAGTGATTCGCCTGCCTCAGCCTCCCACAGTGCTGGGATTACAGGTGTGAGCTACACAGGATTACAGATGTGCCCGGCCATCAGTGTACACGTTTACAGGGGAGTTGGGAGGAGGGTAGGAAATGCCTGGTCCACTACATTACCCTAGGAGCTTCCTGGTCGAGGAAAAGGGGTGCCTTCAGAGCTCAGCCACTGCTATTAACCAGAAGCTCTGTGTGATCTTCCCTTGAACTAACTTGGGATAATATTTGTCCTTCAAGGATCATGAAATCCTTGGAGGTTTGCCCTCCAAACCTTCTCTCCACTCCCATGCTCAAGTATCTCTCACCACCTTCACCAAAGTCCACTCCCAAGCAGTCATCACACTGGGACTCCTTCAGGGTAAAACCAGCCAGGACACCAGGCTTCCAGCTAGAGCACAGGGTTTCTCAACCTCAGTACTACCGACATTTAGCTAGATTTGTTGTGGGAGGCTGCCCTGTACATTGTAGGACATTTAGTAGCACCCTTGGCCTCTACCTGCTGAATGCCCTTACTATCCCCCTAGGATGTCAATGAAAAAATATCTCCAGATCTTCCAGATATCACCAAATATCCTCTGGGAAGCAAAATTGGCCCTGGATAAGAACCATTAAAGTCAACTAAGACACCAGGGGGCTGCATATTCAGAAACTAAAGTGAGACTGGTAGAAAACTGGGGCAACAGAGATTTTTTTTTTTTTTTGAGACGGAGTCTTGTTCTGTCCCCTAGGCTGGAGTGCAGTGTCGCGATCTCGACTCACTGCAACCTCTGTGTCCTGGGTTCAAGCGATTCTCCTGCCTCAGCCTCCTGAGTAGCTGGGATTACAGGCACCCACCACCACACGCGGCTAATTTTTTCTTTTGTATTTTTAGTAGAAATGGGGCTAGTTTCTACTCCTGACTTCAAATGATCCACCCGCCTCAACTTCCCAAAGTGCTGGGATTATAGGCATGAGCCACCGTGCCCGGCTGAGATTTATTCCCCCCTCAAATCAGAATACATCTTCACTGTTTCTTCTGTCTAATTTCCTCAAGCTAGACTATAGGAATTAAGACAGTGTTGTAACATTTCAGAGCCCCGGAGCCCAACTCCCTGCATGACAACCCTGGCTCTCTGGCTTGCTAGCTCTGTGACCTTGGACAAGTTACATAGCCTTTGATAATAAAAGTGCCTGCCTCTTGGGGTTGTTGGGAGGATAGTATGAAATAATATGCGTAAAGTGCCTAGGATCGTGCCTGGTACCTAATAAGCTGTTGCAGGACAGGCTCCCCAGGAGACTGAGGTTTGTGTGCAGCAAGTTTGCTGGGAGTGCCCTCAAGAAGCACACTGGCATGGGAGAGGGAGAAGTGAGCACAGGGAAAAGCTGGGCTGCCTGCACTTGCAATGGAGGGGCGCCCTGGTCTGCAAGGACCTTCAGAGTTGTCCCGCATTGAGGGGAGGGACTTAGTGAATGTGAGCTGCCTCTAGGGTGTGGGCGTGACCTTGGGTGAGGTGGCTCTCCCGGGAAGGACAGTTCCTGGGGAGGGACTGCCAGCTGCTGGCTGGGGGTGTGAAAGCTTCAGTCCTGGAAAGGGAGAGGGTCAGGGAGACAGTGTAGCACCCATTGTGAGTGCTTGCTGACCAGTATCATGAGGCTTGATTGAAACAGAAGCAAGCCTGAGCAACACAGCGACACCCCATCTTTTTTTTTTTTTTTTTTTTTTTTGAGATGGAGTCTCACTCTGTCGCCAGGCTGGAGTGCAGTGGCGCAATCTCGGCTTACTGAAACCTCCGCCTCCTGGGTTCAAGTGATTCTCCTGCCTCAGCCTCCCGAATAGCTGAGACTACAGGTGCGCGTGACCACGCCCAGCTAATTTTTGTATTTTCAGTAGAGATGGGGTTTCACCATGTTGGCCAGGCTGGTCTCGATCTTTTGACCTCGTAATCTGCCCACCTCAACCTCTCAAAGTGCTGGGATTACAGGCGTGAGCCACCGTGCCCGGCCTACACCCCATCTTTAAAAAAAAAAATGTTTTTAATTAGTGAGGCATGGTGGTGTGCACCTGTAGTCCCAGCTACTCAGGAGGCTGAGTGGGAGGATCACTTGAGTCCAGGAGTTCAAGGATTCAGTGAGCCATGGTCATGCCACTGCACAGCAGCCTGGGCAACACAGTAAGACCCGGTCTCTAAGATAGGTAGATAGATAGATAGATAGATAGATAGATAGATAGATAGATAGAAGCAAAAGTATCTTATTTTTATTTTTAAATATTTTTTGAGATGAGGTCTCACTATGTTGCCTAGGCCAGTCTCAAACTCCTGGGCTCAAGCAAGCCTCTCAAGTAGCTGGGGCTACAGGCATGCACCACTGTGCCTTGCTGAAAGTGTCTTTAAAACATTATGGCCACCCAAGGAATGACTGTTAGCCTAACAGTGACTCTATGACCACCTCCCAGTACTGCTTACCCCAAGCCTGCCCTCTCTACTTACTGCCCTCTCTGGAACAAAAATTTGGAGAGATGCTGTCACACCCACCCCAGCCACATTGCCCTGGGGGCAAAAGGCAGTGCAGCAGGTGCAGTTTGGCTCCCTAGCACCCTCCAGCTGTGTGGCCTTGGCAAGGTCACTTGGCCTGTGGAGGCTGTAGTTTCTTCTTTGGTAAGCTGGGAGTGGCACTATCTGCCCTAAGGGAGATGAGGTGATGACACATGACACTGCACAGCAGGGGTTCTCAAAGTGCCATCCCTGTACCATCAGGACTTGCAGCCTCATCTGGAAACTTGTTAGAAATGTGAATTCCCAGCCAGGTGTGGTGGCTCACGCTGTAACCCCAGCACTTTGGGAGGCCGAGGTGGGTGGATCACCTGAGGTCAGGAGTTCGAGACCATCCTCACCAACATGATGAAACCCCATTTCTATTAAAAATACAAAAATTAGCCAGGCATGTTGGTGGGTGCCTGTAATCCCAGCTACTCGGGAGGCTGAGGCAGGAGAATTGCTTGAACCCAGGAGACAGAGGTTGCAGTGAACCGAGATCGCACCACTGCACTCCAGCCTGGGAGACAGAGTGAGACTCCATCTCAAAAAACAACAAAAAAAGAAAGACATGTGAATTCCCCAGCCCCATCCCAAACCCACTGAATCAGGAGCTTTGGAACAAGTCCCACACACCTGTGTTTTGACAAGTGCTTCTGATGCACTTCTGAGTTTTGAGAATGACTGGTGTGCCAGACAGCACCTAGCTTTGTGCCTGGATCCTAGGAGAAGCCATGTCAACCTCAGATGGATCTCAGTCTGAACCTGAACCCCACCAGTCACACAAACTTCAGGCACTTGTGAGCAAAGTGCCACCTGTTGGCTAATGCCCACTCCACATGCACACACGGGGATGCCAGGCTAAGACTGCGGTGCTGGACACCAGGGTAAATTACACAGGTGCCTTCTGGCACTCCCCTCTCCTCTCCCTGGAGAATCCAGTTAAAGTGAATGTCAAGGGCAGCTTTAAATGGCCAAGAGAGGTCACCGAAAGACCACAACTCACTCTGTAGGAAAAATAAGCACACAAAGGGCATCCCTCATTCCTCTGCCCAGCTCATGCACGTGCTCCCACAAGGGTCACAGGCCAGCAAGAGAGGACACCCACAAGGACAACCCAACAGTGCCCCATGTGGTCCCGTGCTCTCTTGGGCCACCGGGCTCTCCTGGGTGGAAGAGCTTTGCATTCTCCTGCTCCATAGTCCAGTTATTTGTGTGTACGTCTGTCTTCCACACTCAACTGTGAGCCTCTTGCGAGGTTCCTTGGCTTGTACTGAGTGGCGCCCCCTCGCAGTGTTGAATTGCATTGGTGGAATTCTGTGCTGCCCTTAGCTATTAGAACAAATGCTGGAAAGTTGTGAACCAAAAGGCAGGAAGATGACAGATGGGGTAGCCCAGAGAGAGACAGAGAAAGTAGGAGCCTACCAAACCCTCTTGAATGGCTCAGAAAATAAACTAAGGCAACAATGAAAAGCGGCAGGAGATGCTTCTCTGCAGTGAGGAAAGCTGAAAGGAGTCAGAAGGCTCAGTCTGTAGAAGACAAGACTGAAAATATTCCATTTTCAAGAATGAGAAGGGAGTATAAGTGCGGTGGCTCTTGCCCGTAATCCCAGCACTTTGGGAGGCTGAGGCAGAAGGATTGCTTGAGCCCAAGAGTTCAAGACCAGCCTGGGCAACCTAACGAGACCGTGTCTCTACAAAAAATAAAGACAAAAATTAGGAAGAGCACGGTGGCTCACGCCTGTAATCCCAGCACTTTGGGAGGCCGAGGCGGGTGGATCACAAGGTCAGGAGTTCAAGACCAGCCTGGCCAAGATGGTGAAATCCTGTTTCTACTAAAAATACAAAAATTAGCCAGGTGTGGTGGCGGGCGCCTGTAATCCTAGCTACTCAGGAGGCTGAGGCAGAGAATTGCTTGAACATGGGGGGTGGAGGTTGCAGTGAGCCGATCTCACACCACTGCACTCCAGCCTGGGCGACAAGGCAAGACTCCATCTCAAAAAAAAAAAAAAAATTAGCCAGGCCTGGTGGTGAATGCCTGTAGTCCCAGCTACCAGGAAGGCTGAGGTGGATCACTTGAGCTCTGGAGGCTGTGACCTATGATGGCACTATTGCACTCCAGCCTGGGCGACAGAGCAAGACCCTGCCTCAGGAAAAAAAAAAAAAAGAAAGAAAGAAAGAAAAGAAAATGAGAAGCCAGTGTCCCACTTCTGAGAGTAGCATTAGGGCTAATGATCCTATGCTGAGATGGAAGAGATTCAAAACAGCAAGTCTACTGGGTCCCCACTCTGTGCTTAGACCCCTGCTAGGCCCTCAAAACCTTGTGCAGGGAGCTCACTCCTTAATAAAAACCAAACCTAGAACTGTAAGGCTTTCCTCTTGAAGGTGGGCTCTGCAGGTGGGGAGGGCTGGTGAACAGGTCGGACCTGGCTGGCTTCTGCCACCCTGGCCCCCAGAGGTGCTTTCCTTCTCAATTCTCCCGCCCACATGTAATGGAAACTTTACCCTTGGTCCACAGCTGAGATAGGCTGTGGCACCAAGTAAGTTTGCTGAAGACCAAAGGAGCTCAAAAGGGAAAAAGCAACAGAGTGCAAGTCACTTGGATTGTTGGAGCTGGCCGCCCCTGTGGCTGGCTCACTGGTGGGGTGTAGAGGGCTGCCTGAGATCCTTTGAGGACCAGGACTCCCTCACCTGGTGCCATAACATCCTAGCTCATGTCTCTACTTAGAGGATGCAGTATCTCAGCCCACCAGGCAGGAGCCACTCCAAGGCATCTGGACACCTTTATGATGAGACCTTAGAGACTCATCCCTAAAACTAAACCTTCCCTCAGCCTGATAACCTCAGCATTAGATTAAGTTCCACACTGCAACTTCCACCTCCCAGATTCAAGCAATTCTCCTGCCTCAGCCTCCTGAGTAGCTGGGATTACAGGCGTGTACCACCACGCCTGGCTAATTTTTTTGTATTTTTAGTAGAGACAGGGTTTCACCATGTTGGTCAGGCTGGTCTTGAACTCCTGACCTCGTGATCCATCCCTCTCGACCTTCCCAAAGTGCTGGGATTACAGGTGTCAGCCACCGCGCCCAGCCAAGGAACTTACACAGTGCTTGATGATATTTGATTAAGTACTAACTTGTATTCATCAATAAACTCAATATAGTGAGCACCTGCTGGTGCCAGGAGCAGCACCAGATGCTGGGGATACTGTGATGAGTGAGGCGTCCTTACGTTGTGGAGCTTACAAGTTGCTGGGAGAGAGATGTAGACCAAGTAACACTAGGTGCGGGGAGGGAGAGCAGCAGGGACCGTGGGAAGCTTTGCAGGAGCTGCTGTGGCCTAGCAGGTGAGGGATGTCTGAGCTGAAGCCTGAGGATAAAGAAGAGCCTGCCACAGAAGTGGGAGAGGTAGGTATGGAGGAGGAAGAGGTCTCCGAGCAGAGCAGGGCTGGGGAAGGCTTCCTGTAGGAGCTCCGATCCAAGCTGGACCTTGAGTGTGAGCTGGCCTAGGGGAAGCCAAGGGGGCCCAAGCAGTGAGGCGGGGATGAGTATTTGGGGGTAGTTTGGAGCCATTGGTCCGGCTACTCTGGCCACACAATTGTGTGAGAAGGAAGTAGGGGAGAATCATTCCTTTTGGAGAGGCTGGATTTGAGTGGATGGCCAGGCAACCACATGGACATGTCCAGGAGGCACTTCCAAAGTTAGAAATATGGACCCCTGGTACAGGTGAGCATGAGGGGCGACACTGTCTTCTGAGGAAGAAACTACAGAAGGAGGACTGGAGAGCCGACGACAGGGTGGACAGGGAGACAGTTGGGGGGAGGAAAGGAGCCAGTGTGCAAGATAGAGGATCGGAGCACCTTGTTCTGCACAGGCTCAGAGAACGATTCTCAAGGGGAAGGAGGGAGGAGTGGCTCATCTGTGCCAAATGTGAATGAAGTTTCCAGAGGTGCGGGAATTGGGCAGAGGAGCACAGGATTATCCATACAACGGGGAGCATTCATAATAAATTGCCTGGGTCTCTTCCTCTCTCCCAGAAGAGCACCTTTTCTCACATTGCTGGCAAAAAGCATCCCAGAGGCCCCAACAGCAGGGCTCAGACTCTGGCCATCCCTGGGGCTTCGGAGGGAGGGGGCCCAGGCTCTCTGATGGGTGCCAGTGTCCACCCTTCCCATACAGCTGACTGATGATGGGGCATGAGCATGGCCTTTGAGCTGCTGAAAGGGAAGTGGCCACAGTCTGCCTGGGTAGGCAGGTGGGGGCAGGCCTGCCTGACAGCTCAGCAGCGAGGTGGCCTCTGCCTCACCCCTCCAGGTTCCGGAGTCACCTCTGTCCTACAGCTTTGCACAGAAGGGCTCACCGGGAGTGAGGGGAAGCCTCTCTCCTTGAACAAGCCTGGCCGTGACAAAAGCTGAGCTTGACCTTTTTCACGACAGGCCCCTTTATATATTGCTGGCGCCAGGCCCCAGGCTTCCAGCTCAGCTTTTCCCGGGACCTGTCCTAGCTGTTGCTTTCGGCCAGGCTGGGCTTCACAAGAGAGGTGGGGTGGAGTTCTGGCCCAGGGAACAGTGAAACGGCTTCAGAAACCAAGGTGTGGCTAATCTGATCCAGGAACATCTGCCCCGCCCATGCCCATTAACCTTTTTTGGCACCAGGGTAGCTTTAGCCTACTCAGCCTCTTCTCCACCACTCTAATAGAGGTAAAGTTTGGGGAGTACAACCGGGAGAGGATAAGTGGGTGGGGAGAGTGGTTACAGCTATAAGGGAGGCAGCTGTGATGATTCACGCAGAAAGAACAGGGTTTCCAGTCAGAGGGGCCATTCTGAGCAACTCACGTCTCTTCCCGGGGCCTTCATTTCCTCAACAACAAAATGCAATTAGGAGTATTACACGGCTGGCACATTTTAGAGGACTGTCACAGGTAAACGAGAGAGAGAAGGAACTTTGCAAACTGTCAAGGTTAAATAAGTGTTGGTGGGTACCTTGACCACTGTCACTTAAGGAGTTTTCAACATGAAGCCTGTGGAGCCTGAATCTGGGGGATCTGTGGGGTGCCTGAAATAGTGTGTAAAATGCACTTGCGGCCTCTTGAGAAGCATGCATCAGTTTCTCAAAGAGGTCAGGGACCCAACAAAGTTTAATATCCAGACACGGCCCAAGTCCGTCCTCCTCACTTCTCCGATGAGTCAGCTGATACCCAAGGTCACACAGCTTGTCAGAGGCAGAGCCAGGATGTGGGGCCCTTGTTCTCTGCCCTCCCTCCTGGGTTAACCATTGCCCCTTCCATGTCAGATGAGGGAGAAAATGTTAGAAGGGAGCAAGTGTGGGGAGAAAAGCCAGACGAAGGGCCCAAGCCACTATCCCTGCTCGGGGTTTCCAGAATGAGGACATCATGGTAGAGGTGGGGGGACAGTGAGAGACAGGAGAATGAGGAGGCTCCAAGGATGGGAGAGGCCCTTCCTGGAAGCCCAGATTTCAGAGTAAGTGAGTCATCCTCCCTTTCCCATAAAGCCCCCACAAAAGACTCAGAGGAGGAAACACAACGCTTTCTCTAACACTGTCTTGAGATGACTTTTCTGGTTACTTTTTTGGAAAAAAAAAATTGGGGGCCGGGTGCGGTGGCTCACGCCCACCCAGCACTTTGGGAGGCCGAAGTGGGTGGATCATGAGGTCAGGAGTTCAAGAACAGCCTGGGCAACACAGTAAAACCCCATCGCTACTAAAAAATACAAAAATTAGCTGGGTGTGGTGGCGCATGCCTGTAGTCCCAGCTACTCAGGAGGCTGAGGCAGGGAATCGCTTGAACCTGGGAGGCAGAGGTTGCAGTGAGCCAAGATCATGCCACTCCACTCCAGCCTGGTGAAAGAGCAAGGTTCCGTCTAAAATAATAATAATAATAAAATAAAATATTCT
Organism: Homo sapiens; assembly: GCF_000001405.40. Classification (NCBI taxonomy): domain Eukaryota; kingdom Metazoa; phylum Chordata; class Mammalia; order Primates; family Hominidae; genus Homo; species Homo sapiens. The sequence goes on from NC_000006.12 coordinate 42,101,101, forward strand.
AAAAGTATGACGTCAAGATGGCCTTAAAAAAAAAAGCTTTATGGAAAACTGTGACAGGCCATATACAAATGTGAGGTATTCATCACCCAAAGATGCCATTTGCTGAGCAACTACTAAGCGCTAGGCACGTGCTGGACGCTTTGCCTAAATCAGTATGTCACCACCACAAGAGGCCTTCCCTGACTACCCTGTTAAAGTAAATCCACTCCTCTCCCCACTCGCTAGTTATTCTCTCACGTTCCCTGTTTTTTCCTTCTTACTACTCCTTGTAATTTATGATGTTTTTGTGTGCTTTTTCAATCCTCTTCCACCAGACAGACTATTAGCTTGCCATGAACAGGAGTCATGTGGGTGAGCTGATGGCAGTCTATCCATACTAAGCACAGTGGCTTGTATCCAGTAGTTACCCAAATCCTTGTTAGACAAACACAGCCACGGAGCTGGAGGCCAGTCCAAACTGGCCTGTTTATCTTCCAAGTCAAGTGAGACTCAGCCTTCCCTGCCCACCCCAGAGCAATATACAGCTGAGAGTCTACGCCCCACCCCTCGAGCCTTAACATAGCAGATAAATTAATGATCTCTTTTATAAAACATTGTACAGGGAAAATACATACATAGAGAGCTAGTGCTGGGGCTGGGGTGGGATTTGCTTCTTGAACACAGATAACCAGACCCTACCCCATCAGGGTGGCTGGCCTTGGTAATCTGGGCATCCACCCACCCCTGCACTTTCTTCCCTAAAGTGGCTCACCTGCTGTCCTGACAACCAGCCTCGGCTGGTTACCACAAATAATAAAGGTCCAACATCTTCCCCCCAAAGGGAACTACTTTCTGGCTGGCCCCCACCAGCCTGCTCCTCTGAAATGGGCACTCTCCAGTCCTTCCTTCTTACTGAGGCAGCCCACCTTGACCTGGTCCCAGGAATTTGGCCCACCAGTACCTGAAGATAGGGAAGCAAGACCAAGGAATATTGTTTCCTGATATGTTTGGTGATCACAGCATCTAAACCAGGACTTTTTTGAAAAGTGGAAGGGGGTCTAATTCACTGGAAAACAAGCATAAACCTGGACTGCCCAGGCAAAGGACACGTGGTCACCCTACTGATAGGTCTCCCCTGCTCCTTTTTTTTTTTTTTTTTTTTTTTTTGAGACGAGTCTCGCTCTGTCGCCAGGCTGGAGTGCAATTGTGCAATCTCGGCTCACTGCAACCTCCACCTCCTGGGTTCGAGCGATTCTCCTGCCTCAGCGCCCCGAGTAGCTGGGACTACAGGCGCCCACCACCATGCCCAGGTCATTTTTTTATTTTTAGTAGAGACAGGGTTTCGCCATGTAGGCCAGGATGGTCTTAATCTCTTGACCTCATGATCCACCCGCCTCAGCCTCCCAAAGTGCTAGAATTACAGGTGTGAGCCACCATGCCCAGCCAGGTCTCCCCTGCTCTTAACTGGCCCAATCCTAGCACTCTTTTTTTTTTTTTTTCCGTATTTTTAGTAGAGATGGGGTTTCACCATTTGGGCAGGCTGGTCTCGAACTTCTGACCTCAAGTGATCCACCGGCCTCGGCCTCCCAAAGTGCTGGGATTACAGGTGTGAGCCACCGCGCCCAGCCAACCAATCCTACCACTCTTGACTTTCCCAAACACATTCCCCAACAGCAGCAAGCTTCTTCAGACCTCCATTCCCATCTCTGCTGCCTCCACTCTCCAAGGCTTTCTAGCATCTTAAGGCATCAAGAGTATTGGTGACTTGTAGTATCAGTGTTAGGAAAAATGCCTTCTCCAAATCCCATATGAGACCTGGCCATGTAAGGCCCCTAGTGTCAAGCCTAAGACTCATGGCTCCTTGGGCCCAGTCCCCAAAATCAGGGCTGCACAGGTCTGAATAGCAAAGCCAGGCTTAACCTTGTTTCCCATCCTAAACTTGCCAAGTGTCCTCTCTCTAGGCCTCCCTGTAGCTAAGGGCTAGGGCCAAGGAAAAATGAACCATCAATCTCCCACCTCTGCCCTTGGCCAATGCAAAGGGCTTCCATTCCACATGTGGGAGCTTCACTCCCCACCCCACACATGGTCCTTCTCCACATGTTATACATACACATTCCTGGTCCCACCTCAATGCGGCTAGGAACCCCAGGTGTCCACTCTTGCTTGGGATGGCAGGTGATGGAGGCTAAAGATCTCCCTTCGGTGCCCTGCACACCCACCAGACAGAGCTGGGCCTCAGCCCTTTGCAAGGGCCTGACAGGCAATCACAGCTATCTCGATGGGTTCCAGTTCAGTCAGTGCCCCACCCCTTGCTTTCAGAACCTGCTCAGTAGGCCGTGCTTGTAAAACTGTTTTAAATAACTCTTGCTAAAGCAGATAGTACCAGAGAGCAGAAACTCAGCGCCCAGGTCCTTAATGGTTCCTTCTCTCTACCCTCCTTCCCCTCCCACCCCCCACGTGTAAACAGTCCACAGTCACACCAGCGCTTTGGGAAACAGAAGCCCACTCTCGGTCTTCCTGGGCCACTGCTTCTCATCGTTGGTCTTTGGGGATCAAAGACTCCTCTGTGTCTGAGTCAGGTCGCCCAACACCTGCTGTGTACCTCCCACCCCCCACAAGAAACAAGTGCCCAGATCCTTAAAGACACAGTTTGTTGGAGTAGAGCTAAGAGAACCCCTGGCTCAGGAGGTGGCTTTCCGATGGGCCCCTGAGCAGACATAGGAGATGGGATGGCGGGTCCCAGGCCTCACGGTGAACGTGTTGATGGGGCTTCCATAGCGGGTGGTGGTGTAGGGAGACCTGGGGGAGAGCAAGAGATGTGAGGTGAATATCTGCAGCTGGTTAGCCAACACGTCTCTCATCTCCCCGAGGGACCGAGAGGAAAAGATGCTGCTCATACTTCTGTATTTGCCCCGACAAGCCCTGGGCTTATCGACCCCAGGGAGGGACCGCAGACATCACAAACAGGGCTCCCATTCTGGTCTGGGCCCTGCTGGCCGGAGAACATGCCTAACAGCCTTTCACTCAGAACTCTTTCACTCCTGGCCTGTGTCGGGATCCAACTCTGTGTTGGGAAATCCCTCCACCCAAGGGCCACTCAGATCTCTCCCCGCCCCACACTTAGCCTGACCTCTGGGATCTAGCGGGCAGGAGAGAGACAGACGAGAGGAGCTGGTGGGGAAAGAGAAGGGAGGTCAGGAGGGAGGTCAGGAAGGCGCCAACAGCGCCCTCTCCCGGTAAGTGGGCCTCCCTCCCGCGTTCTACCTGCAAGGCCGAAGGGAGAAAACCAAATGTTTTCTCTTGACGGATGGCCGGGACTCCTTGGCCCTCGCCTGGCTTTCCACCCCTCCTGGCTTCCCGCACCAGCCGGGCCCGCAGCTCACCTGCCGGCAGCTGGGGCGAAGCCGTAGTCGGCGCTGCCGGGCGCTTTGTGCTTGGCCTCCGCGGCGCCCCGGGCGGCGCCCTCCAGGGACAGCCTCGGCGCGTGCAGGCCTCCGGGGGGCGCGCGACCCGCCGAGTTCACGCGCCGCATCTCGGGGCCTCCGGGCTGCGGCCCGAAGCAGTTGGGAGAGCTCAGGCTGCGGCCGGTGCCACCGTGGGGTAGCCCTGGGCCTCGGTGCGGCTCCCCGACGTACAGGCGCTTCTTTATGAGCGAGCGGCCCCCTCCCGAGAAGCGCTCCAGGCCCCCAGCCCCGGCGTAGCGCGCGCCCGCGGGAAAGCGCGAGAAGCCGAGAGCCGGGGGCGCCCCGGGGCCAGCGTTCGGGAGCTGCCTCAAGTCTGAGTAGTTGTTCCGGGGAGGGGAGCTCTGGCGGCCCAGATACTGGAGGGCCGGGGCCGGGGGCTCAGGGTCATTGCTGAACTCTGGCGGCGGTGGGATGACCTCGAAGTTGAACTCCTCCTCCTCCTCCTCCCTCTTGTTCGAAGGAGAAGGTGGGGAGGAGAAGGACTTGGGCAGCGGGTGGCCCTGGGGGAGGTTGGAGGGAGCTACTCTTTCCCAGGCCACAGGGGCCTGGGGCTCTGGCTTTGTCCAGTTGTGCCTGCGGCTCAGCTCTGTGCCCTCTGCGTCTCTTCCCAGCCGCGGCCCCCACTTATTGGGTATTTCGGTCGTCAGCGGGGAGTCCTTCTCAGCCTCCTTGGGTAACTTGGGCACCACAGTGAAGGAGTTGGGCGTGCCCTGGCTGTGGAAGATGCTGTCAGAGCTGGCCTCGGCTTGGTGGCTGTGGTCACGGAGACTTCCTGGCAGAGAGGACCGACCCAGGGCAGCCCCTACAGACCTTCCCTTCTGAGCCCTCTGCCTGGCCGCCAGGAGCAGGGCCATCGGCGAGCCCCGCTCCACCACCTCCCCAGTCACCGGGTGCCTGAGGAGTTCATCAGTGGGCTGGGCCGAGGCAGGAGGCTTGGCTGGCAGCCCTGGGGGCTCCTTCACCTCCACGGGCTCCCCTGGCCCTGCAGCCCCTCCTCTGGCCAGGGTGGGCATCACCACAGCAACCTCACGGCTGAGGCTGCTCTGGTGGCAGTGGGGCTTGTAGAGACATGGCACCTCTCCTCCACCAGGAGATGTCTTTGGTGGGAAGGCTGCAGATGAGCGGGCTCCCTGTGTGGGCAGCCTAGTGGCCTCTGAGGGGGACCCCTCTCCCCTTGCCTGGGAGGGAGTGGAAACTTCTTGAGATGCTGGCTTCTCTGGCTGGCCAGCTGGGCCTGAGTCCTTCTCTGCCATCAGTTGGGATGTGGTGGTGGGCAGAGTTGTGGCTGTAGATGCTATGGCAGGGCCAGATGTGGCCTTGAGTGGTGTGGTTGGCCCAGATGTGGCCTTGAGTGGTGTGGCTGGCCCAAGTGTGGCCTTGGGTGGTGTGGCTGGCCAAAGTGTAGCCTTGGGTGGTATGGCTGGCTCAGGTGTGGCCTTGGGTGGTATGGCTGGTCCCAACATAGCCTTGGGCTGGAGTGATGTAGTTGGCAGCAGGGTGGTGGATTGAGGTGGCAGATTCTTGGCCACAGGCTTGGAGAGTTTGTCATCATCAGCCCCGTTTTCACAAATTCTTCCCCCTTCTAGCCGAGGCTTAGGGGGCAGAGATCCTATGCTGGGCTTAGCCTCCTTCTCTGCTGCTGAGGAGAGCCGGGCCTCCAGCTCATTCCGGATCTGCCGCACACTGGGAGTTGGAGAGTCTTGGGGAATGTAGTCCACAGAGGGCAGGGTCAGGCTGGGGGCAGCCTCTGTCTCTGTCAGGCTGCTGCCGCCAAGACTCTTTTCAGGAACACCTGGGGGAGTGTCCTTTGCTGGCAGGCTCAGGAGAGTCTCCTTCTCAGGCAGGCGGGGGCCCTTCTTGCCCTCCTTGCTCTGAGGGGCCACTGTTGGGCCTGGCCTGTGACTGAGGAATCGGTCCTCTCTCCTGGAGCCACAGAGATAGGCTGCCAGCTCGTTCCGCAGCTTTTCCATCTGGCTGGGGTCCCTCCAGTCCACAGGTGCTGAAGACGCTGTGTTCTCTGGGCTGGGGGGGTTGGGTTTGGGTTTGAGAGCAGGAGAGCTGGATTTAGGGGTTTTTGTAAACCCAGCAGGTGGATGGGCTGCCTTCTGAGCACAGGGCAAAGGAGGTGCAGCTGGGGGAAGTGGGGGTGCTGGGGGAGGGAGGGGGGGTGCAGGAGGGGGCAGGGGAGGGGCTGGAGGCGGAGTCCCAGCTCGTTCATCTGCTTGGGACTGGGACTGGCCAAGCCTTGGGCTGGCTGGTGCTGTGGCCTTGAGCTCCCCAGGGCAGTCTGGCTCGGGGGCCCTGTCTGGGTAGACCTGGGAGGCGGGGCGGATGTGGAAGCTGGGAGGCAGTGGGAGTCGGCTGGGAGCCTTCTTGGTGGCCCCCTCTTCCTTTCGGGGAGCCTCTTGTGCTTCCTGAACTGGGATGGACGAAGTCCTGACTGGGGTTGGGGGAGGCACTTTGAAAGAACGGGGGAAGGTGAGATGGGGCTCTGGGTTAGGTCCCAGGGCGCTCCCCTTTGGCTCAGCAGGGCTTCTCGGGGGGCTGGCTCTGGTGGCCTCTGCCTGCCTGCCATTCAGTGCTACATCTGATTTCCACTTGGTGACACCCCCAGGGGGAAAGAGACGAGTCCCCACTGTGTGAGGAGATGCTGGAGCTGGGGGTGCTGGGGCTGGCACAGGAGGCGGTGGGGGGGCTAGAAAGGCCAAGGGTGGGGCAGGGGGAATGAAGTCAGGAGGGGTGGGTATGGATGGGGAGGAAAGAGTGTGTGGTGGGGATAGGGCCTCCAATACTGGGGGTGGAGGTGGGGCCATGCTGGGCGGGGGTGGGGGTTCCAGCAGCAGGGGAGGTGGTGGGGGTGCTGTGGAAGGTGGAGATGGCAGTGGCGACCCCCCTGGAGGTTCTGAAATGTCCTGAGGGGGCCCTGGGGCTGGGCCTGGGGGAGGTGGGGGGATGAGTAGATCCTGGCCATATTGTCCAGGCCTCAGGTCACCCACAGAGCTGTACAGTCGGAGGTTGCCATTGACTAGTGAGCTGGTACCTGAAAGAAGGAGAGGCAAAGATGGGGGGCAGGAACAAGGCAGACTAGCCCTGCCAATTTCTGTTTACCCAGGGCAGGGGCAGGGGTGGGCACCCAAGAGAATGACTGGATCATTTTCTCCTGAACACCAAGAGAGGGAGCAGCCCTGTGTCCAGTCTCCTGAGCTGTCCTGGGGGTGTCCCCCCTTCTTTCTAGGGAGCGTCTCCTGCCTGTCCCTGGCACAGCCTTTGAAGCCTGTATGGAATTACCTCCATTTGCCTCCCCAGAGTCACCCTCTAACCTGTGCCGGGACTCCCTTGCCCCCTGAGATGGGGGGTGGGGACAAGAGGGCCAGGGCACTGATTCCTCTGGCTGCCTCCTGGCTGCGTCACAGGTTGGCAGCAGCTGTCTTTCCTGCCCCGCAGACACAGGTCCTGTCGGGGTGTCCCTCTCCCACTATGTTCAGTCCCTGGGTGTCACTGTCCCCAGGAGACAAGAGTCGCCTAACCAAGCTCACACTCTGGTATACTGTCCCTTTACTCAACTCTCTTCAGTTATCCCCTTTGAGTGCGCCATCTGTTTCTTGCTGGGACCTTGACCTTGGCCAAGCCAGAAAGTCCAGGGTTCAAATCCCAGCTCTACCACTTATTAGATGAGTGACCTTGAACACACTAATTAACCTTGCTGAGCCTCAGTTTCCTCATCTGTCAAAGGGGCATGATGTCAGTGCTCGCTTCTTACAGCTGTTGTGAGGATTAAATGAGAGAATCCATGCAAATACACAGAAAGGGCTTGTCATGGTGCCAGGCCTCCAGTAGGCATTTAATAAAATGGAACCACTTTGATTCCTACCATCTGTGCTTAACTTTTCAGACTGTGTGAGACAGGGAAGGTGGGAAAGAGATAGGAAGTCATGGGGCAGGGGCGAGAGACCTCCTCAGTGAGGAAGGCTGGGTGAGAGACCCGCAGGAGGGAGCAATTTGCACAAACTACTCCTGCTTTCTAAAGACCCTGAAACTATTAAGAACCCAGCTGTCCACTTCATAGAGAATGGAGGCAGATTCTGGACTGCAGAATAGAACAGGGGTGTGCAGAAGGAAGGTGGCCTGGACAATCTGGGTGCTAAAGAGATGCTGAGAGCCCCTGGCCCCAGCAGCGCACATCCCTCTCTTGTCCTCGGACCAGGTCCCCAGCCCCTCTCCCAGAGTCTACTTCCTTCTTAGGGGCACCCATCCTTTGCTCCCCTCCTCTCAGTCCCTAACAGTGTGGCGAACCTGGGGAGTGTGCGGCTCTGAAGGGCTCCTCCCAGCTGCCTGACTTCAAACTGAAGAAACCAAGAGTGGGGAAGGGGAAAACTAACATTCACTGAGCACCCAACTGTCAGGCAGGACTTAGGAGCTGGGGTACAGCAGCAAAAAAACCAACAAAACAAAAAACAGACAAACACTGGTCCTCCTAGGGAGCTTACGCTTGAACGGGACAATGAACATAATGTGTGAGTACATTATTATCACATTAGAGGATGAGTGCGATGGGAAAAAACACCAGCAGGGGAGGGGTGCAGCAGGTGCAATTTAAATAGGGCAGTCCGGCCGGGTGCGGTGGCTCACACCTGTAATCCGAGCACTTTAGGAGGCTGAGGCAGGTGGATCACGAGGTCAAGAGATAGAGACCATCCTGGCCAACATGGTGAAACACTGTCTCTACTAAAAATACAAAAATTAGCTGGGCATGGTGGTGTGCACCTATGGTCCCAGCTACTCAGAGGCTGAGGTGGGAGAACTGCTTGAACCCGGGAGGCAGAGGTTGCAGTGAGCTGAGATCACACCACTGCCCTCCAGCCTGGCAACAGAGCGAGACTCCATCTCAAATAAATAAATAAATAAATAAATAAAGCAGTCTGAGAAGGCCTCGCAGAGAAGGTGACATTTGAGCAAAGAAGGGAGGAGTGAGGGAGACGGCCACACAGATGCCTCGCAGAAGAGCATTCTAACCTGAGAGGTCTGCAGTGCAAAGACCCCAAGGCGGAAATGTGCCTGGGGTATTTCAGGAGCAACAGGAGATGCTGTGGCCGGGGCAGTGTGGGAGGGGAAAGCAAGCAAGCAAAGTGGCCAGACTCCGGTCAGACTCCAGCAGTCCTTGCAAGAACCTTTTCTCTGAGTGACACGGGAAGCCATTAGTGAGTTTGAAGCACCTCTGAGAGGTGTGACAGACATGACATACATCCCATCCACCACTTCATTTACTCCTCCAAACTGAACTGTTGTTCCCATCGTTCGTTGGAAGATACAGAGGTAGGAGGGGTGAAGTGTCTTGCCCAAGGGAGCAAAGTGAATATGTGGGGAGCTGGGATTCAAAGCCAGGCCCTTCTTCCACTTTATGCTGCACTTGTTCCTGCTCTGGCTTTGTCCCCTTGCCATCCTTCCCCCGCCAGAAAGGGGCCTTCACTGACCGTGGCTCTCCTCAACTCCCAGCCCCACTGCCCTAGCCCACTGCGGCCAGTAATCAAGATGACTGAGGATGGCGAGAGTGGCTGTGCCTGAGGACTCTGGCTTTGTCACCAGCTGTGAAGATGAGCAGATGCTTAGCTTTTGAACTCAGGGCCCTAGGAGGAAAGAAAGATGGACAAGCCCCAAGCCCAGGGTTCACTTACCTGTCACTTCTTTGTCTGCAAAATCATCTGGAACCGAGGGGGTGGGCACAGCCAGCCCATGGTTTTCCTGGGCATTCTGAAAGAGACCAGAAAGAAATCAGGGGACAGGGAAAGATGGACAGATAATTCTCAAACTGCTGCTCTTTGAGGCCATTTTACTGCTTGAAAATCTGCAGTGACGGTCATGGTTGCATAACCTTGTGCATATACCAAAATATAAAAGGCTGATTTTAAAAAGTGAATCTTGTGGTACAGTCAACCAATCATCACTATTTGTCATAGTTATGTTCTATAAAGTTGCAATGAACATAGTATTAGTAAATACTGACCCGTTGCTCCTAGGGGAAATACAGGGTTAGGTTCCTATGAGCCTCTGGTCACAAGATTTTTGTCAACTGATCAATACATAACCATAACCTTGTTTTAGCTGTGTTTCTGCTTAAAGACATTTTAATATATTTTGTTGGTTGGTTAACATTGAACTCATGGCCGATAGCACTATAACACATGACACTAAACAGAAAAAGACACTTGTTTTTGTATGACAGCTAAAACAAGAAGGCATAGAATCCTCTTGTTCAGCTGGGAACATGTGCATTGAGCAACTCAAAATTTTCACTGCTCTGTGCATGTCTGCAAATGACCACAGAAGCAACACAAGCATTGATTCTGGGGTTACAAATACGTTTTAGCCACTAAGCAAATTTGCAAATACAGAATCCACAAATAGGGAGGATTGACTGTATATGAATTCCATCTCGATGAAAAAGACAAAACAAACAAATAGAATCTGCATTGACTCTCCATGGAGGTCCACAGGTGAAAAGCCAAACTCCTCAGCCTGGCCTCCTGTGTGTTCTTAGTTTTCATTAGGTGTTTACAGAAAAATAAAAAGTGATGAACTTGAATTTTTTTTTGTTTTAATTGAGACAGGGTTTTATTCTGTCACCTAAGCTGGAGTGCAGTGGTGCAATCATGGCTCACTGCAGCCTCCATCTCGTGGCTCAAGCAATCTTCCCATCTGTAGCTGGGACTACAGATGTGTGCCACCATTCCTGGCTAATTTTTTTTTTTTTTTTTTTTGAGATGGAGTCTTGCTCTGTCACCCAGGCTGGAGTGTAATGGCATGATCTCTGCTCACCACAACCTCTGCCTCCTGGGTTCAAGCAATTCTCCTGCCTCAGCCTCCCGAGTAGCTGGGATTACAGGGGCGTGCACCACCATGCCCAGCTAATTTTTTGTATTTTTAGTAGAGACGGGGTTTCACCATGTTGGCCAGGCTGGTCCTGAACTCCTGACCTCGTGATCTGCCCACCTCTGCCTCCCAAAGTGCTGGGATTACAGGTGTGAGCCACCGCGCCCAGCCCTGGCTAATTTTTTGTATATGTTTTAGAGAATGTGGTTTCGTCATGTCTCCCAGGCTGGTCTTGAACTCCTGGGCTCAAGTAATCCGCCCACCTTGGCCTCCCAAAGTGTGGGGATAACAGGTATGAGCCACTGTTCCCAGCCTGAACTTGAATATTTATAGCTCTACAGATGCCCTTCTGATCGCTAAGCTTAAGAGGCTATAATATTTTTACACAGCTGTCAGTTTGTACATACTATTTTGCATTCTATTTTTTTTTTCCAAACACACATTTCCATATGTCAACAAAGTCCACACACCTGCTGTTTTGAAGAGCTGTAGAGCATTTTAGGGTAGTTTTCAAGGTCCCCAATGACCTGGCCTCATGCTTCCCAGCCAACTGTTATTTCCCACTCACCTATTACACCCATCCCACATTGTAGCTTCACCGACTCCCTCCCTGCCACCTTTTCAACCACCCCATATAGTCCGTGTTCATCCATGATGCTGGGCATTGGTCAGCTGTACCTGTCATTCCCACTCTCCATTTATAACAATAATCATAGTCATAATACTCCTTGCACTGTGCTCTAACTAAACACATTATCTCAGTCACACCACTCTGTATAGAAGAGGATGTCATCATTTACCAGATGAAGAAACTGAGGCTCAAAGACCTTTGGTAAGTTGTCTAAAGTCACACAACCAGTACTACCAAACCCAGGTCTGTGGAGCTCCCACTCCTTAGTATTTTGCCTCCCTAAAATCCCTTATCCTTCAAGGATTAGCTGAGCCCCTCTAGGATGATGGAACAGGGGTAGGGGATAAGAGCATTGGCTCTGGCTTTCCAGCCTGTCTGGATTTGAATATCAGATCTGCTACCTATTAGGTGTATGACTATGCAAGTTACTTAATCTCCCTGTGTCTCAGTTTCCCCATCTGGGAAATGGTGATAACAATACAATTACCCATAGTAGGGAAGCTGTGAGGACTAAATGATGCAATGCACAAAAAGCACTTGGGAGCCATCCCCTGTCCGCACCACACTGACCCACTGCTACCCAGAGCAACCCACAGCCAAGCTCCCAAAAGAGGGGAGACACTTGTTTGCACTCCAGATTGTCCTCTAGTTCCTTCAGTGAGATCTGGGAGCTCCTTGGAGCCCAGGGACCATGTCTTATGGTATCCCCCAAAGCTGGATGCATAGTGAGCCCAGTTGTTAGTGATGGGCTGATGGTACTAACCCTCTGGACTTAATATACAAGAAGGGCACTCAAGGTCGATGTTACAGAAATATCTATGAGACCCTGGGTTACCAAGGGCCATCTCAGAATTACTCTGGTCACTTGGGATCAGCAAACCACTCATCTTGTTCTTGAAGAATTCTGAAGCTGGAATGGCCTTGAGCCATCAACTTGTCTTTTTTTTTTCCTGCCTTTACTTGATTTGCATGGCCAACAACATACCTGTTCTCAACTTTTCTCAAACCCAGTGATTGGGAACCAGGGGCAGGTATAGGGACCCAGCCCATCAGAAGTGTGTCTCCCATGACATCCTGAGATGTGCCACACACACATGCAAATCACTGACATTCTAATAACCTCCATCAAGTACACACACTCTGATTTTGATGAGATGGAGGCCAGGCCTTCAAAAGCCAGGGTTGAGATCTCTGATTAATTTCAACATAATTGAAAAGCGGAAAGGCTGGGGACTTAGCATCAAAAGTCTTGGGTTCCATTCATGCTCAGGCTTGCCAGCAGTGTAGCCTTGGATGAGCAGTGGAGATGTGGGATGGGGACAGTGATGTTGAGCCATTGTCCAGGCTCCTCCTGTGCAATAGCCCTATACTAAGAGTGTGACCGGTGTCACCTCAAATCCCTTCACAGAGCCAGGGTGCAAACCTAGGCTTTCCACCTTACCTTTTCTACAGATCACTGAGACCCATTTTCTTCACTTAGAAAACCAAGGCAGCTGGGCATGGTGGCTCACGCCTGTAATCCCAGCACTTTGGGAGGCCAAGGCAGGAGGATCACCTGAAGTCAGGAGTTCAAGACCAGCCTGGCCAACATGGCAAAACCCCATCTCTACTAAAAATACAAAAATTAGCCAGGCATGGTGGCAGGTGCCTGTAATCCCAGCTATTCAGGAGGCTAAGGCAGGGAGAATTGCTTGAACCAGGGAGGCAGAGGTTGCAGTGACCTGAGATCATGCCACTGCACTCCAGCCTGGGCGATAGAGCAAGACTGTCTCAAAAAAAGAAAAGAAAAAAAAGAAAGAAAAAAAAAGAAAATTGAGCCAATAGTTCCTACTTTGCAGGGCTATTATGAGAATCAAATGAGATAATATCCCTAACCCAGGAAACCAATGCTAGTTGAAGGATTATATCTTGTAATCCTCTATTCCAGAAAAGTGAAAAAATCGTGAACAATCAAAGCTAAGCTCCCTGTAAGTCTAGTAGCACCTTCTGGGTTACCCTGAATGCTTAATGGTGTGTGTGGGAGGAAGACGGATAGACTTTATAGGCCTAAGGTAATATTACTCACTATGCCCTTTGATCTTAAAGCACTTAGAAAACACATTAGACTCCCAAGACCACAGGGCAAAAATCCATCTCTGGAGCGGCTTGTAACAACAGCTCAGTCCAAGCCCTGGCTTCTTAGGTCCCTATTCTGACACAAGGGGATCCCACAGCACCCCCACCACCTCACCACCATGCTTGCGGTGCTGTGACACACCATGGTCTGCCCTTGGAGCAAGTCCCAAAGGCCAGCCTCATCCCTTCAGAAGCTTCCAGTATTGAACTGAACATAGTCTCTCTGGCTCTCCAAGCCCCTGTCTGGCCCTTTTCTTTCCCACTTGGGCCCACATGGGCCCACATGGGCTCCTGTGGCTTACTTAGCTGTCCCTTTCACTGATGTTTTTTCAGGGAAGGCAAATGCAAACTCATTTTAATCTTAGTCCCATAAAAACAGACTCAGAAGGTAAATTGCTTCCCACCCAGGCAGCTGGCATCAAGTGCACTGGCGTGGATGGTGACATATTTCAGTGTGCAAATGCACAGGTGTGGACAGCATCCATCTCCATGGGTGCTGAATTTCCTAACCTGCCTCTCTTCACCTCAGAGAACAAAGGAAAAGCCTCCTTAAGAAGAGGGCTTGAGGCAGGGCACAGTGGCTCACGCTTGTAATCCCAGCACTTTGGGAGGCTGAGACAGGCGGATCACTGGAGGTCAGGAGTTTGAGACCAGCCTGCCCAATGTGTTGAAACGTTGTCTCTACTGAAAATACAAAAATTAGCCAGGCGTGGTGGCAAGCGACTGTAATCCCAGCTACTCGGGAGGCTAAGACAGGGAGAATTGCTTGAACCCAGGAGACAGAGGTTGCAGTGAGCCAAGATTGTGCCACTGCACTCCAGCCTGGGCGACAGAGAGAGACTCTGTCTCAAAAAAAAAAAAAAGCCGGGCATGGTGGCTCACACCTGTAATCCCAGAACTTTGGGAGGCTGAGGTGGGCAGATCACGAGGTCAGGAGTTGGAGACCAACATGGTGAAATCCCATCTGTACTAAAAATACAAAAATTAGCCGGGCATGGTGGCAGGCACCTGTAATCCCAGCTACTCAGGAGGCTGAGGCAGGGGAATCACTTGAACCCGGGAGGCAGAGGTTGCAGTGAGCCAAGATCGCACCATTGCACTCCAGCCTGGGCGACAGAGTAAGACTCCATCTCAAAAAAAAAAAAAAAAAGAAAAGAAAAAGTTATGTACTTAATGCCACTGAATTGTACATTTTAAAATGGTTAAAAGGCCGGGCGCAGTGGCTCATGCCTGTAATCCCAGCACTTTGGGAGGCTGAGGCGGGCGGATCATGAGGTCAGGAGATTGAGACCATCCTGGCTAACACGGCGAAACCCCGCCTCTACTAAAAACACAAAATATTAGCCCGGCATGGTGGCAGGCGCCTGTAGTCCCAGCTACTCGGGAGGCTGAGGCAGGAGAATGGCGTGAACCCGGGAGGCGGAGCTTGCAGTGAGCCGAGATGGAGGCACTGCACTCCAGCCTGGGCGACAGAGCGAGACTCCGTCTCAAAAAAATAAAATAAATAAATAAATAAAACGGTTAAAACGGTAAATTTTATCTTATGTATATCTTATAATAAAAAAGTTAAACAAAACAGAAGACAAGAAATCAAAAGAAAAAGTGTTGGGGGCAACTTAGAATGTGTGTAACCTCTAGACATCACCTCTTTCTTCCATCCCCTAAACTCCCAATCTTAACAGTAGGAACAACAGCTGCTACTTGGCCAGCACTTATTCTGTATCAGGTACTCTTTCAGCACTTTCTTTTTTTTTTTTTCTTTTTTCTTTTTCTTTTTCTTTTTTTTTTTTTTTGAGATGGTCTCGCTGTGTCGCCCAGGCTGGAGTGCAGTGGCAAGATCTCGGCTCACTGCAACCTTTGACTCCCGGGTTCCAGCGATTCTCCTGACTCAGCCTCCCAAGTAGCTGGGAGTACAGGGACCTGCCACCACACCCGGCTAATTTTTGTATTTTTGGTGGAGACGGGGTTTCACTATGTTGGCCAGGCTGGTCTTGAACTCCTGAGCTTGTGATCCGCCCGCCGTGGCCTCCCAAAGTGCTGGGATTACAGGCATGAGCCACTGTGCCCAGCCTCTTTCAGCACTTTCTATCACTTAACTCATTTGCTTTTCACAACAGCCCAATGAGACAGGTGCTGTCATTGCTACCGCCATTTTCCAGATGAGGAAATGGAGGCTCAGAGAGATTCAGTGACATGCCCAAGGTCCCACAGCGAGTTATGGATCACTGTCTTTTCGGGCACCTTGCAAACCCAGCTGGTCATCCAGTTCTGCCCATCACTTCCTGAATCCTTCCTTCCTGCTGCCCCTCCACCTCAGCCCTTCCTCAGTCCTCACCATCCCTCACCCAGATGAACAGACTCCCTTTGATGCCAGATACTTTCCCAGTCTCCGCCTCACTCCATTCTCCAAAGCTGCCACGGGGATATTCTTTCCCAAAAGTATCTCAGAGCAGCTTACTTTCTGGCTCAGAATCCTTCCATTGGTCCAGAGGAAGAAATTCAAACACCTTCACATGGCCTGTGAGAACTTTCATAAGTTGGACCTCTGCAGCTCCTACCATCTTCTCCCCACCTACTCCACAAACCCTGGGCTCCCACTGGTGGTTCTTGTCTTTTTCCTATCCCACTGTAGCTGGGGGAACCTGACCGACTCATGAACAAGTGTGCTCCCTGCAGCAGGGGTCCTCAGTGGGGCACAAAAACCACCTGTTGGAGGAATTGTGCAGAGGTTTCAGAGGTCCCAGGGGCAGATGGGTAGCTTGAAAAGCCCTCTAGATGATCCAGCTACATCTGCCTCTCCCAACCCCCGAAAGTCACTGCTCCCACTTGCGATCCATTTCCACACCTCAAGCTTCCGCAGCCTTGTTCTTGTTCTTACTCTGCCTAGGATTCTCTTCTTTTCCTGGCAAACTCCTAGGTATCCTTTAAGCCCCAGATTAAATGCCCTTCCTCTGTGAAGTCCTTCTTGGCAACCCCAGCCAGAGTTAATTCTCCTCCCTGTGTGATCCTCAGGCTCTGTGTGCATTATTATTGCAGCTGACATTTATTAGGCATCTACTAGGTGCAAGGCACTGTTCTGAGTACTTCACATATAGCAACCCAGTCTTACTGTTAGTTTTCACAGTAACCCTAAGAGACAAGTTATTATTTTTATTTTATAGATGAGAAAACTGAAGCACAGAGGGCTAAGTACATTGCCCAAGGTCACACAGCTAGTAAGTGCCAGGGCCAATATTGGGACCTGACAGCCTGCTTCCTTTGCCAGTACAGTGTTTGCTCTCATACTTTCCCTCTAACACAACTCTATGTCTATAGACATAGAGTTGATGACTGTAGTCCCTGCTGCCCAGCCCAGTCTACTTGAGGGCTCGGTGATGGCTGCTTCTTTGTATGTGCCTGACACAGACCGGGCAGTTAAACAAATGTTTGTTGAATGAATATGTTCCTGGATGAGTGAGAGTGGCAGAAAGAATATGGGACAAGTGCCGGGCATGGTGGCTCACGCCTGTAATCCCAGCACTTTGGGAGCCCAAGGTAGGTGGATCATCTGAGGTCAAGAGTTCGAGACCAGCCTGACCAACATGGTGAAACCCCATCTCTACTAACAATACAAAAAAATTAGCCAGGTGTAGTGGTGGGCACCTGTAATCCCAGCTACTTGGGAGGCTGAGGCAGGAGAATCACTTGAACCCAGGAGGTGGAGATTGCAGTGAGCCAAGATTGTGCCACTGCACTCCAGCCTGAGTGACAGAGCAAAACCCTGTCACAAAAAAAAAAAAAAAAAAAAAAAAAAAGAATATGGGACAAAGAGGCAGAAAACCTGTGTTATGGCTCTAGCTCTGCTACCAATTAACTTGGAGCAAAGTAACTTCTCACTCTGGTCTCAGTTTTCTGCCCCTTCTGTAAATACTCTCCAAGGATCACTTTGACTACAGCGTTCTGTCAGTCCATAAAGTGTCCCTTCTGTGAGTCAGCTCACCTGCGTCGTGTGGGCAGTGACCTGGACACTCAGGGTCACCCCTCGATGACAGGGTGTTGGGACAGACAACTGTATTGCCTCGAGGTTGTCCTCTGACTCCAGAGATGCCAAAGGGGCAGCAGGGTAGAGGCAGGAGTAGGTGGGAGGGAGAGTTCTCAAAGTTCTTTTCCAGGAGCCCCAGACCAGGCAGGCAGGGCTGGGCTTGAGGTCACTGTTGGCCTCAGACACAGGGCTCTGACTGCTGCAGTCAGCTGGGGAGCCTGCTGTGTCCCAACCTTACACTGCTCCACCCTTGGCATCAGGAAAATGACAGACTTAGGAGCCCAGGGTGCTGCCAGCAGGGGTTGCCATGTGCCTCAAACATTCTCAGGGGAGTGGAGTGCATGGCCCTCCGAGTGTGGCAGCCCACATCGAAAGGGGCAGACCAACCTGTGTACAGTGAAGCAAAGAACATGCAAAAGAGCATCTGAGCGTGCTCCTGGTGGGCCTGGCTGCAGCACCTCCCTCTTTGGGCCAGCCTGGGCAGCCGGCCACAGCCACTCCCTGCACTGTGGCTGCCTGGGGCAGAGTCCAGCCCTGGCTCTACCAGCTTGGGAACTCCACGAAACTGGGCCTCAGCACTTCCTCGTCCTCACACCCAGACAACACCCAGAAGCTAAGACCATCGGTCACTTCACTTACTTCACAGAGGTGTACAAGCCAGCAACTCAGTTCAGTTGAAGCAGCCCTTTAATTTTTTTTTTTTTTTTTTTTTTTTAGAGATAGGATCTCACTGTCACCCAAGCTGCAATGCAGTGGCAAGATCATAGCTCACCGCAGCCTCAAATTCCTGAGCTCCTGTAATCCCAGCACTTTGGGAGGCCAAGGCAGGTGGATCTTAGGTCAGGAGTTTGAGACCAGCCTGGCCAACATGGTGAAACCCTGTCTCTACAAAAAAAAAAAAAAAAAAGAAAAAAAAAATAGGCAGGTGTGGGGCAGGCGCCTGTAATCCCAACTACTCGGGAGGCTGAGGCAGGAGAATCGCTATCACTTGAACCCAGGGGGCAGAAGTTGCAGTGAGCTGAGATTGCGCCACGTCACTCCAGCCTGGGCACAAGAGCAAGACTCTGTCTCAAAAAAAAAAAAAAAAAAAAAAAAAAAGGGAGAATTCCTGGCCTCCCAAAGTTTGGTACTACAGGTGCAAGCCACCATGCCCAGCTTTCCAGCTTTTTTTTTTTTTTTTTTTTTGAGACAGAGTCTCACTCTGTTGCCCCGGCTGGAGTTCAGTGGTGCAATTTCGGCTCACTGCAAACTCTGCCTCCCAGGTTCAAGCAATTCTTCTGCCTCAGCCTCCCAAGTAGCTGGGACCACAGGCGCGTACCACCACACCTGGCTCATTTTTTTGTATTTTAAATACAGATGGGTTTTTGCTATGTTGGCTAGGCTGCTCTCGAACTCCTGGCCTCCAGTGATCCACCCACCTCGGCCTCCCAAAGTGCTGAGATTACAGGCGTGAGCCACTGCACCCAGCCTGTCCAGCTTGTTTTTATATTTTTTGTGGGACAGGGTCTTGCTATGTTGGCCAGGCTGGTCTCGAACTCCAAGGCTCAAGTGATCCTCCTCTGCTTCCCAAAGTGCTGGGATTACAGATGTGAGCCACCTCACCTGGCCAAAGCAGCCCTTTAAAAACCATCACAGTGGCCAGGGGCGGGTGCTCATGCCTGTAATCCCAGCACTTTGGGAGGCCGAGGTGGGCTGATCACCTGAGGTTAGGAGTTCAAGACCAACCTGACCAACATGGAGAAACTTGTCTCTACTAAAAATACAAAATTAGCAGGGCATGGTGGCACATGCCTGTAATCCTAGCTACTCAGGAGGCTGAGGCAGGAGAATCGCTTGAACCCGGGAGGCAGAGGTTGCGGTAAGCCAAGATCATGCCATTGCACCCCAGCCTGGGCAACAAGAGCGAAACTCCACCTCGAAAACAAAAACAAAAACAAAAAAAACCCATCATCACAGCCTAGTATATTGGAAAGTTCCCAGCAATGATTAGGGAGGAAGCATGGGTGGAGGAAACTACCATTCCAAGAATATTTATATGTATTTCCTTCCTTGTCTTTATTGCGAGGTTCTTTTTTTTTTTTTTTCTTGAGACGGAGTCTTGCTCTGTTGCCCAGGCTGGAGTGCAGTGGCGCGATCTCGGCTCACTGCAAGCTCCGCCTCCCGGGTTCATGCCATTCTCCTGTCTCAGCCTCCCAAGTAGCTGGGACTACAGGCACCCACCACCACGTCCAGTTAATTTTTTGTATTTTTAGTAGAGACGGGGTTTCACCGTGTTAGCCAGGATGGTCTCGATCTCCTGACCTCATGATCCGCCCGCCTAGGCCTCCCAAAGTGCTGGGATTACAGGCTTGAGCCACCGTGCCCGGCCTGAGGTTCTTAACAATGAACTTTTGTTTCCTTTATAATTAAAAAAAAAATACCCAATACAATAATAGTGTGTTTTTTGGGGTTTTTTGTTTTTGTTTTTTGAGACGGAGTCTCGCTCTGTCACCCAGGCTGGAGTGCACGATCTTGGCTCACTGCAACCTCCACCTCCCAGGTTCAAGCGATTCTGCGGCCTCAGACACCTGAATACTTAGGACTACAGGTGCATGCCACCATGCCCGGCTAATTTTTTGTATGTTTAGTAGAGACGGGGTTTCATCATATTGGCCAGGCTGATCTCAAACTCCTGACCTTGTGATCCTCCCACCTCGGGCTCCCAAAGTGTTGGGATTACAGGCATGAGCCACCGCGCCTGGCCTAGTTTTCTTTTTAATTATTGTGATTGAGTGGAAAAAACATCAACTTAGGAGTCAGGCAGACCAGATTTGCAATCTTAACTGACTTATCTAAAAGGAGTCAGAGATAGTAGCTGACATATAGATGGTGCTCAAGAAGTGTGTCCCTTTCTTGCCTTCTGAGGCTCAGCTTTCTCATCTGTAAAATGGGAATAATCCCACCTCCCTTAGGTTTGCTGTGATACCAGAGGCCACTGCACACCTTAAGAGGTCCTGCAGAGTAGTGCTCAAGAAAGTTTATTTCCCCTGGATTCTAATCAAGGACTTGGGCCACTGCTCCGGGCACAGCCTTCAGGGTGTGTCTCTCTGGTTGCATCTGAGGAAATGGGTTCTTCCCCATGGTCAGGGACAGGTCACCAGGAATCCCCTATTGCCCTATTGACTGCTAACATTTCAGAGTTGAGAAGGAGGAAGAAAGGGAGGGAAGAAGGCAGGGAAGAAAACACTCGCTATTCAAGGATGAGGCTAGTTTCCCTTTGCAGTTTTGTGGGGGCTGGGGCCCACTGCTCACCTGTTGCACCCCTGAGAGTTCAGGAGGGCAGGGCTTACCCACTGATGGCCCCAGTCCACCCCACTGGCCTCCTCATGCCTGGGACACACACATCCTCATGCCTGGGATTCCTCAGAGCTCAGCCAAGTCTCAAGGGTGGGTCACCAGGGGCTGGGCCAGTGGGCAATGCATGGTTGACCCTGGGTAGCAGCCAGCTCGGAGTCTTAGCTACGCATCGTGGAATGCAAACTTCCTCACCAGACTCCTCCTGGAGCCTGGTCTGGGGCACTGGCCCTGTGGGGCGGGGTGTGGAGTTGCAGAGTGGGAGGGAGATGACCCTGAACCTGAGTTAGAGGCAGGCATGGTTGGGGGCACCACTGCAGGCTGTGAGAAAAGGAAGCTGGGAGCCCCCACCCCTGCCCTAGAGCAAGAGCTACACAGAAACCCCTCCAGGCACCCAACATACCCAACTAGATGAAGCCCAGCCAGTTGTTTTCCTGGCTTAGGGGTGCAGTATGGGGGTGCTGGCCTGGTGGACGTGGTAGAGGATCAAGGATGGAGAAAGGCTGTGTGTATCCTGCAGAGCAGCTATGAAGTTGGGAGCCAGTGAACAGTTTATAAAGGAGAAGGATGGTTTCCCCAACACAGCCCCACACTGTGCCACAGCTCAGACCCCTCCTGGGGGCCAGAAAAGAGTGTCCACCCATGAAGCATCTTCCTCTGGACCTATCTACCATCTGAGAACCACCCTTAGACCCAGGTTACCACAGCTTCTGCCCTCCACCAGGTATTATGGCGGGCCCAGGTCTGCTCTCTCTCTGGGGCAAGAAGTCAGTAGGATCAAGGGGACATGCCCTCAGAGGGCGCACCACGTCCCTGGAGACCCTGCCTAAATGGCCCTGAGCCCACTTCAAGGGCTTCTTCTCTGGCCAGTCTTCCTGAGGGGGCACACATCTGTGAGTCCATGGGGACAAAGAGGCGGCTGTTTATGGGCCAGGATGAAGGATGGAGGTTTATGGGCCTAGATGGAGCTTTGGAGGTTCAGGCTGAGGTCCTTACTGAGAGGGAAGGAACCAGGTGGGTAGAGAAGGGGGTGTGGAGCTCCATTTGCACTCTCGTGGCAGGCCTAACACCCCACACCCCTCAACCCTTTGGCCTAACATCATCCACACAAACCAGCTAAAAGCCAATCATGGCTGCCTTGCCTGGCTCACCCTACAGAGCTCAGATTCCAGCCCCAAAAGGTGCCTAGGCCTTGAGTTTAGAGAAAAGCTCCTGCAGCAGCGGGGTGGGTGGAAAGGAGAGATGGGGCTGACTCCAGCTGCCTCTTCAGCAGCAAGGACTAAGGGAGGGGTGCAGGGCAGGCGAGGCCTCCTGCCTGAGCCTAGGGATGCCTCCTCTGGCAGAGCCAGGCCTGTCTGACTCAGAGGGTGGGGTGACCCAGGCAGCTCTCACCGCCCAGGGCACCCCTGGGGACCTGTTGGGCCAGTTTTCCCATACTTGCCACACTGGCATTTAATTTTTAATTCCTCATATGCATCACCCTGGCGATGGCTTGATTCAGACTGGGGAGGGCAAGAGAGAACCCCAGAAAACACAACCTTGCTGCCACCCACTGTTCTATGGACCCAGCTCTCAGACGCAGAGGGACAGGCCGGGCGCGGTGGCTCACGCCCGTAATCCCAGAACTTTGGCAGGCCAAGGTGGGCAGATCATGAGGACAGGAGATCGAGAGACCCTCCTGGCTAACACAGTGAAAACCTGTCTCTACTAAAAATACAAAAAATTAGCCGGGCGTGGTGGCAGACGCCTGTAGTCTCAGCTACTCGGGAGGCTGAGGCAGGAGAATGGCTTGAACCCAGGAGGCGGAGCCTGCAGTGAGCCGAGATCGCACCACTGCACTCCAGCCTGGGTGACAGAGACAGACTCCATCTCAAAAAAAAAAACAAAACAACGAAGAAGAAGAAGAAAGAAGAAAGGAGAAGGAGAAGGAGAAGAAGGAGAAGAAGGAGAAGGAGAAGAAGGAGAAGGAGAAGAAGAAGAAGAAAAGAAGAAAGAAGAAGGAGGAGAGGGAGGTGGAGGAGGAGGAGGAGAAGGAGAGGAAGAGGAAGAGAAGAAGAAGAAGAAGAAAGAAGAAAGAAGAAGAAGAAAGAAGGAAGAAGAAGAAGAAACAGAGGGACAGGCTCTGGCTTGCTCTCTGGGCCCAGTCTTCCCTGAGAAGGAGGGAGAAAGGATCACCCCTCACTCAGCCAGGCCTCCGATGTTGTACCCGGGACCAGCCTGGGGAGAAGGCCTGGCTCCTATCCCTGCTTCTATCGAGCCCAGTGGCCTGGACAGGGCCCTCCCCTCCCCAGGCCGCAGTATTCTCATCTTGACAACTGCTGTAGTCCTACCCCCTCTGAAGTTTGGTGGCTCAAATCCAGCTCCTCACGGCTCCCCAAGCTGGAAGGTGGGGTTGCGCCAGTAGCTGGAAAACCTCCCTTTCCAGAGGCGGAAGCAGAGCTCAAGGAGGGGTCCATGTGTCATTAGGGCCTGGCTTCTCCGGTGGCCCTCCAGGGAGCTGACCACACCATCTACCCTTCCGTTAGGAAGTCATTTTAACACAGAAAGTCGTGGCTGGGGAGACCCTTGAGGACTATGCAGTGTGACCCCCACTGTTGGGTGAGGAGCCAGAGGCCCAGGGAGAGGAAGGGACTGGCCTGCAGCCACCCCGCATCCCAGCAGCAGAGCTGGGACTGGTGTCAGCTGCTGGAGTATTAGCCCCTGGTCCCATCCCAGCCACTGAGGGATCCCGAGGTCCTTTTCCTAGCTGGCCTTTGGCTGCTGGATGCCTGATAAACACTTCGTAATTCCCAGCACCCACAGCACACAGAACAAGGGAACTCTGGGGAAGGGGGCAGAAGCGCCTGTTGCTGCCTTGTCTCCTTCTCTCTAGCTCTGTCCCCTGGCAGGCTCCTGTAGGGCACTGACAGGGAGGGTAGGCTCAGAAGATGGCCCAGGCCTGGAGAGAGCTCACAGGCCCTCGAGGGGCCTGTCACCTGACTTCTTGGGCACTGCTACCTCGTACCTCCCCTACCCACTGGGCAGCCTGGCCTGGGAGGTGCCTCTGAATGTGGGAAGGGAGGACAGGGAGGGGTGGAGGCCTGGCCGGCTGGGACAGTGTCAGGCAGGGCTAGGCACCGGCCCAGCTCCCCACCCACCCTGACTTGGTGGGGCTGGGGGACGGGGTGTGTGCGTGTGCATGTGTGTGTGAGCCCACACCCACACAGAGCTTGTCCTCCCTCTTCTCCCCATCCTTCTGGCCTTCTGTCCCTGCTGAAAGAAAGCAAAGGACCTGGCTAGGGCCTACAGGAGAGGAGTCAGAAGCTCAGACAGGAGAGAATTAAGCCGCCAGCCGGATTCCCCTCCACCCGGGAGCAAGCGACGAACGACATGGAAGCTGCCCTATCTTGTGACCTGAGTGAGGAGCACAGAAGAGTCCCTGTGATGTGGGCCACTGGGCCAAGGGTTCCTAATCTAAAGGCATATCATGGGTGGGCTTCAGTCCCCTGCTGAAATTGTAAGCAAAACTAGATGTATGTGGCTCACAGCCTCATCATGGCGTCAAAAGCATCTATGAGCCAAAAGTGGCAAGAGGCCTGGTGCCCAGCAGGCCCAGGCTGCTGGACAGGGATTCAGAGAGGCAGGCAAGGGAGGTGGGAGTGGTTTTGCCGCCTGGTCCTGGAAGGAGAAGGAAAAAGCTTCTATGTAGCAGGTGGAGGGAGAGTAGAACGGTCTGAATAGAACTTGGACCCTGGAGCCTGGCTTCAGGGATTCCAGTCGCGCTCTGCCACTTAGCCGCAATACCTTAAGCAAGTTACGCCACCCTGTGCCTCAGTTTCCCTGCCTGTAACATGGGGATTAATGACAGCACCTTGCTCGGAGGGTGGCTTTGTTAACACACATGGTCCACGTGGAATGGTGCCTGGCACACAGTGAGTGCTCAGCATACGGTGGCCACGATCACAGGCCGTGCCACTGGATGGGGTTGGCAAGTGGCTCCATCTGCCTTTCCCCGGTTAGCCAGCACCGAGGGAACGAGTGAACTTCCCCTTCCTGGTTCAGTTCCTGCCTCTGTAAAATGAGGCCCCTTTCAGCCGTCGGTTCACCATGTGTCCATTCTTTCACCCTCACCAGTGAGGGGGTGTGAGTTTTTAGGGAGAAGCCCCCATTTCCTGGGACTGGTTCTGAGGCTTGCCCAAAAGAACTGCTCCCAGGAAGTATTTCCCCAGGACAGCCTGGAACTCAGGCCTGACCAGCCAGCCCAGCCCACTCCAGGGGCCCCAGAGCCTTTGGCCAGGTCTGCCTGGGGTCTATGCAGCCCCTGAGTCATGTTCTGCCCAGACCAGATCCAAACCAGAGCCAGAGAGGGCTGGAAGGTGAGGATTTGCTCTGGTCTTTGAGGGGCCCATAGCAGATAGCTGGGGGGAGATAAGGATGCCCACCAATCAGAACGAACTCAGCTGGGCCCACATTAACTCTTTAGTTGCTGCTTTTGGGGGTGGTCCAGATCTAGGCGAGGGGCAGGACAGCAGGAGCCACTCCAGGGGCAACATCCGTTTCTACTGTGTAGAGAAGTATTTCTGTTTTGTTTTTGTTTTTTGTTTTTTTTTGAGATGGAGTCTCGCTCTGTCGTCCAGGCTGGAGTGCAGTGGTGCAATCTTGGCTCACTGCAACCTCCGCCTCCAGGTTCAAGCGATTCTCCTGCCTCAGCCTCCTGAGTAGCTGGGATTACAGGTGTGTGCCACCACACTCGGCTAATTTTTGTATTTTTAGTAGAGACGGGGTTTCACCATGTTGGCCAGGCTGGTCTTGAACTCCTGACCTCATGATCCACCCACCTTGGCCCCCAAAGTGCTGGGATTACAGGCATGAGCCACCACACCTGGCTGTATTTCAGTATTTTATTTGTTTTTTTTTTTTTATTCCCATTTTACAGATGAATGTTTTAGTATTTTACCGACTGGTAGAGGTGTGTCAACTCTGGGCCCACACTGCTATGAATCTGGGTATGTGTGCTGAGGGTAAGTGATAGGAGAGAATCTAATTAACCTCCCAATATAGAGTATTTCAGGCTGGGCGCGGTAGCTCACGCCTGTAATCCCAGCACTTTGGGAGGCTGAGGTTTGTGGATCACCTGAGGTCAGGAGTTCGAGACCAGCCTGGCCAAAATGGTGAAACCCTGTCTCTACTAAAAATACAAAAAATTTGCCGGGCATGGTGGTGGGCACCTGTAATCCCAGCTACTTGGGAGGCTGAGGCAGGAGAATCGCTTGAACCCAGGAGGTGGAGGTTGCAGGGAGCCGAGATCACGCCATTGTACCACTCCAGCCTGGGCAACAAGAATGAAACTCAGTCTGCAAAAAAAAAAAAAAAGAATATTTCAAACAATTTTATCTGCATTTATGGGTGCAATCACTTCTATCAGAGTTTTATGCATTCTCTGGAAACCAAGTTAGGGGCTGACTCATTTGGTTTTTTTCTTTAAGACAGGGTCTCACTCTGTCACCCAGGCTGAAGTGCAGTAGTGCAATCATAGCTAACTGCAGCCTCAACCTCCTGAGCTCAAGCAATCCTCCTGCCTCAGCCTCCCAAGTAGCTGGGACTATAGGCACACACCACCACACCTCACTAATTTTTAAATTTTTTGTAGAGATGGGGTTGGGCTATATTGCCCAGGCTAGTCTTGAACTCCTGGCCTCAAGTGATCCTCCCACCTCGGCCTCCCAAAGTGCTAGGATTCCAAGCTGACTTATTTGATTTATACCTTGTTGGTGGTGGTGTTGCACTTTCTATATTTATCTATAATATCCACGAACTGCTTTTATAAGCAGAAAATTAATTATTTAAAGTTGTATTCCCAGAGAGCTGTGTGCTCAGCCCTCCACAGAGAGGACTTAGAGATGCACCAAGGAGAATGTAAGACTGCCTCTGTCCCATCTAGAATCTTAGGTCTGATTGTTGAAGTTGGACATAGCAGAAAAAAACCGGTGATGGGGAGAGGAAGGTGGTTGTGCCAGGCAGGCAGTGCTAGGCAGCAGGTATGGGGACCCAGGACCAATGTGTGGGGTGCCATGAAGTCTAACAGGCCCCTGAGAGCTCAGACCAGGGCAAGGGGCCTTTCAGTCCAGGCAATACTAAACCCTCATGGAGGCAAGAGGATGCCGTGACCCCAGTGACAGCATTGTGCCACCCATGACCCAGCTCCGACAGACAGGAGTGAGCCTTAAATCTAGGAGCCTGGCTGTTTAGGCCTGGGCTGTCTAGTACAGCAGCCACTGGCCACAAGCAGCCGTTGAGCACTTAAAATGTCTCAGTCTGTCAGAAGCGGGATGTGCTATATAAGTAGTACACCAGATTTTTAAGACTTAGCATGAAAAAAAAGAATGTAAAATAGCCCATTAGTATTTTTTATATTGATTAAATGTTGCAATGACACTCTTTTTTTTTTTTTTTGAGACGGAGTCTTGCTCTGTCACCCAGGCTGGAGGGCAGTGGCGCCATCTTGGTTCACTGCAAGCTCCGCCTCCTGGGTTCATGCCATTCTCCTGCCTCAGCCTCCCGAGTAGCTGGGACTACAGGTGCTTGCCACTACACCGGCTATTTTTTTTTTTTATATTTAGTAGAGACAGGGTTTCACCGTGTTAGCCAGGATGGTCTCGATCTCCTGACCTCATGATCTGCCCCCTTGGCCTCCCAAAATGCTGGGATTACAGGCGTGAGCCACCGCACTGGCCACAATGACACTCTTTTGAATATACCGGGTTAAGCAAAATATATTTGTCTCCTGCAGTGGGCAGGGAGCTCCTTGAGAACAGCAAGGCTGGCCCAGTCATCTCTGTATCCAGCACCTAATGCAGGGCCTGGCACAAAGCAGACAGTCATCTGTGACTGTGGAAAATGAACCCTGCTTGGCTGAGGGTACCCACTGCTGTATCACTCCTGCACACAAGTTCTCCATAACTTCTCCTTGGGCTTGGCCCTGAACGAGCTGGCATTCCTAATCCTAGACTTCCTACCATGAGCCTCGACCATGCCTCCTTCCAGTAGCCCCCCTTCCCGCCGGGTCAGCATCAGGAAGGAAGGGGTGGACAGAGGGTGCAGCTGATGTCCACTCGGGCTAGGGCAGCCTTGGTGTCCCCAGCCAGAGCAGACTCTCCAACCTCAGAGCAGAACCGTACTCACCAGCGGAAGGAAGGTCAGCAGGGGCCGGACTCTTGGCCGAGCTTTCAGCGTGGCTGTTCCTGACTCGCTCACTGTGTTAAACCGATTGTCTCCATAATAGATGCCATCTAGAGAACACAAGTGAGGGGACACCATAAGCTGGAGATCCAAGGCATCCGGCCACCCAAGTTTAATCTGCCCTTCAGCTCCCAGTGAGGAAAGCCAGGGCCTGCGTGTCTCCCAGTGTTGGATTCAGCTAAGCGCCTCTAACATAATCAGATCTTATGGATGAGATGTGCACTAATGGGGCCAGCTGAGGTGGCGCTGGGTGAGGGACTCGGTGTTCGTGGGGCTTTCAGCCCTCTGCAGCCATCTCTCTCCCAATCCATAACCACCACGCTGTACCGTCCTGAGCCTTCTCTCCCACAGCAATGGTCCCTCGTTTTTGGAGCCCAGGAAGCCCGGCTAAGGGCCCAGCTGAAGCTTATCTCAGAGAGGGAGGAAAACAAGCTGGCTTTTCCCTCGAGTGTTTGAATTTCTAATCTGAAACATGCAGAGCAGATGAGGCCACCTGCTGTCCGCAGTGGCCAATATCCCATCATCTGGACTCCCTAACTCAAGATTTCCCTGACCACCAAACCACAGATGGTTATGTACATGGCTTGCTTTAATGCACCCTTGAGGGCAGAGCAGAAAAAACGGGACAGTAGGGTCAGTGTGACCTGGTTAAAAAATCCCAGCTCTGCCACTGACTGCCCATGTGGCTTAACCTCTCTGGGCCTCAGTTTTTCCCATCCGTACAGTGGGAGTGATGATAGTGCCGTATAGCACTGTTGTGAGGAGTGAGTGTGGCCAGGGCATAGTAAGTGCTCAGCAAACATGGTTGCTTCCCCTGTAGGAAGATGATATGAAGGACCTTCCTCTTCCTCCAGTTACTGAGTCTGTGCTCCATGCTGCTCTATGGCAGTGGGAGGATGTGAGGGGCTACTCACATCACATCACATCCCTTTCTCAACTCCCTCATGACCCTTGATACACACTGACAAGAAATTCACACTCCCTTGGCAGGGATCGCTGTGGCCCTCCTGCTATGTGGCTCATGAGCAAAGAGGGCTTTCTTCCATTTAACGAAGTGTGGAGGACTTTCCTCGATAGCCAAAGAGGAGAGAAGAAAGGTTAGAATCCCAGTTAGCCAGAAGTCTGCTAACTGGGACATTGAGCTAATCATGATTACTTTTCTCCTTGTACATGACTTTAGGAGAAAATTGCAAGAAAGCCAAATGATTTATTCAAGAGACTGGGCTTGTCAGGAAGATCCTGGGATCAGACTACATCCATCCCAAATCCCCACACCGATAGCCGCAGCACCCCATGCGAGCATCTGGGCTTTGGATGTGACAGGGAGGCTCCTGGGAGCGCCCCAGCAGCTGGAGGTGGTGTCCTCCGTGTGCTGCCCTCCCAAGGCAGGAAGCTGGCTGGGACACTCAAGCTTCTCCACGTCTCAAAAGGGGCCCGAACGTCGGGTTCTCCGTGTGCTCCGCACGTCCCTGGAAACTCCAGTTCCCAGCACTGCCCTGCCCCATGCACTCTGGGCAAATATGATTTTCCAGTCCCAGTTGCCAGTCTCCATGCCTGAGGCTGCAGACCAAGATCAGACAGGGCATGCGGGAGGGGAGCTGTAAGATCTGACTCAATGGGAAACAACAAAAGTAGCTCACACCCAACAGCCACCACGAAAGCCCCCAATTCCCTCACTTCCGAGAGTCTGCGTGTTGACACTAGGATCTCCTGGGGCATTTTCTAGAGAGTGCTGTGTGGATGCCAAGGCCCTAGACCTGACGTGATGTGGCTACCTGGACCCTTAACAGGACTGGGGTGGGGCGGGGATTGCCACAGGGACTGCACGACAGCCACGCTCCTAGGCAAGGCCCTAATCATTTCATCTCTGCACCGATGTTGGGATCTAGGGAGCCTCCTTCCTACAGTTGTTATTGTCATATTAATGGCTACTCTTATTGGGTGCCTAGGAGCTTTAGAAGTGTTATACCTGAGCAACTTGGCAAGCATGATAACTGTAATAGTAATAATAATAAAAGGTAAAAACTTACTGAGCATCTTTTTTTTATCTTTATTTTTTTTGAGATGGAGTCTTTTTTTTTTGGTTATATAGATGAGAGGTTTCTATGTTGCCCAGGCTGTCCTCAAAAGCCTTGTCTCGCCTCTTTATGTGCCAAGACAACAGGCCTGAGCCATTGTGGATCCCTGTGCTCTGTCGCTCAGGCTGGAGTACAGTGGCATGATCTCGGCTCAGTGCAACCTGTGCTTCCCAGGTTCAAGCAATTCTCCTGCCTCAGCCTCCGAAGTAGTTGGGATTACAGGTGTGCACCACCACGCCCAGCTAATTTTTGTATTTTTAGTAGAGACGGGGTTTCACCATGTTGGCCAGGCCTGTCTCAAACTCCTGAACTCAGGTGATCTACCCACCTTGGCCTCCCAAAGTGCTGGGATTACAGGTGTGCGCCACCACACCCAGCTAATTTTTGTATTTTTAGTAGAGATGGTGTTTCACCATGTTGGCCAGGCTGATCTCAAACTGCTGAACTCAGGTGATCTACACACCTCAGCATCCCAAACTGCTGGGATTACAGGTGTGTACCACGCGCCCAGCCTACTGAGCACCTTTAATGGTCTGGGCACTGTTCTGAGCATCTTACACATTATTAATTCATTTAATTCTCAAAACAGCCCCATGCAAATTGGTAGTCATTATCCCTGTTTTACAGATGAGGAAACTGAGGCACAAGGAGGTCAAATAACTTGCCCAAAGACTCACAGTAAGTGTTGAAGCCAGGGTCTCCCTAAAGGGCCTGACTTCTAAACTACCATACATACACCCCTAAAGGGAAGAGCCATAATCCCACCATGTACGGGGGTGAGGAAGGCTCGGCTCGGCTCTGGCCAAGGAGCAGCTCTGGGAAGCAACGGGAGGTGAGGCAGCTTGTTCGAAGCCTGCTGGTCAGGATGGAGTCGGATCTGAACTGTGGCCGTCTGACCCCCAAGCAGGCGCTCTAACTGCCTCACAGATCCCATGACTCAGCCCTGACTCTGAGCCATTGTTGTTTTGCTTGCTTTGTGGTTGTTTTAAGCAGTGAAATCCTTTCTAAGAACATAATTGTTCTCTGTAAAACATATAGAAGGGTAGTGGCTGTAGTTGAGGCCGGGTTGGAAGGCCCAGGTGGCTCCTCTCGCTACCAGGCACCTCTGGAAAATCGGATTTGATTTCCCAGTCTGAAGAGGAGTGGGTAGGGGTCAGAGAGGGAAACGTGATACGGGAGCAGAGGTGGGGTGATGCGCTGTGAGAGGCGCTCAGCTGCCATGGCTGGCTTTGAAGATGGAAGGAGGCTACTGGCCAAGGACTGTGGGCTGCCTCTAGCAGCCAGAACAGGCAAGGAAACAGACTCTCCTGGAGCCTCCAGAGGAACAAAGTCTTGCCAACACCTTAATTGAGCCCACAGAGACCTGTGTCAGAGTTCTGACACGCAGAATTGTAAGATAGTAAATTTGTTATCAAAATAAAAAAAGGGGCTGGGTGCGGGGGCTCACACCTGTAATCCCAGCACTTTGGGAGGCCGAGGCGGGCGGATCACAAGGTCAGGAGATCGAGACCATCCTGGCTAACATGGTGAAACCCCGTCTCTACTAAAAATACAAAAAATTTGCTGGGTGTGGTGGCATGCACCTGTAGTCCCAGCTACTCAGGAGGCTGAGGCAGGAGAATCACTTGAACCAGGGAGGCGGAGGTTGCAGTGAGCCAAGATTGCGCCACTGCACTTCAGCCTGGGGGACAGAGTAAGACTTTGTCTCAAAAAATAATAAGAAGAAGAAGAAGAAGAAGAAAATAAGAAAAGGAGGTGTGGGGCTGGGCGCGGTGGCTCACACCTATAATCCCAGCACTTTGGGAGGCCGAGGTGGGTGGATCATGAAGTCAGGAGTTCAAGACCAGCCTGGCCAATATGGTGAAACCCTGTCTCTACTAAAAATACAAAAATTAGCCGGATGTGGTGGTGGGCACCTGTAATCCCAGCTACTCAGGATACTCAGGAGGCTGAGGCAGGAGAACCGCTTAAACCCGGGAAGCAGAGGTTGTAGTGAGCTGAGATTGTGCCAGTACACTCCAGCCTGGGTGACAGAGTGAGACTCTGTCTCAAAAAAAAAAAAGAAAAGAAAAGAAAAGAAAAGAAAAGGAGGTGTGGCTGCAATCAGGCCAACTCTCTGGGCCCCTCAGACCTGGCCTAGCTCCTGCTGGGTGGAGGCACAGCATGAGGTGAGGCGCGTGTGTCTATCTCCATCAGCTAGATCCTCAAAGCATTCAAGGTCAGAACTGGGGTCTTCCCAGCCTCAAGGTCAAGGCCCAAAACTAAACAAAGACAACAGAGCTCAACCTTGGGGAATTTCCTATTGGAAGTGATGAACTTTGCTCAGATCACAGGTCAGGGATGCTGAGGCCTTCCTGAGAAGCAGCTCCCTCCTCAGTCGAGGAGCTAAAGGAGGGCTAGGAACATCCTGGTTTCCCTTGAGGAAGGAGGGGCGAGGAGGAGGTGAAGGGGGTGCCTGGAGAGGAGGCTGGATGATTTGCTCTCGGAACAAGACTGCAGTGAGAAAGAGGGGCACAGCCCCGTGTCTCATCCACTCTGAAACTTGCAAACTCCCTTGGTGTCTGGCTTTTTCTGGAAAAGTCCTTCGGGATCTCAGAGGTTTTATGCTTGCCACATGCATGGACCACAGAGGCAGCATTGGAACATCCAGGTGGGATTCAGAAAGCTGGAAAAGGAAGGGAGATGCCCCTGGACCCAGGAGCTTCCAGAGAAAGAGAGTCCTGGGGCAATTCCAGCAGCCAGGAAGCCTTGTGAGACCCCAGCAGCAGGTTCTGAGCAAGGCCTGAGCCCCAGATGGACCACAGTCCTGTCAAGATACAAACTTCTGACAAACTCACATGCAAATAATGCAGTGATAAAATAGGGGTAAATCCAGGTCTGCCTCCATTGACCCAAACCTGATCTTTAAATGAACCAAATTTCCCCCCAAATGGAATCCTATTTATGACAAGATTATGCATAGGATTACTTTAGAGTTTCTCCCTAACAATTTCTCCCTCATAGAAGGAGACAGGGGCGGGGGCGGGGCGGGGCGGGGCGGGGGAGGTGGATTTACACTCCCTCAAGGATTTGAGTTGACATAAATATTAATACCATCTAACATCCAAAAACCTGTTCCAAAAACAATTCCTGGTGCCAAGCAGGAGACTTCACCCCAGATTTCAACCTGGGTACAGGCAGCTCCCCTCCTGCCCCTTCTCCCTCAGGAGAACCTGGCTCTGCCATGGGCCAGAGGGCAGCAGAGTTGTGGCTGAGGCTGCCTGGGCTGTGAGGAGACCATGGCTGAGGTTCTGCCCTGGCCGGAAACACCCAGTAGTCGAACAGCTCCTGGCTGGGACGGGAGGCAGGACCTTATGGGGTCAAGGCTATGGGTTTAGAGCCCAGCTGAACTTGGGTTCCAGTTCCGGCTCCAACACTTAACTGTGGGATCCTGGGAGCCTCACTGGTCTCTCTGAGGCTGTCTCTTTATCTTTGTACATGTGAACAGTGGTCCCTGCTGGGCAGGCTGATGTGAGGTTGAGTGAGAGAAAGTGTGCAAAAGTCATCAGCACAGTGCCTAGCAGATATTTATGCTCAATAATTGGGAGGGTTGGCTGGGAGTGGTGGCTCACGTCTGTAATCTCTGCATTTTGGGAGGCTGAGGCAGGAGGATTACTTGAGGTCAGGAGCTCAAGATCAGCCTGGCGGCCGGGCACAGTAGCTCACGCCTGTAATCCCAGCACTTTGGGAGGCCAAGGCGGGTGGATCACCTGAGGTCAAGAGTTCAAGACCAGCCTGGCCAACACGGTGAAACCCCGTCTCCACTAAAAATACAAAAATTAGCTGGGCGTGGTGGTGGGTGCCTATAACCCCAGCTACTCGAGAGGCTGAGGCAGGAGAATTGCTTGAACCGGGGAGGCAGAGGTTGCAGTGAGCCGAGATTGAGCCATTGCACTCCAGCCTGGGTGACAAGAGCGAAACTCCATCTCAAAAAAAAAAAAAAAAAGACCAGCCTGGCCAACATGGTGAAACCCCATCT
This sequence comes from Homo sapiens, assembly GCF_000001405.40. Classification (NCBI taxonomy): domain Eukaryota; kingdom Metazoa; phylum Chordata; class Mammalia; order Primates; family Hominidae; genus Homo; species Homo sapiens. The sequence goes on from NC_000006.12 coordinate 42,134,825, forward strand.
CTACTAAAAATACAAAAATTAGCCAGGCGTGGTGGTGGGCGCCTGTAATCCCAGCTACTCAGGATACTCGGGAGGCTGAGGCAGGAGAATCACTTGAACCTGGGAGGCAGAGGTCGTAGTGAGCTGAGATTGCGCCACTGCACTCCAGCCTGGGCAACAGAGTGAGACTCTGTCTCAAAAAAATAATAATGATAATTGGGAGGGCTGGTTATTGTTGTGATCGTCATTTTCTCTCTGCTCCACCTTACTTCCTTCCACCAAGAGTTTGGGCTGTGAGCTTGAGCTGGGCTGTGTCACTTGCAAATCATGGTGACACCTGTCCCCACTGGGGAGAGCCACCGGGAGGCAGGCGGCCCTTTGGGCCCTTTGCTTTCTTGTTCGGGTTCACTCTGAGTCCTGATGCCTGGGGCTGAATAGCCCTCTTTGCAGCAACCCAGAGTGGGAGAGGCTGGATCAAGGTTGCCTAGCAGGGGTCAAACATGGCCCCTGACTTGCACTGCCTTACGCATGGCAGGGCACGTGGCTCCCTGCCTCTCCCCAACAGGCAGACCTGGCTCTCTCAGCCTGGGCTGGGGTACGTGTTAAATGTGGCGGGTGGGCCAGCTCCGGGCGAGCTGAGAGCTAGGTACATGCTGCCACAGGACGCCCAGCCCTTCTTTTCTCCCTTGCTCCCCGAGCGGAGGAGCCTCACTGAGTCTTCTGCATTTCTTTGCTCACAGAGTTCAGGGTTGGAAGGAATGTTCTTCCTCCCTCAGCCCCAAAGCTGCTCATGGATCTCCATGGAAGCTGAGGTCAGAAAGATTCTGGGACAGTTATTTAGTTCTTTCCCCACATTCTAGCTAGGTCCAAACTAGAGAGAAAATTAATTTGATTAATTAAATACTTAAATGTCTAACATCTATTAAGCCTGTGTTATGAGCAAGGCACTATTCTAAGCCCTCACCACCCCATGGGGGAAGTACCCTTATTATTCCCAATTTGCAGTTGAGGAAACTGAGGCTCAGAGAGGTTAAGTCCCTTGCCCAAGTTCCCACAGCTGGTGAGTCAAAGGGGCCGGGATTCCAGGCCAGGCAACATGACTCTAGACTCTGATTCCCTCATGTCATAGCCAGCATGGCAGGGAAGGAATGTAGGGATTCAGCGTCTCTCCCCTCCATCTCTTGTTTTTCCTGAATGAGACTTGAAAGTTGGTAAGGCCTAATGGGTGCAGCACACCAGCATGGCACATGTATACATATGTAACTAACCTGCACATTGTGCACATGTACCCTAAAACTTAAAGTATAATAATAATAAAAATAATAAAAAAAAAATAAAAACTTACCTGTAAGCCATCCAAAAAAAAAAAAAAGAAAGTTGGTAAGGCCTGGAGGGGAGGAAATGGGCCTAGGAATCATATCTGGATTCACATCCATATAATACCTGAGGACACTGAACACTTTGTCGGGCTGTTTCCCCACCTGTAAAATGAGGATGATACTTTTCCGGAAGCCTCCCAAAATCAGGAGAGGGAAGGAAGCTAGCCGGAGTGAGAGGAGGGCTGGGGCCCCAAATTGCCAGGAGCCCCTAAATGACTTCAGGAGCACCGGCTACAGATCTAATTGGATTCCTGGGGCTTAGGAGGATTCGGGCCTTAGCTTGGGGAGTTTTTGCCTTGACTAAGAGTAACCCAGAATCCCAAAACAGACCTCTTTCTACTTCTCCCTCACCGTAGATATAGAATGGGGGTGCTGGACAGTGAAGTATGAAGTGTGGCATCCAATCATCGGCCACTAGGGGACCCCCTGCCTTTCAGGGAAGCAGCGGGGGCGGCCCCATGTGAATGTAACTCACAGATGGCTTTAATGAGGCCTTTCCTTGCTAATTAGCAAGTCCACAGGACAGGAGCCTAAAAAGGCCAGTCTTTCCCAGCAAGTCCCAGCAGGCCTGACCTGAGGACCAGAGAGAGGCCTTTGTCCAAGGGCAGAGGGGATGCTGAAGATTCGACTGGAGTGGAGGGGAGGAGGGGCAGGGAGCCACAAAGTAGAGGAGGACGGAACAGAAACGGAACAGAATGGCGCCGCCCCCCCAGCCCTGCAGGTGGGACTAAGGGGGAGGAGCAGAGTGAACAGGGCCCTCGGCTTCCAAGCTAGGACTCGCCACTCAGTGTGCAGACCCCAGAACTTGTGAGAAATGCTGACTCTCCCTTCATCCCGAAACTACCGAAACAAATCTAATCTTAACAAGATTCCAGATGACTGGGTGCACTTTGATGTTTGAGCTACCCCGGACTGGAATGGCTGAGTCATTTCACCTATCTGAGCCTTGCTTCTGAGTCTGTTTCCTCAATTGAGAAGACATTCAAAGCTTTTAGTCCAGAGCCTGGTGACAATAATTACATTACTGTCATTACTCTATTGGCTAGGAGAGAAGGGGCACCTTGTAGCTGGTCTGTAGGGGTCAAGGGCAGGCCTGGCTTTCTGGAGTTGAACTAGAGTGACAAGAGAAGCTTATACAATGGGGCGGCGGAGGGTGTATATGTGTGCACTGGACTGCCGGCAAACCACAGCACACCTCCAGGGAACAGGAGTAAACAAAAGTTGGTAGGCTGGTGCCAGCCTGGCCCTGGTTGGAAATATATGCTCAGCTCCTGACTCCCGGGGTAGGAGGTGGGAGTTTCCCACTCTTTAGCCGGGCCTGAAACAAAGGGTCAGGAGACCCAGGGAACAGGAACACCAGAACCTGCAGCCACACCAGAGGGCACGAGGGTCCTCCTGATAAGGAGCTGGTGACATTCTTTCCATATTTATGTAGAACCTACCATGTGCCCTGCAGGGAGTCCTAAAGGGAAAGAGAATAGCCTTGCTCCATGTGGGGAAGGAAATACCAGGATTCTCATATCTTCCCGCACAAAACAATTCCCCTGGAGCTGGTTAAAAACCCAGAGCCCAAAGGCTGGGCGCGGTGGCTCACGCCTGTAAATCCCAGCACTTTGGGAGGCCGAGGCAGGGGCGGGGGCGGGGCGGGGCGGGGCGGGGCGGGGGAGGTGGATCACGAGGTCAGGAGATCGAGACCATCCTGGCCAACATGGTGAAACCCCGTCTCTACTAAAAATACAAAAATAGCCATGTGTGGTGGCGCAGGCCGGGGAGGCTGAGGCAGCAGAATCGCTTGAACCCGGGAGGTAGAAGGTTGCAGTGAGCCGAGATCGTGCCACTGCACTCCAGCCTGGCAACGGATCGAGACTCCGTCTCAAAAAACCCCCAGAGCCCAGACCCTAGCCCAGAGATTCTGACTTCCTGTGCCTGAGGTGGGACCCTAGGAATTTGAAATTAATTAAATTAATTTTTTTGGGTGGGGGAGGACAGGATCTTGCTCTGTCACCCAGGCTGGAGTGCAGTGGTGCCATCATAGCTGACTGCAGCCTCTATCTCCCAGGCTCAAGCAATCCTCCTGCCTTGGCTTCCCAAAGTGCTGGGGTTGTTTTTGTTTTTGTTTTTTGTTTTGAAACAGGGTCTCGCTCTGCCACCAAGGCTGGAGTGCAGTGGCGCAATCTTGGCTTTCTGCAACCTCTGCCTCCTGAACTCGAGCAGTCCTCCCGCCTCAGCCTCCTGAGTAGCTGCAGCTACAGGTGCATGCCACCAAGCCTGGCAAATTTTTGTATTTTTAGTAGAGACAACAGGATCTTGCCATGTTGCCCAGGCTGCCCTCAAACTCCCATGATCCACCTGCCTCAGTCTCCCAAAGCACTGGGATTACAGGCGTGAGCCACCGCCCAGCCCAGAATCTGCATTTCAAATAAATGTCTGAGGTAGCTGTGAGCTGTCCCATTTAGAGGAACGGGGTAGGAAAGAGAGTCCTCTAGCAAACAAGGGTGTCCCATTGCTGGTGGCGGGTGCAGCGGTGGTAGATAAAGAATCTTGGCTCAGTTAATCCAAGATGCAAGGGAGGAGTCCTGAGTGACTGGCAGCTTTGTCTCCAGTAACAGCCCAGTCCTTTATCTTGGGATTTGCGAAGATCCACATCTCTGCTTTCTCATGCATTTAAACACACACACACACACACACACACACACACACTCGTGTGGCCTTGCTTGGGCTGGGAGAGGGCAGAAGACTTTGTTAGGATTGCAAATGCATTCAGTGAAGCCCTCCTAATTGCTGGAATACATATTAGAGAAATTCTGTAAAGAAAATTTTTTTGCTCATCACCACTCTCACATGACTGTTTGCATTTACCCGCTGTACCCAGCCTACCCTTGTGCAAACAGATTTTTACATGGCTGCAACCACAGAGCAAACAGTTGATTACTCCTTAATTCCCTTACACATCCCTACATTGATTTTCCTCCCTTCCATTCCACCGCCTGTTCTCTAAGGGCTGGATATCGCCAGCATCTCACCCCAGGCTTGAGGGGAATGTCACAGACTCAGGGGCCCTATGGAACTCTAATCCCACTCTCTCTGAGACTTTGAAATAGTCTTTTCATGGCTCAGTTTCCTCTATTCTACAGCAGTGTTAGGAAGAGGAGCTGAAGCAGGCAAGGGCAGGAAGTGCTCCATGCTGGGAACGATCCAATAATAAATCATGCCTTAGAGGAGGGGCCAGTAAACTTTTTCTGTACAGGGCCAGATAGTAAATATGTTAGCCTTTGCAGGCCATAAGGTCTCTTTTGTAGCTACTCAACTCTAGCCATAGACCATATGTAAATGAGGGGCATAGTTGGTTATGTTCTAATAAAACTTTATTCCTCAAAGCAGGCCATGGGCCAGAATGGAGCCAGGACTGTAGTTTGCCAATCCTTGCTTTAGAGCAAGCTTGTCCAACCCATGGCCCAACACAAATTAGTGAACTTTCTTAAAATATTATGAGGGGTTTTTTTTTGCGTTTTTTTGTTTTGTTTTTTAGCTCATCAGCTATTGTTAGTGTCAGTGTATTTTATGTGTGGCCCAAGACAATTCTTCTTCCAATGTGACCCAGGGAAGCCAAAAGATTGGACACCCTGTTTAGAGCTTTTTGTTTTAATGCTCTTCAAAGCACTACCATAAATACCGCTTCAGGCAGTTACCCTGCAGGCAGCCTGGACACTATCCCCTTTAACAGAAGAAAAAATTGAGGCCCAGAGAGTGCTTAGCCCTATGTATTGACAGAGACAGGATGCCAAGGCAGGGCTGCACCTGCATCCCATCACAGAATCCCCAACACTGGTCCCTCCTCTCCCTAACTCCAAGCAGAGCAGGGAGGACTTCTGCCACGCCCAGTGGCACCCCAGGGAACACCCCGGAAACACTGAGGCGCTGTTCTGCTGGGTGCATGATGTTTTCCATGGCTCCTTGTGCAGGCAAGACCAAGCTGAGTCAGCTGGAGGCCCAGCCCTGCCTTGAGGAACGGGAGGAGCTGTCCTTTGGACTCCAGCTCTGCCCAGGCTGATGAGGGCAGCAGCTGGCTGGAGATGACAGGGCACCAGGCCCTCTTCCCTCACCAGAGGTGCTGATGCCCACTAGCAGCCTGCACAGCCTAGGCAAAATGCAGAAGTGGCTGAGAGGCGTGGCTGAGAGGCATGGCTGAGGTCTCCCCTTGAGGGAGGAAGGGTGTGTGTGTGTGTATGTGTGTGGTATTTTCCAGGCAGATGCCCCTCAAGTAAACTTGGATCGCCTTCCTCTGCAGAGTTAATTCAGCAAACCCGCTAAGAGTGTGATCTCTGGAGCCTGACTGCCTGGATTCAAATACTAGTTCTGCCTCACAAGGGAGATTTTGGAGGTCATCGAAATGTTCTAAAACCAGATGGTGGTGATAATGGCACAACTCTGTGTAAATGGTCTACTAAAAATCATTGAATTGTGGACTTAGAAAAATGCTGCCTCCAGCATTGAAAGCTGTATGATCTTGGGCATATTACTTAACCTCCCTGTGCCTCAGTCTCCTCATCTGTCAAACAGGAATGACAATAATAGTGCCTGACTCTAGATGAGATTTCAATGAATCAGTAACACAAAGATTTTAGAATGGCATCTTGCACCTAAGAAGGGATTAATAAATGGTCTTTCCATGGTGCCTCCGTTGAGAGGGAAAGAAGTGTCCTGGCTCACAGGCACTTGCCTGCACACCTGTGTCTGGGAGTGCCTACACCATGCCTCCACTTGCCCTGCTCCTCCTGGTCTTTGCTTCTACTGTTTGTTTTGCCAGGAATGCCCTCTCCTGTCAGCTCGAATGCTAGTTCCACTCAGAGGTCATCTCTCTTCTTTGCTTTTATGCTTAATAATCATTTACAGCAAAGGCTCAGAAAGGGCTAAATGGCATATGGTTAGTTCTGTTCACCCCCTGATCTGATATCTTTGTGCCAGGAAGAGGCGACACTTTGTCCGTCCTGCTCCTATCCATGGTGCCTTGTGTCCTGGCTGTGGCAACCTGCATGCTGAACTGAGTCCAACAGCAGGCACCAAGGCTATGACATCCACTGTGGGTCCCAGCACAGTGGCTATAAAGATCAGTGAAGATAATATGGTGAGAATGAAGGCAGGCAAGCTAAAGCAGTGATGGGTGACCTTCCTTGGGCCCAGAAGCCCCCTGCCCCCCCAACCTGGGCGTTCCAGAGCCACATGTCATACACAAGAAATGGATTTCTGTCTCCAGCCGCTGGCTTCCCCTAGTTATAGAGAATACAAATTGCAAAACGATGCAATGATAAGATGACCCACAGCCAGAGCCTGGGGATGAGCCAAGGCGGTGCTTTTAGAGGCCTGCAGAGACACACCAGTCTGATTCCAGGGTCAGCGGCAGCTGGCAGTCAGGGAGAGGGTTCCTTGGCCTCCACTGTCCCATTTCTGGCTCCTCGGTCTTAGCCCAGAGACAGCCCAGGTCCCAGGTTGAACTGGCAGGAGCCTGTGGCCCCAATAAGTGACTTGGTGTCACAAACAGGCTGGTAACCTGGTAGCAGCTGCGCCTGTTGTTTTTTCCTGGGCCTCACCTAGCCAGAGCCAAGTTTGTGAGCACCCAGATAGCAGGCCCCTCTCTGCCACGTGGGCTTGGGAAACAGGGAGTGCAAAGGGTGAGGGAGGAGTTCTTAGCCCCTTAGCCCCCAGTTCTTCAGGAACACTTTTGCTTCAGCCAGAATGGGGGTGTAGCGGTGGGGGTCGGGGGAGATATCGCAAACCTCCGGAAGCCTTTCCGCTAACAGTAACACAAGCATAGGATTCGCCAAGAGGGGGAATTAAACACCTCCGAATAAGGCCTGGGGTCAGAGGTGGGGGCGGCAAAGTTCTCCCACCTCCCCGTGGTGGTGGGGGGGGTCCCCTCGTTCCCCACACCTCTCTCACCGCACAGCCCTTCCCAGACACCCCTGTGCGGTGCCTCCTCCCCTGCCCGGCGGCTGCTCTCGGCCAGTCCGCAGGTTCCAACGTGTCCCTCCCCTCCGCGCCTCCAGGAGACAGCACCGCCGGCCCTGCCCCAGCGCCCTCCGTCCCCGCCCCAGCGCCCTCCGTCCCCGGAGTACTCACCGAAGCCCCCGGTCCCCTCCTCCGGGGCCTCCTGGGTGAAGATCCAGGGCGGATTGGTGGCGTAGAGGGAGGTGCTGGGGGTCGTGGTGTGCTTCTTCCCGAAGAGTTTGCTGAAGGTGCCCTGCACCGTCTGCTTCTTTTTCATGCTGCCGCAGCCCGCGCGGGCGCCAGGGAAGGACCTTCCCTCCCTCGCCCTGCCCTGCCCCGGACTGAACTCAGCACGGTCTCCCCAGGGGACTCTACCAGGCCATGTCCCCCGCCGTCCTCCCCGCCCGCGCACCGGGCAACAGGTGCTGCGGGCGCCGCCGCTTGCCGGGAAATGCGAGCTACCTGGCCAGGTAAAAGGCAGCCGCTTGGCCGGGCCCCGCCCCGCCGCCGCCCAGCTCCCCAGGCCGCATTCCTTCCCGCCTCCTTCTACAACAGGCCATTGTTGGCACGGCCCGGTGGGCTGGGGACCTCGCCCGGCCCACGCCCAGCCTGGGAGACGGGCCACCCCCTCCCCCAGGTTCCTCCCTGCACGCCTCCTTCACCCCACTTCCCCCTAGTCCGGGAAAGGAGGCGGGTGAGTTTCCAGCCTCTCAAGGCGATTCGTGACCAGGTCAGTATGGGTACATCGGGGACAGCTCTAGTGTCCAACACGAGGGACATGGATGGCCAAAGCGAGCACGCCACGGCATCCTATAGCCCCTCAAATATGTGGGGCGTGAGGCTTCGGGGAACATCAGGAAGTGCCTGTAAGAGAAAAGTAAGCTGGGAAAAGCAAGAAAATGACAAACTAGTATACCAATCTGATGACGAGGGTGGAAAAACATCCTCATTGACAGGGCTCCGAAGAGAATGTGGGATGACGAAATCTTGGCATTCTGTGTCTGTACATCACATTGTTTTTCTTTTTCTTTTCTTTTCTTTTCTTTTTTTTTTCCTTTGGACGGAGTCTCGCTCTGTTGCCCAGGCTGGAGTGCAGTGGCGCCATCTCGGCTCACCGAAACCTCCCGGTCTCGGATTCAAGCGATTCTCCTGCCTCAGCCTCCCGAGTAGCTGGGATTACAGGCACGCACCACCACGCCCGGCTAATTTTTGTATTTTTAGTAGAGACAGGTTTTCACCATGTTAGCCAGGCTGGTCTGGAACTCCTGACCTCGTGATCTGCCGGCTTCGGCCTCCCAAAGTGCTGGGATTACAGGCGTCGGCCACCGCGCCTGGCCCACATTCTTTTTTTTCTGTGAAGTTAAGTGAATATAATTTTTGAAAACCTAAAGTGGGTAGAGCCCACTTAGGGTTGGGTTCACTCTCCAGGGAGACAAACAGTGGTACTTTAAGGCACTTAGGGTAACATCCTAGCCAAGCCAGGGGTGGCTATCCACGGGGGAAATTTCCTCCGATGAGGAGGGGGAGAGCCTGCGTGAAGATGCTGAGAGCAGAGGTGCAGGCCAAGTGGGTGGAGTTTGATGTTTTCTGGGCAGCAGGGGGCATAGGCTGGTGCAAGTTGCCATTTCTGCTGAGCTTCCGGGGGACAGGGCCCACTGCCACATTTCCCCTCAGTTTCCCCCAGATCTTACACCAAAGGCGTTTTCCCTCAACTTTTCACTCTGAAACATTTCAAACCTTCAGAGAACTTACAAGAATTGTACAATGACCACCTGTGTACCCTTCTCCCTGGATTCACCAATTGTTAACTCATTGCTAAATTCATCCCTCTCTCTCTCTGTCTCTCTCTCTCCCGGATTCTTTTCCTTTTCATTTTGCTGAAGCTTGGAAGTTGTAGATACCGTGGCCCATTTCTTAGCCTCCCCCAGTACTTCAGCATCGATGTCTAAGAGTAGGAACATTCTCCTACATGGCCACAATACAACTGTCACACTCAGGAGATCTAACATTGCCAGGCACGGTGGCTCACGCCTGTAATCCTAGCACGTTGGGAGGCCAAGGCAGGTGGATCACTTGAGGTCAAGAGTTTGAGACCAGCCTGGCCAACATGGTGAAACTCCGTCTCTACCAAAAATATTTAAAAAATCAGCTGGGCGTGGAAGTGTGTGCCTGTAATCCCAGCTACTAGGGAGGCTGAGGCAGAAGAATCACTTGAACCCGGGAGGCAGAGGTTGCAGTGAACCAAGATCATGCCATTGCACTCCAGCCTGGGCAACAAGAGTGAAACTCCGTCTCAAAAAAATTAAAAAACAGGCCAGGTGCGGTGGCTCACGCCTGTAATCCCAGCACTTTGGGAGGCCGAGGCAGGTGGATCATGAGGTCAGGAGATCGAGACCATCCTGGCTAACACGGTGAAACCCCGTCTCTACTAAAAATACAAAAAAAAAATTAGCCAGGCGTGGTGGCGGGCACCTGCAGTCCCAGCTACTCAGGAGGCTGAGGCAGGAGAATGGTGTGAACCTGGGAGGCGGAGCTTGCAGTGAGCCGAGATCGTGCCACTACACTCCAGCCTGGGCGACAGAGCAAGACTCCGTCTCAAAAAAATAAAAAAAAAAAAAATAAATAATAATAAAAAAAACAAACAAACAAAAAAAGAATTTCACAATTATCCCCTCAAATGTCATTTTAGTTTTTTTGTTCCTTTTTTTTTTTTTTTCGAGACAGAGTCTTGCTCTGTCGCCGAGGCTGGAGTGCTGTGATGCAATCTTGGCTCACTGCCACCTCCGCCTCCCGGGCTCTAACGATTCTCCTGCCTCAGCCTCCCAAGTAGCTGGGACTACAGGTACCCGCCACAATGCCCAGCTAATTTTCATATTTTTAGTAGAGATGGGGTTTCACCATGTTGGCCAGGCTGGTCTCAAACTCCTGACCTCAAGTGATCCACCCACCTCAGCCTCCCAAAATGCTGGAATTATAGGCGTGAGCCACCTTGCCAGCCAAGTGGCTCCATTTGTTTGCAACTTCTACTATATAACTATTATTATTATTATATGTATATTTTTTAGATGGAGTCTTTCTCTGTCACCCAGGCTGGAGTGCAGTGGCGCAATCTCGGCTCACTGCAACCTCCACTTCCCAGATTCAAGTGATTCTTCTGTCTAAGCCTCCCGAGTAGCTGGGATTACAGGTGCCCACCACCATGCCCGGCTAATTTTTGTATTTTTAGTAGAGATGGGGTTTTACCATGTTGGTCATTCTGGTCTTGAACTCCGGACCTCAGGTGATCCACCGGCCTTGGCTTCCCAAAGTGCTGGGATTACAGGCATGAGCCACCGCACCCGGCCTGTAACTAATATTCTTGAGAGCCACTGTGTGCCACACGCTGGGCTGTGAAAGAGCCAGAAAAATTAAAGACATGGTTCTTGAGTCCAGGTTGTTATATAGTCTGTGGAGACAGGCAGTGACCTGTGGAGAGCTGGGCAGTGGGGAGGTAACTGAAAGGAAGGAAATGAAGGGGGGAAAGTGCAGAGCAATTTGGGGGCTGCAGGATCTGGGGAGGGTAGGCAGGAGACCTCTTCAGGGGCTGAGGATGGGGGAGCTCGGAATTATCCAGTGTGTGGGAGGTCACGGCAAGGTTGGCCAAGGTGTGGAAGGCTTAAAAAGGCCACCTGGGTGGCCGGGCGCGGTGGCTCACGCCTATAATGCCAGCACTTTGGGAGGCCGAGGTGGGCAGATCATGAGGTCAGGAGTTCGAGACCAGCCTGGCAAACATGGTGAAACCCTGTCTCTACTAAAAATACAAAAATTAGCCGGGTATGGTGGCAGGCGCCTGTAATCCCAGCTACTCGGGATGCTGAGGCAGGAGAATCGCTTGAACCCGGGAGGTAGAAGTTGCAGTGAGCCGAGATCACGCCATTGCACTCCAGCCTGGAGGACAAGAGTGAGACTTTGTCTCAAAAAAAAAAAAAAAAAAGAAAGAAAGAAAGAAAAAGCCAGCTGGGGCTGGGTGCGGTGGCTCACACCTGTAATCCCAGCACTTTGGGAGGTTGAGGCGGGTGGATAACGAGGCCAAGAGATCGAGACCATCCTGACCATCCTGGCCAACATGGTAAAACCCTGTCTCTACTAAAATTACAAAAAGCTGGGCATGGTAGCGTGTGCCTGTAGTCCTAGCTACTTGGGAGGCTGAGGCAGGAGGATTGCTTGAACCTGGGAAGTGGAGGTTTTGCAGTGAGCCGAGATCACACCACTGCACTCCAGCCTGGCGACAGAGCGAGACTCCGTCCAAAAAAAAAAAAAAAGAAAGAAAGAAAGAAAAAAAAAAAAAGGCTAGCTGGAAAAATGGGAATCAACTAAATGTCCACCAAGAGGTGAATTGTTAAATTTAAATAAACTATAGCCGGCTGGGTGCCACAGTGCATGCCTGTCATCCCAGTGCTTTGGGAGCTGAGGTGGGCTAATCACTTTAGGCCAGGAGTTCGAGACCAGCCTGGCCAACGTGGCAAAATCCCATCTCTACCAAAAATAAAAAAAAAATTAGTCGGGTGTGATAGTGCATGCCTGTGGTCCCAGCTACTTGGGAGGTTAAGGTGGGAGAATCGCTTGAGCCCAGGAGGCAGAGGTTGCAGTGAGCCTAGATCACGCCACTGCCCTCCAGCCTGGGTGAGAATGAAACCCTGTCTCAAAAATAAATAAATAAACAAACCATGGCACATCCTATCCACACAATGGAATAAAAAGGCAACCCTGGCCAGGCGTGGTGGCTCATGCCTGTAATCCTAGCACTTTGAGAGGCTGAGGCAGGTGGATTGCCTGAGCTCAGGAGTTCGAGACCAGCCTGGGCAATACGGTGAAACACCGTCTCTACTAAAATACAAAAAATTAGCCAGGCGTGGTGGCGTGTGCCTGTAGTCCCAGCTACTCAGGAGGCTGAGGCAGAAGAATTACTTAAACCTGGGAGGCGGAGGTTGCACACTGAGCTGAGATCACACCACTTCATTCCAGGCTGGGCGACACAGCGAGACTCCGTTTCAAAAAAAAAAATTATCATAATGCAACCCTAAATACAAGTGAGTCAGCTAGCTGCTAGCTGTGTCCAGTTATCTCTAAGATAACCTGATAAACTTAGCCAAATGGTAAGTGATCCGCCCGTCTCAACCTCCCAAAGTGCGAGATTGCAGGTGTGAGCCACTGCGCCAAACGGTATAGTGTGCTACCATTTGTCAAGGGCAGGAGGTAGGGCAGAGTAAACATGATCTTATTTGTTTCTTTTGGCACAGAGAAACCTCAGAAAGTTACATAAAAAAACTAATAAAAGTAGTGGCTGGGCGTGGTGGGTCATCCCTGTAATCCCAGCACTTTGGGATGCTGAGGAGGGTGGATCGCCTGGGGTTAGGAGTTCCAGACCAGCCTGGCCAACATAGTGAAACCCCGTCTCTACCAAAAATACAAAAAATTAGCTGGGTGTGGTGACGGGCGCCTGTAATCCCAGCTACTGGGGAGGCTGAGGCAGGAGAATCTCTTGAACCCAGGAGGGTAAGGTTGCAGTGAGCCGGGATCACACCACTGCACTCTAGCCTGGGTGAGAGTGAGACTCCATCTCAAAAAAAAAAAAAAAAAAAAGAAAGAAAGAAAAAAAAAAAAAAAGGCCGAGCACGGTGGCTCACGCCTGTAATCCCAGCACTTTGGAAGGCTGAGGCAGGCAGATCACCTGAGGTGAGGTCAGGAGTTTGAGACCAGCCTGACCAACATGGAGAAACCCCGTCTCTACTAAAAATACAAAATTAGCTGGGTGTGATGGTGGGTGCCTGTAATCCCAGCTACTTGAGAGGCTGAGGTGGGAGACTAGCTTGAACCCAGGAGGCAGAGGTTGCGGTGAGCTGAGATCGCACCATTGCACTCTAGCCTGGGCAACAAGAGGAAACTCTGTCTCAAAAAAAAAGAAAAAAGAAAAGAAAAGGCTTGGCATATACGGGGAGAGCTTCTGAGTCAGCTTCTTTATCTGCAGCATGAGAGCAATAACACTGTCCCCTCTTGGGCTTGTTCATAGGGGTGGGAGGAGGAGTCTTTAGAAGGTCTAGGTTCAGCAGTGAGCAGTCCCACCAAACCTGCCAGTTTCATCTCATCAGCCTGGCAGCTTTTGACGCTGAGCTCCCTGAGGCAGGGGCAGGGCCTCATCCTCTGTCCAGCTCAGCACTCTGTACTGTTGATACTCAGCCTCCACTCCGTCATCTAATAACCACACCTCACACCTGTCCCCCAGGAACAGAAGCAGCCAAATAACAGGCTCCCCTCAAAACAGACAAAAGTCCAATCCTATCATTACATTTCTGCTCAGCGATTACTCAGTAACCTCCTGAGAGCCAACTTTCCTGGGCAGTTCTGGAATGCAGGGTGGGATTGGGGGCCCACAGCTGCAGTCTCCCCAGAGACCCAATCAGGTCTTTGTCAAGTCTGTTGTCTTTTCTTTTTTTTTGAGACAGAGTTTCGCTCTTGTTGCCCAGGCTGGAGTGCAATGGCGCGATCTCGGCTCACCACAACTTCTGCCTCCTGGGTGCAAGTGATCCTCCTGCCCCAGCCTCCCTAGTAGCTAGGATTACAGGCATGTGCCACCATGCCCAGCTAATTTTGTATTTTTAGTAGAGATGGGGTTTCTCCATTTTGGTCAGGCTGGTCTCAAACTCCCAACCTCAGGTGATCTGCCCGCCTTGGCCTCCCAAAGTGTTGGGTTTACAGATATGAGCCACCCTACCTGGCCAAGTCTGTGGCCTTTCCTCCCACACCACCAAGGGGTCCAGGCTGGGGGAGTGTACTCTTGAGTAAGGGAAGGACAGGCCAAAACGTCCAGAGAGTCAACCTAGTCCCCACCCTGGGTCTCTGCAGCTAGCTCTTCAGAAACTCAATCAGAATTCTCAAATCCCAGATAATGAGGGGATGCAGATCATCCTGCCGGGCCTTTTGTTTCCGGGCAGAAGACATCTTATCGCAGATCAGCTCCTGAGGCTGTTTCTTTAGGCCTTCACAGTAGGGTGGGCTTCAATCCCGGCTACCTCTGTTTTCCTCTGGGCTGGCTGCATTCAAGGAGAGGGGCTCAGGCTGAGGGGCTCTGGACGGCTAGACTCCTACACATCCCGAGATGGGGCTTGGAGATTCTCGCGTAGCTGGCGCCTGAGGTGTAGGGATCTGAGGTCTGCCCTGTTTGTTCGGGGAGTGCTGGGAAGGCACTCATTTTCCTTTTCATCCATGGGCTGTTTGGTGGGATTATGATACTGTGGGGAAGATCCTTGACTGCAGACTAGGTCTGAATCCTGGCTCTGCTACTTCTCAAGGGAGTGAACTTGCAGAGTTACCACCTCTCTTGAGTCTCAGTTGGTTCATCTGTAAAAGACATGGTTGTTATGAGATTCAATGAAAGAGTGGGTTAAGGTGCTCAGCAGAGGGTCCAGCTCATGGTAGATACTCAGTACCTGTGTGCTCTGTCCCCCTACCTTGTAGGTAGCCAAAGCTCCCTACCCTGCTTTGGGCATGGAGATGCTAAACAGAGAACAGCAAAAACACAACAGAGACCATGAGAGGCTGCAGAAGAGCCATGTCAATTCAACAAAGAAACTCAAGAAGGAAAATTCCACTGAGATCCGGGAGACAGGGTGGGGCAGGTGTCTACAAGGTCACCTTGCAGGCCAGGTAAAAACATCCCGTGGTAAAACACATCCCACAATCTGAAACAATGTGTGTGTGCACAAGGGCATGTGTCTACATTTTAAAAAATGGATTGGCCGGGTGCAGTGGCTCATGTCTCCCAACACTTTCGGAGGCCGAGGTGGGCGGATCATGAGGTCAGGAGATCGAGACCATCCTGGCTAACATGGTGAAACCCTGTCTCTACTGAAAATACAAAAAATTAGCCAGGCGTGGTGGCGGGCGCCTGCAGTCCCAGCTACTCGGGAGGCTGAGGCAGGAGAATGGTGTGAACCCAGGAGGCGGAGCTTGCAGTGAGCCGAGATTGGGCCACTGCACTCCAGCCTGGTGACACAGCAACACTCTGTCTCAAAAAATAAAAAATAAAAAATAAAAAATGGATTAAGTACAAAAAGCAAAAATAAAATAAAATTAAAATTATTTGTAGATTATAACCATAAATATATATTTGTGAATGGCCAGGGATTGGAAGGGAACAAAACTGTGAAGATGGTCCAGCTAGAATGTCAGGATTACATATGGATTTTTGGGTTTTTTTCGTTTATTTGTTTTTTTGAGACAGAATCTCGCTCTGTCGCCCGTGCTGGAGTGCAGTGATGCAATCTCGGCTCACTGCAACCTCCGCCTCTTGTGTTCAAGCAATTCCCTTGCCTCAGTCTCCCAAGTAGCTGGGACTCCAGGTGCGTGCCACCACACCTAGCTAATTTTTGTATTTTTTAGCAGAGATGAGGTTTCGCCATGTTACCCAGGCTGGTCTTGAACTGGCCTCAAGTGATCCTCCCACCTCAGCCTCCCAAAATGCTGGGATTACAGGCTTGATCCACTGTGCCCGGCCACATATGAGTTTTTAAAAGCTTTTTAGTGATGTGCCCTGTTGCTCTATCATTTGTTTTAAGTTAAAAACTCAACAAATAAAAATAACATAATTTAATATGGAATGGATTTTTGTTTGTTTGTCTGTTTGTTTTTGAGACAGAGTCTCACTCTGTCACCCAGGCTGGAGTGCAGTGGCGCAATCTTGGCTCACTGCAACCTCCGCCTCCTGGGTTCAGGCAATTCTCGTGCTTCAGCCTCCCGAGTAGCTGGGATTACAGGCACCCACATCATGCCTGGCTAATTTTTATATTTTTAGTAGAGATGGGGTTTCACCATGTTGGCCAGGCTGGTCTCAAACTCCTGACCTCAGGTGATCCACCCGGCTCGGCCTCCCAAAGTGCTGGGATTACAGGCGTGAGCCACGGTGCCCGGCCCATTTTGTTTTTTTAAAAAGCCCTAGAGCAGGGGGCAGGAGGGCCTGGAGATGTGGATTCTAGTGCCACCTCTGCCACTAACCTCCTGTGAGACCATGAGCCTTCCTGTGCCTCAGTTTCTCCATCTGTAAAATGGGATGGTGGGATCTAATACTCAGGTGTGGTTTCACATCTGTTTAAAATGCTTGTTGGCTGACAGGGCAGAGGAAGAACAGCAAATGAGGCTGTCTTTTCCCTCCTGTGTGAGGAGGCTACTTCCAGCTCCGAGGAAAGAGGGGTCAGAAATGGGAGAAATGTTTCAAGGGAGGGTGGCGAGCCTGTCTTGGGCACAGCATCTCCTCTGTGTCAGGCTCTGTGCTCAGGCTGTGGGAGGTCCTACCATTCAGCTATGTAGAGCCTCAGGGAATCACACAGCCCCACACCTGTCTCACATGTTCTGGAGACCAAAGTTTGAACTGGGATTTAAGGCCTGGGTAAATTCAGAGCTCAAAGTTCCAATTCAAGATATGGGACACTGGCCGGGCGCAGTGGCTCAGGCCAGGTGCGGTGGCTCATGCTTGTAATCGCAGAACTTTGGTAGGCCAAGGCAGGCGGATCACAAGGTCAGGAGTTTGAGACCATCCTGGCCAACACAGTGAAACCATGTCTCTACTAACAATACAAATATTAGCTGGGCGTGGTGGTGCATGCCAGTAATCCCAGCTACTCAGGATGTTGAGGCAGGAGAATCGCTTGAATTCGGGAGATGGAGGTTGCGGTGAGCCAAGATTGCGCCACTGCACTCCAGCCTGGGCGACAGAGCAAGACCTCATCTCAAAAAAAAAAAAGAAAAAAAAAAAGATATGGAGGTCAGCTTGCCCGAGAAGCAGCTTGTCTCCCTCTCTCTCTGGTACCTGGAGGGACCAGCAGCTACACCTGTCATTGTGTCATTGGCTGGGCTTCTCCTCTGCGTCAGTCACAGAGCCCACTACAGCCATATGAGCCCTGTGAGGGAGAGGCCCATATGTTCATTTTATGGATGGAGAAAAGAAGACTTCAAATGATGCTTACTCAGACTCCATGACCAATCAATTCCGCTCTTAGGAATGTGCCCCAAAGAATCTTTCACCCAGGTCTGGAAAGGGACATGCATGTGACGTCATTGAAGTGTTGTTTGGGGATGGGGAGCCGGAGGCAGTTGGGGATCCACATCCAGGGGAGTAGAGAGGTAAAATGGGGTGGGTGCACTCCGAGGAGGACGACGCAGCAGCTGGAAGCGAGGAAGCAGATGCTTATGTGGCAACACAGAGGGTCTCATCAACAGCAGGGAGTCCCACAAGTAAATAACAGAATGAGACCCAAAACACACAATACCACTTATGCAAATGAAAACCACCTGCATAAAAACAACAATATATATTTTGCAATAACACATATGAACAAGTAGATACTCATTAAGCAGATTCAGATGGTTGCCTTTGGCTGGGGTGGGTGGGAAGTGTGGTCGGAAAATGGAGATAAGGAGAAAAATTAACACAAGAAGAGAGGAGGAACAGTGATGATAATGCATCGCTAAGCAAGGAATGTGAATAACTCAGCCCTGTGTACTTGAGGTCCAACAAAGGAAAAACAAGTAAAGATCAGAGAGGTTAAGTAATTTGTCCAAATTACACAGCAGGTAAGAAGGGGTAAAGAGAATGTCCAGATAACCAGGCCTACTTAGGGCAAGGCAATAGCAGGACACTTAAAAACCATTAACCTGCACCTTAAGAGCAGAGAAGGCAGGAAAGGAGGCTGTGTGTGTGCAAGGTGTGGGGGTGGTTAGAGGATCCTTCTGTGCTCCAAGTCAGCCCTGAGTCTCCATGTCTCTTCTCTTTCTTCCCAAACACCCACTGAGCACTGTGGGGTATTGACCGCAGCCCTTACCTTCCAGGGACTTTGATGATGCATAAAATGAGGTCATCCCTGGAGTTGGCAGGTAAGTCAGAGAAGGAGGTGCTCCAGGAGGCAGGATTAAATCAGGAGTTATCAGGGTTTAGAAATTATAACATAAATCACAGCATCTACCACGTAGTAGGCACTGCTCTAAGCTCACAAAGTCCCCATAAGCCTTCAAGATAAATTCTATTATCATCCTCATTTTGCAGATTAGGAATTGAGGCACAGAGAGGTTAGGTAATTTGTGCAAGTCACACAGCTGAGAAATGGCAGAGCTGGGATTTGAAACCCAGGCAGAGTGGGTCTGGATGTCATGATCTTAACCATTATGAAATTTACCAATGAAATAAGGCAGATATGGCTCATCTGGCCAGGACTTCCTAAAGGCGATCTCCCCAGCCACTGCCTCCTCTTGAGCTCCCCACAGTGAGGCTGACATGGCCTGGGCTGGGTACACTGCTGGCAGGGGCCTACCACCAGATGTCAATGCCTCCTGCCCCACACAAGTTCTCCCCACCTTGGACATCAAGTATCCAAGGTGGAGGGACACAATGTCCTCATGATACACATAAGACACTGAGCCTGGAGAGGGGACAGGACTTGTCTCAGGTCACCCAGTTCTCCTGGTTATCAGCCCAGCACCTCACCCCACTTTGGCTGAGACAAAGTACAATGTGTGCTAAGCCGTGGCTCCCCCAAACCCACACCCAGACACCTGGGCTCCCTCCTGATAGCTCCTTCAGGCCATTTTCCCCCAGATGCAGAGATGCTGGGCACTCTGTCCAGAATGCCATGTCCCCAGCCTCCCTTCCAAACAAGACTCCACCCTCCCCAGAGCGCTTGGAGATTGCCGGTCAGAGGCTGTGGCAGGGGAAGCCCAGTTAATGCTCCGCTGCTCCTTCTCTTTCTCTCCTGGTGCCTCCCAGCCTCCTTAGAAATTAGGGGTCATTACCATCAGGGTGTGAGATCTAGGGACAGCACACAAGTCATCAACACCCCAATTTCCAGTCTGCCTTCGGCCCCAAAGTGCATCTTGTCAGCGTTGACTCAGGGCCAGGAAGAAAACAAATAATTCCGGGCCCAGCCCAAGCTGGTGTGGCAGGAAGGCACCCAATAGCTCTATCTACCTCCCGCTGGAACTCTCTCCTTCCCCTCAACCAAGGGAGAAGCCCATGTCATTCCTACATGTGGGATTTCTGACATTACTCCTGGAAGCTGCCTACCAAGTGTGGTATTGGGGAGACAGGACCCTAGGGAGGTAGGGGAGCTGATTTTTGAAGATGGGGACAGGACAGCCCATTCAACCACCCACCCATCAATCCAATTACCCACCCACACATAGTCATAGCTGATGTTTACTCAATGCTTACTCTGTACCAGGCACTGTCCTAAGTGCTTTGCCCAACTCTATTAGGTAGGGACTTTACCCATTTTACAGATGAGAAAACAGAAGCATAGAGATGTCAATTAATTTTCCCAAAGTTACACACTAGTAAAGTAGTACAGCCAGAATTCAAGCTCAGGCATTCTAACTCCCAGACCTGCAATCCTCTATACCACAGCCATCACCATCTGTCCATTTACTGACCATCCATCCATCCACTCACACATGGTCACTCCTATTCAGCCATCTGTCTATCCACCTGTTCATCCATCCCTTTATCTCCCAACCCTCTGTTCAAAGCAATCCATGAGAAGGAATGGCATATGTAGAGGCTCAGAGGGGAGAGAGTGGGGCATGTCTAAGAAACTAGCTACTCCATAGAGAGCAAGGGAAAGATAGCAAGAGATGAGGCTAAGGAGATGAGCAGGGCTCAAATCACAAGGGTTGGCCCATCCACCATCTATCTGCCAACCCAGTCCATCCACCTGTCCATCCACCCTCCCACTCATGTCCACCCATCCATTCATCCACTCATCTCTGTAATTTGGAAGGCAGATAGATGATAGATAGATGATAAATAGATGATTGACAGGTGGTAGATGATAGATGATAGATAGATAGATAAATAGATAGATAAATAAATAGATAGATTAGATAGATAGATAGAATGAAGAGTTGCCAAGGTACATTTCCTTCCTGACAGTGATATTGGGACATGGGGGGATATTAGGACTTCTGGAGGCACCTTGATAATTAGGATGATCTCTCTCCATTCACCTCCTGCCCACAGTTTTAGGGTTCTATGGGTTTGTGGGAAGAGGGAATAGCATAGTGGGCCAGTGTCAAGGTTAAAAGACCCTTCCAGGTCCTGAAACGTCAGTCCCCAGCCCTGGCCTCATGTCTCCTTGGGAAGACAGAAGGAATTGTGTTGTAAAGAGGTGTCACAATGCCCCCTGCCCCATACAAGTTCTCCCCACCTTGGCACTCTCAGTATCCTGCCAAGAGTCCTCCCTGACCACCAGAAGTTCCACCTCACCATCAAGAAAGGCCCTGGTCCAGGATGTGCAAGGTGTGATGAAATCACAGGGCTGGGGAAGGTCAGCTCGGGGTCACAAGAAGCCTGATGGGCAGGAAAGAGCATGAAAGCCCCAGCCAGCCTCACATGTGCGGCTGGGAGGTAGGTCCTCTTACAAAAGGCTTAGTTGGGTGCTGGTGCTGGTGCTGCTGCCTGCCTTGTACTCCCCAGCTGTCGGACCTCTGCGATCTCTCTGGGGAGATGGAGAGAGGGAACAGGACACCCTCCATCTTGCTTCCTCTGCCCCTTCACTGCTGTAAAGTGTGTCCTGGACTGTTTGGTTCGTGTTACACCATCTCCAAGGCAAACTTGAGATAAATAATAATTGTAGCTAAAGTTTGAGTGCTTAAGAGGTCTAGGCACCTTACATGGACTAGCTCATTAAGTCCTCACATGAACCCTATGAGGTAGAGCTCTTGTTATTCCCACATTATACTTCGGAAAATTGAGGTACAGAGATTATAATTTGCCTAAGGATCAGGCAGCTAGTGAGTGAGAGGGCTGGAATTCTATTTATTTTTTTTTTGAGACTCGCTTTGTTGCCCAGGCTGGAGTGCAGTGGCACAATCTCAGCTAAGTGCAACCTCCGCCTCCTGTGTTCAAATGATTCCCCCACCTCAGCCTCCCAAGTGGCTGGGATTACAGGCACCTGCCACCACGCCCGGCTAATTTTTTTGTATTTTTAGTAGAGACGGGGTTTCACCATGTTGACCAGGCTGGTCCCGAACTCCTGACCTCAAGTGATTCTCCTGCCTCGGCCTCCCAAAGTGCTGGGATTACAGGCGTGAGCCACTGTGCTCAGCCATTTTTTTTTCTTTTTTTTTTTTTTTTACTTTTTTATAAAATAGAGATGAGGTCTCTCAATGTTGCCCAGGCTGGTCTTGAACTTTTGAGCTCAAGCAATCCTCCCACTTCAACCTCCCGCTGAATTACAGGTGTGAGCCACCGGGCCCTGCAGGGAACTGGAATTTGAACTGGGGTAGCTGGCTCCAGGCTCTCATGCTACCCAGTCACATGAGGAAGCTGAGGCCTACCCCCGGCTTCCCTAACCACTCCCTTCAAAGCCCCTGTGCTCCCCCAAAGGGAAACGTGCTCTCCTATAGGTTCAGACAGGTATGTGTGTGAAACCACGGTGTAACTGCCCGAGAGGCTGAGAGTAATGACTATTTGCACTGTGCCTTTACCGTTCCCAGCACTCATGGCACCCCACCACAAGCTGGTGAATTAGATAGCCTTATTATCCCCATTTTGCAGATGAGGCCCCTGAAGCTCAAAGAGGCTCAGCCACTTGCCCAAGGTCGCCTGACCTGTAAGAACAGGGTCAGGCCCAGAGCTCAGACCTTCAAACACCAAAGCCAAGGCACATTGGACAGCACCACGTGCCCCTGGGGGCCCTCACCAGCCTTCACACCCAAGTGCTATTTGCATTTCAATAAGGCACAAGGCCTTCCCCCAGAGTGAGGAGGCTACAGGTGGAATTTCTCACTGGGCAAGGCCATGTGCCTATGGCCCTGGAGGATTTGAGAGGACAGGGTGCCTTCCTAGAAAACCTGTAGTAATATCACAGATGAGATCTTCTTGCCCTACTCAGAAAGCCCCACTCTTGAGTCATGCACTTCCTCACTCTAAACCCCGGCATAAGGGACAAACGCATATTAGTATATATGTACATATTAATACATGTGTACTGTGCATCTGAAAGGCCTTTGTGGGGTCCGCCTGTGGGGATGGGGGTTATGAAGGGATATTTCTTTTTTCTGAGACAAGGTCTCACTCTGTCACTTAGGCTGGAGTGCATTGGCTGATCTCAGCTCCCCGTAACCTCCTCCTCCCTGTAACCTCCTCCTCCCTGATTCAAGTGATTCTCCTGCCTCAGCCTCCCAAGTAGCTGGGATTACAGGCGTGCACCATCACACCCAGCTAATGTTTTGTATTTTTAGTAGAGACGGGGTTTTGCCACGTTGCCAAGGCTGGTCTCAAACTCCTGGGCTCAAGTGATCTGCCCACCTCAGCCTCCCAATGTGCTGGGATTACAGGCGTGAGCCATGGTGCCGGCTCTTTTTTCTTTTTTTTTTTTTAATAGAGATGGGGTCTCACTATGTTGGCCAGGTTGATCTTGAACTCTTGGCCTCAAGCAATCCTCCTGCCTTGGCCTCCCAAAGTGCTAGGATTATAGGCATGAGCCACCACGCTGGCCCAGTGAGGGATAATTCTACCTAGATTCCTTCTTTTGGCTTTAGCTTAGAACCCAAGTGAAAATAGGATCATGGGATTCCCAAGGGAGGGGAGGGGCTGGTGAGAATCTCTACTTGTCCTGTAACTTCATCACTCCCTGTAGAATGGAAATGAGGGAAGCAGTAGGGGAGATGGGGCTTCTTCCTCAACCCTCTAAACCAGGGTTTCTCAACCTTGGCGCTTTTGACATTGGACGCTGATGATTCTTTGTTGCGGGGGCTGTCCATTGTAGGATACATAGCAGCATCCCTGTCTCCTACCCGCTGGAAGGCAGTAGCACCCACCCCACACTGTGTGACAACCCAAAATGTCTCCAAACATGCATGCCAAATGTCCTCTGGAGGAAGAATCACCCCTGGCTGAGAACCAATGATCTAAAGTCACATACACAGTGTGCGCACACCCAGCACACTTGACGAGGAGCATGTGAGCAAAGAATAGCCAGTTAAAAGAAACCAGATGTTAACCTGGAAAGTATGCAGTCAGGCCCCACCCTCAGCCAGAGCTGGCTCTGCTAGGCCCTGGGGGAGGTAATGGGGTGTCCTCAGCCCTCTGAGGTTAGTCACTTGGAGGCTGGCTTGGCCCCTAGAAAGGGCAGGGGAGGGCTAGTGCTGCCTGACTCCCTCTTCCTCCTCTTCCACCTCTTCCCCTAGACTGTCTGTGTCCCAGTTTTTGTGAGGGCTTCATCCCTGGATGTTCCGGGGACCCTGGCTGTCCCCTACCCCTGCTGCCCCCAGAGTCCTGTATGTTGCAGCAGCAGCATTCTAAACACAGCCGAGGTGTGGACCCAGGGCAGGTGGGCCCAAGCCAGGGCCTGGGCTAGGGCAGAAAGGGAGGAGAGAGTTTGAATCCTGGTTCCCACACTAACCAGTTGTGGGACTTCTGCAAGTTACTTACATGCTATTCTACAAACTGTGAACTCAGAAAAATGCTTTGATGCCTCCGAGCCTCAGTTTCCTTATCTGAAAAATGGAGGCAATGTCTCAAATGGCTCTTAGGAGCTTTTGCAGAGCTGAGTGGCTAATGCCTGACATTTGGCAGATCCTCAATCCTGTGAGTAAAGAGTGCCACCCTTCCATCTGTGGGCTGCTCTCTTCAGTTCCCCAGCCATTCTAAAAGCACCTGCCTCTGTCACCCCTGGCCCCAACCCCATGAGCCCAAGATGGCCAAGAGGCTGATGCAGCCTTGGGGCTGAAGGGTTAGTGGGGAGCAGGGATGGGGGGTGGGGTATCTGCAGCTCCCTCATCTTCATGGCCCTTCTGTGGCGTCAGGAGGACAAAACCCACATGCTTAGACACATCCTTAACACAAAGAAACCTAAGCCGCTTCTTGCAGCCCAGGAAAGGACGCATTCTCCAGGCCAGGATGTCAGCCTCTACCAAGGATAAAGAGATTGCCATGGGTCCTATAGCACTGATTGTCACTGCCCTCAGGGGACATTGGGCGATGACTGGAGACATTTTTGTTGTCACGACTGGGAGAAGGTGCTACTGGCATCTGGTGGGTAGAAGCCACCACTGTAATTCTGCAAGACACAAGACAACCCCTCTAACAAAGATTGTCCAGCCCAAAGAGGCAGAGGTACCAAGGCTGAGCCACTGTACTCCACAGGGACCCTCTTGTGCTCAGTCGTGGTGTCTTTGTCACCTTCACACCAAGAGCCTGGCATCCAAGAGGTGCCCAGGAATGGTTGTGAATGAACGAATGAAGCAACTCATGTCCTATCCTCAGCTCTGCTAAGAGATGGTGATTCATGGTGTAGACCTCACACTTCCCAGTGTGTTGTTCTGTCCATGCAGGGTCCAAGAACCCAGAGCCCAAATCCAGCAGTCAAAATCCCACAGTGTTCTTGCCAGACTGGGAAATCTGGCTGCCCCGCCCTCCAGTGAGCCGGAAGCTGTGCAGGGCAGCCTTGGCTAATCACCTGCCACCCAGCACACCTGGCAGGAGCTCAGTGGGTTGATGAAATGAGGACAGAAAGAAATAGAAGATCCACAGGCCCCTGGCAGGCCCTGCTCACATACCACAGTGGGCACAAGACACGTCATGGAGCACAGGGTGTGGAAAGACCTGGGTTCAAATCCCAGCCTTGCTCCTCACCAGTCATGTGACCCTGGACAGGGGACTGACCTCTTCAGTTTTTGTCAATTACAAGTGGGGCTAATAATAGTAACACCTTCCTCAAAGGGTTAATGTGAGGATTAGAAGAGGTAATCCACTGACAGGGTTTGGTGCGGTGCTACAGACTGAAGTGGAAAAGAATCTTTTGTTTTTTTTGAGATGGGGTCATGCTCTGTCACCCAGGCTGGAGTGCAGTGGTGTGATCACAGCTCACTGCAGCCTCGACCTCCTGGGTTCAAGCCATCCTCCTGCCTCAACCTCCTGAGTGGCTAGGACCATAGGTGCATGCCACCATGCCTGGCTAATTTTTAATTTTTTTTTTATAGAGACAAGGTCTCCCCATGTTGCCCAGGCTGGTCTTGAACTCTGGGCCTCAAGTGATCCTCCCACTTCAGCCTCTCAAAGTGTTGGGATTACAGGTGTGATCCACTGCACCTGGCTAGAAAACAATCTTTGATGACCACTATCACAGTTCATTTCCAGTGCTTGCCCCTCTGCCTATAAGCCCCTGTGCCCTGGGGCTGAGCCTGGAAGAGTCTGGGAAGGCTGTAGAACACTTGCTCATTTCTTGTGGCTGTGCATCAGCACTGGGGTAGGCTCTAGGGAAAAAGAGATGCATAGAACGCAGTCCTGACTGCTGGAGCCGTTTACAGCCTGTTGGGACTTTAGCAAAGGACTATACTGGGACTAAGATGAGACGAGACTGCAGCAAGCGGTCCCAGTGCACTTGTAGGACTCTGAATGACAACTTCTTCAAAATGTGTGTGCCTGACTCACCTTAGTCCCTCCAGCGAAGGAGCACATCCTGAGAGGGGTCCAGAAGGCACAGAAGAGGACAAGATGGGACAGGGGCTGCAGGAGTCTTCAGTGGTTCCTGGAGAAGGTTTCAAGTCTGCTGCTGAACTTGGAAGAATAGGAAGAATTTCAAAAACTGCAAATTTGCAAAACTGAGGGCACATTTATACCTGGGTAGGAACCAATAGGAACAAAGCCTGCTTTGGAGGAAAGCCCTGGACAAGTTTGGGCTGGGCAGATAGTTTGTAAATTAAACCCAGAGGAGGCCGGGTGAAGTGGCTCATGCCTGTAATCCCAGCACTTTGGGAGGCTGAGGCGGGCGGATCACCTGAGGTCGGGAGTTTGAGACCATCCTGACAAATGTGGAGAAAACCCATCTCTACTGAAAATACAAAATTAGCCTGGTGTGGTGGCGCATGCCTGTAATCCCACCTACTCGGGAGGGTGAGGCAGGAGAATTGCTTGAACCCAGGAGGTGGGGATTGCAGTGAGCTGAGATTGCATCCTTGCACTTCAGCCTGGGTAACAAGAGCGAAACTCCATCTCAAAAAACAAAAAACAAAACAAAACACAGAGGAAATACATCATGATTTGAGCAAAGGAGACTTCTTTTGTAAGAGGGCAGGAGCTCAACTTCCACTAACCCTGTACCTAGGGGTTCTCTCACAGTGCCTAGAGGCTGGAGGGCTGTGAGGCTGGGGGAGAGGAAATGGATTCCCCTGACCGCTGAAGCCTGGGGGAGCAGAATAGATCCAGCCTGACACACACGCAGGATGGATGATTGCCTACAGATGCTTCATCCTTTGGTGGTGCTGTCACGGTGAGGACAGTCCCTAGTAAAATGTACAGCTGGTACCTGAAACGTGGTGTGGGGATTTGAAGGTGAACAGGATAGCTTGGTCACAGGAAGGGTAGTGACAGAGGAATAAATAAATGTCAATGTGAGGCGCTAAATGTGTCAATGGGGGCCTCCTAGAGATTGAGTAGACCCCAATAAGTAATCAACCAAGAGTGGTGGTTAGGACGAGGTAGGTATGGGTGAGTAGGAGACACATTTGGTAACAATGAGATATGTTATAAAATAGAATGGGCTGGCTGGCTGGAAAGTGAGCGGGTACCCCTTACTAGAATTCAGTTCAATTGATCCAGCATTTATCAAGCTTTCTCTAAATGCATTCTTCTGGAGTAAAACAGTAAATAGGATTTTGGAGGCTGTTATGTCAAGGGTAAGAGTATGAGATAGTTGCCCTCAAGGAGCTGAAACTCTAATGGGAAAGACAGAATTTCCCTAGTGCACAGGAGGGAGAGCACGCAAGGCTGGGGAACACCTGAGCCAAGGTACAGGCTCTGGAAGTACCGGATGTGAGCAGGGAACAAGAGGTAGACTGTGTGGCTGAAATGCTGGGTAGGTGGAGGGATGGAGGGACTGGAGAGTGGAAGCCACATTCTTTTTTTTTTTTTTTTTTTTTTTTTTTTTTGAGACACAGTAGGCTGGACGCAGTGGCTCACGCCTGTTATCCCAGCACTTTGGGAGGCCGAGGCGGGTGAATCACCTGAGGTCAGGAGTTTGAGACCAGCCTGGCCAACATGGTGAAACCCCATCTGTACTAAAAATACAAAAATTAGCCGGGCGTGGTGGCGGGTGCCTGTAATCCCAGCTTACTCAGGAGGCTGAGGCAGAAGAATCGCTTGAACCCAGGAGGCGGAGGTTGCAGTGAGCCGAGATCGTGCCATTGTACTCCAGCCTGGGCAACAAGAGCGAAACTCTTTTTTTTTTTTTTTGAGATGGAGTCTCGCTCTGTGAGTGTGAAGCACAGCGTGACCAAGTAGGAGGGTGGGAGACAGGAAGCCCTGGTGGAGGGCAAGCTGGAGGGGCCCCACAGGATAGAGAGGTCGAAGGCCTGACGGAGCAGTGGCAGGGAAGAGGGAGGGGAGGGCCACACAGGAGCCAGGCCAAGGACACGGACAGACGATTGGATGCAGGGAAGGGGGGTGGGGAGGGACTGAAGATAATCCCCAGGTTCCTAGCCTCTGGGAGCTGGCAGTTGCCTCTGGTAGGTAGGCAGAGTTCTGCAGCAGCAGGGGGCCAGGTCAGGGGACCCTGATGGCTCTCCCCTGCTCTGGAGGTCCCTGGCTCCATGGTCAGCACAGCAGTGCTCCAGAGTGGCTCTGGGGGCTTCTGAGCAGTGGCTCTTTCTCCTCCCTTCTGCCCCTGGCATAGCAGTTGAAGTCCCAGTATCCAATGCCTCAGCTCTCCCCTTCTTTCCCCCCTCCCAGGACTCACAGAAACCCTCTGTACCCAGTCATGGGCCAAAGACACCGTCATGCAAGGGGGTGAAGGCTCCACACTCGTCCCGGCCCCGGGCGTGGAAGCAGGACCTCGAGCAGTCTCTGGCAGCAGCCTATGTGCCGGTCGTTGTGGACTCTAAGGGGCAGAATCCGGACAAGCTCAGGTTCAATTTCTACACCTCCCAGTACTCCAACTCCCTGAACCCCTTCTACACTTTGCAGAAGCCTACCTGTGGCTACCTGTACCGCCGGGACACTGACCACACCCGCAAGCGCTTTGATGTGCCTCCTGCCAACTTGGTCTTGTGGCGCTCCTAGGCCTGAGCCAAACGGAAGCCCCCGACCCTTCACCCTCACCCCTGTGACCTCAGGTCCCCAAGGGGAAGGGCTGCTCACTGCAGGAGGAGTGACCTATATTCGGGCTAAGACAGCTGTGCCATGCCCACCTATTGACAATGATAAAGGGAGGTCTCTCTTCTCAGCAGCAGTTAAAGTTTGTCCTTCCTTTCCCTGGCATCTGAATGGGTGGCTGTGGGTAGGTAAACAGGCCATGGGGATGTTATACAGTAAGGTTATGTCCAGAGGTTTCTGAAGACTTGGAAGGACTTGATTCTCAGTTCCCTAACCCCAAAAGTAACCTCAACCCTTCTCCAGAGCTGAGTCCCAAGCAAAGCCCATCCTAGCTCCAGCCTCCCGATGGTCCAGGCTCGGACCCCTCCAAGGAAGAGAGGGTGGGTGTGGTGGCTCACACCTGTAATCCCAGCACTTCAGGAGGCCAAGGTGGGCAGATCACCTGAGGTCAGGAGTTCAAGACCAGCCTGGCCAACATGGTGAAACCCCGTCTCTACAAAAATTAGCCAGGCATGATGG
Source organism: Homo sapiens (assembly GCF_000001405.40). NCBI lineage: Eukaryota > Metazoa > Chordata > Mammalia > Primates > Hominidae > Homo > Homo sapiens. The sequence goes on from NC_000006.12 coordinate 42,163,802, forward strand.
CAGGTGCCTATAATCCCAGCTACTCGGGAGACTAAGGAATGAGAATCCCTTGAAGCCAGGAGGCAGAGGTTGCAGTGAGCCGAAATCATGCCATTGCACTCCAGCCTGGGTGACAGAGTAAGACTCCGTCAAAAAAAAAAAATTAATTTAAAAAAAGGAAGAGATCCATCAACTGGCCATGACTCCTGCTCTCTTACAAGGTCATCTTACCCTGGTTGGAGCAGCTGCTGCAGAATGAGGAAGAATGCAGGGAATGAACACAGACTCTAGGTCCCCTCCCAGACCCAGTTTTACATAAAGCTGCTGCTTCTGACTTGTAGTTTGTTGGTGGGGGAAGGATTTCCCATCCTTGCCGTCTCCTCTGGTCTAGAAGAGCTGGCTCTGAGGCTAGTTGAGCTCATGGGTCATGGGGCATGGAAGAGGGGGATGGAGGCAGAGGGCACTGGATTCACAGCAGGGGCCTGAGTGAGTTCCCAGTCACTGCCATTCAGAGGGAACCCCAGTGGTGTGCTGGAGCCAGCTTGTACTGACTTGTAAGAGCTGGTTGTGCCCATGTCTTCCCTACTCCACAATCAGTGATTTCTTTTTTTTTTTTTTTTGAGACGGAGTCTCGCTCTGTCGCCCGGGCTGGAGTGCAGTGGCGTGATCTCAGCTCAGTGCAAGCTCCGCTTCCCGGGTTCACGCCATTCTCCTGCCTCAGCCTCCTGAGTAGCTGGGACTACAGGTGCCCGCCACCACACCCGGCTATTTTTTTTTTTTTTTTTTGTATATTTAGTAGAGATGGGGTTTCACCATGTTAGCCAGGATGGTCTTGATCTCCTGACCTTGTGATCTGCCCACCTCGGCCTCCCAAAGTGCTGGGATTACAGGTGTGAGCCACCGCACCCGGCCCACAATCAGTGACTTCCTGTTGGCAGTTTGGAATCAGCTGTGGTGGGAGCATTTACACCACAGAAGTGAGCAAATGCCTACAAATTGGAGTTTCTTTTTTCCAGAGAGCTCATCATTAAACATTTACCAGCACACCACAGGGTGAATTCAGCTGGTTTCATTCCTAGGAGTCTCGTCCCTCTGTAGGTATGGTGGTGTATTCTGTGGGGCATAATTCCTGTGCAGGAGAGGTTGGGGTTGGTGTGGGAAGGAGAGACAGGTGTCCAGAGACCCCGACAAGCAGCCCACAACAAGGCCAGGCTGTCCTGTGGGCCTTTCTTTGAGAAGATGGTAAGCAGTGTGGAGGGAAGTGGAGACCCCTCGAGGCGACCCTAACAGCATAGAATCCGCGTTTTCCTCTTGGCTTGCTGTAGGCTCTCTTTTGAGTTAGAGGTTTTCCTCAAATGCCTGATGAGCCTTGGCTGGCCTCAGACCATCTGGCATCTGTACCAGGTCTCTCCTTCTGCTTGGTCATCAGTGTTCAAGGAGCCAGCCACGGGAATGAGCTGGGGTGGGGGAAGGCGCATGGTGGTTTTCTCACTGTCCATATGTAGACTTTCTTTTAACGCTCCATTTATAGAATGGCACATGTCTCTTCCTGAGGCTGTGCCTAGAGACTAGCGGCTCTCTGGCCCAAATCTCCAGAAGAACCTTCAATCAGGGTCAGGAGGGGACTGATGCCGGGAGATGCCTGTTCTGCTGCCTTGCGGAGGGCATCGGAGAAGCTAAGTGTTCCTTATGCAAACTTTGGCCAGCCCTATTTTCTGCTCCACCTGTGCTGCATCCCAGCCTTCAGGGGCACCTGGTATCTCTGCCTCCCTATTCCTGCAGCAGGAATAGGTTTGTCCCGAGCTCCGCAGGCTCCTCCTCTTTGAAAGCATTTAGGTTTCGACTTTCTCCACTCTCATAAGAAAGACAGTTACCACTTGTCCATCTGTCTTGTTTTCCAAAATTTTATTAGAACCCCTGTATCTGCTGTCTTTTTTCCTCTTTTCTTTTCTTTCTTTCTTTTCTTTTTTCTTTTTTTGAGATAAGAGTTTCACTCTTGTTGCCCAGTCTGGAGTCCAATGGCGGGATCTCAGCTCACCACAACTTCCACCTCCCGGGTTCAAGCGATTCTCCTGCCTCAGCCTCCCGAGTAGCTGGGATTACAGGCATGGGCCGCCATGCCCTGCTAATTTTGTATTTTTAGTAGAGACGGGGTTTCTCCATGTTGGTCAGGCTGGTCTTGAACTCCTGACCTCAGGTGATCCACCTGCCTCGGCCTCCCAAAGTGCTGGGATTACAGGCGTGAGCCACTGTGCCCAGCCCCTTTTTCCTTTTTTGAGACGGAGTTTTGCTCTTGTTGCCCAGGCTGGAGTGCAATGGTGCAATCTTGGCTCACCATAACCTCCTCCTCCCAGGTTCAAGCGATTCTCCTGCCTCAGCCTCCCGGGTAGCTGGGATTACAGGAATGTACCACCATGCCCGGCTAATTTTTGTATTTTTAGTAGAGACGGGGTTTCTCCATGTTGGACAGGCTGGTCTTGAACTCCCGACCTCAGGTGATCCGCCCGCCTCGGCCTCACAAAGCGCTGGGATTACAGGCGTTAGCCACTGCGCCCGGCCTCCTTTTGTCTTTAAAACATGCATTTATTCATATTTTAGTGGGATTTTGAAAAGAAGCAGAGATAAGTGGAAGTTTTCAGTCTATGTATAACTAGAAGTCTTGCTCATTCAATCAGTCAGTCACCCAACAGACCCTGTGGGCTGTGTCCTTAAGATGCAAAGATATTAACAGGAACCGTCCCTTCCCTTCCAGATCCTATAGCCTGTGTAGGGTGAGGGGCAGGATCCCCATGAGGCGTCTTCACTCCCACAACAAACGCCTCCTCCCCTACCCTGGAGAATGGGCTCCCTCTTGAGGTTCACCTTGGTAATGCAGCCTCCATGGACGCCCTTAGAAACCCTTTAAAGAAACCGGCCAAGGTACCACCTTGTTTTGAGTGAGATAGGCCCAGGAGGCAACTGAACCTGTGCTCAGGGTCCTTCTGTGTTTCTGTGGAGTAGAGGGGCAAGCAGGCAGCCTTAGGGGGGGATTAGTCTGGCCTGGATCACTGCCCCTCCTGTCTCTTCCTGGTTTGTCTTCCTACCTCTCTGCAGCTGCCCCATCCTCCCTCCCCTCGGCCCCATTCCGCCAGGTGGAGCCTCTTCCTCTGATCTGGCTTCTGTCCCAGGAGGGATTCCTGCAGGCAGAGCAGCCAGGGAAGGCAGGAATCCTCCCTGTGTATGCTGTGTGACCTGTACTCTGGCCCTCTGTGCCCTAACGCATACCTTGTGCATACTGCTTCCTTGGGGCCTTGGTGTTGATCTCAGTCCTCCTTGCCTTGGCATCCCTGTCTCAGGGGATTCCATTCCCACCCTGGGCTGGAGACAAGGGGTGGGGGCCCTCCTCCCTCAAAGGGAGCAAGCTCTCTGTCAATGGAATTGTTGGGCAGAGGGCCACAAGGGGAGGACTGAGGGAGATGGCGCTGGAGTGAGGGGCTCGTGGGGTCCCCCTGGCTCTATCCAGCCCTTCTGCAGGGTGTGAAGGCTTAGGAGAAAAGCATGATGATGAGGTGGGAAAACTTTGGTACCACCACTAAAGTGCTCGTGAACCTGAGCAGGTGATTTAAATTTTCTGCCCCAAGCCCCTTTTGTCTCACATGGCAATAATAATACCCACCCCACAGGACTTGTGCACCTATTCAACAAGCATAGTTTCATCCAATTTTAGCTTTTTGAGAATTCTTTCTTTCTTTCTTTCTTTTTTTTTGAGACAGTCTCGCTCTGTCGCCCAGGCTGGAGTGCAGTGGTGCGATCTCGGCTCACTGCAAGCTCCGCCTCCTGGGTTCACGTCATCCTCCTGCCTCAGCCTCCTGAGTAGCTGGGACTACGCCGCCAAGCCTGGCTAACTTTTTTTTTTTTTTTTTTTTGTATTTTTAGTAGAGACGGGGTTTCACCATGTTAGCCAGGATGGTCTTGATCTCCTGACCTTGTGATCCACCCATCTCGTCCTCCCAAAGTGCTGGGATTACAGGCGTGAGCCACCATACCTGGCAAGAATTTTTTTTGATTTGGAGCTTCACTCTTGTCACCCAGGCTGGAGTGCAATGGCACGATCTCGTCTCACTGCAACCTCTGCTTCCCAGGTTCAAGTGATTCTCCTGCCTCAGCCTCCAGAGTAGCTGGGACCACAGGCGTGCACCACTATGCCCGGCTTATTTTTGTATTTTTAGTAGAGACAGGGTTTCACCATGTTGGCCAGGCTAGTCTCGAACTCCTGACCTCAGATGATCCACCCGCCTCCGCCTCCCAAAGTGCTGGGATTACAGGTGTGAGCCACCCTGCCCGGCCTAAGAATTCTTTTCTTTTCTCTTTTATTTTCTTTTCTTTGACGAAGTTTCGCTCTTGTTGCCCAGACTGGAGCACAATGGCGCGATCTCGGCTCACTGCAGCCTCCGACTCCCAGGTTCAAACGATTCTCCTGCCTCAGCCTCTGGAGTAGCTGGGATTACAGGCACCCGCCACCACACCCGGCTAATTTTTGTATATTTAGTAGAGACGGGGTTTCACCATGTTGACCAGGCTCGTCTTGAACCCCCGACCTCAGATGATCCACCCTCCTCAGCCTCCCAAAGTGCTGGGATTACAGGCGTGAGCCACCGCGCCCGGCCCCAAGAATTCTTTCTTTAATCATATGTGCATGCATGCATGCACTCAATATTTTACTGGGCTCAAGCCCGTCAGTCAAATATTACTCTCAAAACGGTAATTTAGGAGAGTTGATGTGGGGACTATTAACAGAGAGCTGGGCATAGTTAAGGGAATGGTGATGTACCCAGACAGTAGCGAGAGGGAAGCCCTTATCATGCCTGGCGGGGCAAAGGGAGGGAGCCATGATTACAGGAGCCCAGAGAGCTATGGCAGGAGCGGTGATTGAAGGTGGAAGGAAATAACCGCTGCCCCAACCCTGAGCTGGCAGGGAGGAGTGAGGACAACAAATGTCCCAGCTCTTCTCCCTCTCCACCCTCCAGTCTTCCTCCAGCTTCTCAGCAGATGAACCCAGCCTGAAACAAGAGGGCAGCAGAGTCTGGGTGATGCAGTCTGTAGGGTCAGTCTTTGGGGCTCAGAGCTGGAGGAGAAAGGGGGAGAATGAGTCGGGGCTGGGCAAACAGAACAACTAGCGCACGACAATGTGGAATGTGTGGTGCCAGGAGCTGGGGGCAGGCGAGACACAAATAACAGAATGGTCTCCACCCTCTGTGAGCTTGCTGGGTTCCTTAGAGCAGGCTGGCAAGAAGAGTTGCCTATATAATACTTCTGGAAAGAAATGAATGCTATGTCCGTGTTATTGTAGAAGAGTGAATGTCATAATAGACCCTAAGGTGACCCCAGTGATTTCTACCTCCTGTTGTTCCTACCTTTGTAAAATTCTCTCCCTTTGAGTGTGGGTGAGGCCCTTGACTTGATTCTAACCCATAGAATATGGCAAAGGTGATGGGACGTCTCTCTGTGGATTATGTTAGGTTATATAGACTTTAGCAGATTGCAGAGAGACTCTTCTCGCTGACTTGATGAAATAAGCAGCGTGGTGAGGAAGCTGGTGTAACAAGGAACAGAGGGCAGCCTCTATGACCTGAGTGTGTCCCCCAGGCAATGTCAAGTGAAAAGCCAGCTCCCTTGTCACATAGCCACAACAAAATGAGTTCTGCCAACAACCTGAATAAGTTGGAAGTGGATTCTTCCCCAGTTGAGCCTCCAGATGAAAATACAGCCCAGGTGACACCCTGAGAGCAGCCTTGTGAGACGCTAGGCAGAGGACCAGCTAAGCTGTGCCTGGACTCCTGGCCCATAGAAACTGTGAGATAATAAATGTGTGGCCAGGCACGGTGGCTCATGCCTGTAATCGCAGCACTTTGGGAGGCTGAGGCAGGTGGATCACCTGAGGTCGGGAGTTTGAGACCACCCTGACCAACATGGAGAAACCCTGTCTCTACTAAAAATACAAAATTAGTGGGGCATGGCGGCACATGCCTGTAATCCCAGCTACTCAGGAGGCTGAGGCAGGAGAATTGCTTGAACCTGGGAGGCAGGAGGTTGTGCTGAGCCGAGATCGCATCATTGTACTCTAGCCTGGGCAACAAGAGTGAAACTCCATCTCAAAATAATAATAATAATAATAATAATAATAATAATAATAATAATAATAAATGTGTGTAGTTTTAAAACTGCTGACTTTGTGGTTATTTGTTATGCAACATAGAAAACTAATATAACACACACATTAGCCAGAGTTCTTCAGAGAGACAGAGCTAATAGGATTATATATAGAGGTATGAGAGAAGATTTATTAGGGGGATTGGCTCACATGTTTATGGAGGCTGAGAAGTCCCACAATATGCCATCTGCAAGATGGAGAACCAGGGAAGCCAGTAGCATGGCTCAGTTCAAGCCCAAAGGGTTCAGAGCCAAGGAAACTGATGGTGTAACTCTGGGTCTGAAGCTGAAGGACTGAGAACGTGAGAGTGGGGAGGGGTTGCTACTGGTGCAAGTCCTGGAGTCCAAGGGCAGGAGAAGAAGAGTGTCCCAGCTCCAGGACAGAGAGAGAGAGAGAGAGGGAGAGAATTCACCTTTCCCCTGCCTTTTTCTTCTGTCCAGGCCTAAGCCAATTGGATGGTGCCCACCCACATAGGCTGAAGGCAGATTCTCCTTACTTAGTCCATGAATTCAAATGCCAGTCTCTTTGGCAAGCACCCTCACAGAAACACCCAGAAATAAAGCTTTACCAGCTTGTTGGGTAATCCCTTCATCCAGTCCTAAAATTAACTGTCACAACACATAAGCAAAATGTCAGTATGCTGTGGGAGGAAGATATTTGAGAGAGATTTGGGAAGGCTTCACAGAGGAGGTGGCATTTGTACTCACACATGAAGAGTGAGAGGGATTTAAATAGAAAGGGAAAGATGAGCGGCTGCCTTGTCCCCAACCTCTTCATTTCCCAATCTTGGGCCTGAGAGTCCTCGGCAAGGACACATTTTCCAGCTGGGCCCCAAGCAAGTTCACAGAAGGAGTCCTTCTCTCCCCGTCCCTTAACTTGTTGTGGAGAAGCTGACTGAAGCAGGGAGAACCCAGCTCCCCACCCCCATATACCTTCCGTCAATCAATTCATGTGGAGTAGAGGTAAAACAGTCCCAGTTTGTCTCTTTTTCAAAAATAACTATCCTCTTTGATTTTGTGAGCAACATATGTTCATTATGAACAATTTTTTTTTTTTTTTTTGAGATGGAGTCTCTCTCTGTCGCCCAGGCTGGAGTGCAATGGCGTAGTCTCGGCTCACTGCAAACTCCGCCTCCCAGGTTGAAGTGATTCTCCTGCCTCGGCCTCCCAAGTAGCTGGAATTACAGGCGCCCACCACCATGCCTGGCTAATTTTTGTATTTTTAGTACAGATGGGGTTTTACCATGTTGGCCAGGCTGGTCTCGAACTCCTGACCTTGTGATCCACCCGCCTCAGCCTCCCAAAGTGCCGGGATTACAGGCGTGAGCCTGGATCTGGTAAGGCTTTAACAAAGGCCTCCACCTTCCCTAGGGCCTGACTACAGCTGGTAGGTGGCCTGTGTGAGGCAGGTTGGATGTCTGTTCCTACACATAGCCCTTCTGGCCGTCCAGGGCCCAGAGTGAATGGGGCTAAAGGGACAAGAGCACGATTGGCTCTAACCCAGGGATGCTGCTGTGTCCAAGATGCAGTATAAGTGCACCTAGATTGTAGTGAACAGCACATCAGACATGCTGCTGTAATAGATACAAAATCATAACATCATAGCCAAGATTTATGGGGCACTTACTCTGGGGCAGACCTTGTTCTAAATGCTTTTCTTATATTAACTCACATACTCTTTTTTTTTTTTTTTTTTGAGATAGGGTCTCGCTTTGTCATTCAGGCTGGAGTGCAGTGGTGCGATCTTGGCTCACTGCAACCTCCGCCTCCTGGGTTCAAGCGATTCTCCTGCCTCAGCCTCCCGAGTAGCTGGGATTACAGGAGTGTGCACCATCACGCCTGGCTAATTTATGTATTTTTAATAGAGATGAGGTTTCACCATGTTGGCCAGGCTGGTCTCGTACTCCTGGCCTCAAGTGATCCACCCGCCTCGGCCTCCCAAAATGTTGGGATTACAGGTGTGAGCCACCGTGCCCAGCCCCACTTACTCCCCTTAACAGCCCTATCAGATGGGCGCCATTATTCCTATTTTAAGAATGAGGAAACTGGGGCCCAGAGAGGTTAAGTTACTTGCTCAAGGTCACCCAGCCAGTAATGTAAGCAAGAAACAAGCTTGTATTGTTTTCAGCCACTGAGATTTTAGAGTGGTTTGTTACTGTAGCATAACCTAGCCCATTCTGAAATATGTATGCACATGTATTTGATATATGTTATATGTTGTATAAATTGTATATTTATATAAATCTATTTACATGTAATTATATATTATTTATATAAATCATATAAATTGTGTATCAGTGCACAACTTGACCAAGTGTCCAAGGCCCTGGTGGGGAAAGCAGAAATATGGGCAGTGGTTCCCTCTAGATGAGTTAGGAGACCTGGGTGTGCCCCATATGTAAAGGAGGAAGGCAAACAAGAGAAAAAGACAGGGCAGGGCAAGCGCTGGCTTTAAGCTTTCCTGGCAGCATCCAGGTTAAGTGCACCTGCACCCAAATGCTGGTTCCATAAATGAGCCAGCTTTTAAGTGTGTGGCTAGGGAGTACGCATCCCACCAGGCATCAGAGAAAGCTGTTGCTGCATAGACAGGCCCCCAGGCTTGGCCTGGGAGCTTTCCAGGACCAGCAGGTAGCAGCTCACCCATGCACCTGTGTGCCTGCACTCTCACACTCACACATACCCCAGGGCACCAGGCGCACACTCCATGTCCCCTGCCCTGTGCCCCTAGTAGGTGATGGTGATGATGTGAGGCTCAGAATTAGATGGAAGGATGAATTCAGGGCTCTCAAGAAGGGAGAGATGCAACCTTCAGGAACATGAGAGTGTGGCCAGAACAGGATGAGTGTGTACGAGTGTGTGTATGTGTGTGCACGTCTCTGTGTACTGGTGCAGGCTAATGTAGGAGGGGGTTCTCTCTGGCTGTTCAAGGCTTATCTTGGAAGCCCACAGACTCTGCATCCACCCAGGTGCCCTCAAATGTTAGCACACTCATGGTATGATTGGACCCCCTCAGTTGTGATGGCCAAGTGCAGTGCACAGCCTGGATAACTGTACACAGCAGCCCTGTCAAGAGCCCACAGTTGGCCATCTCTGGACAAGAAGCCAGCTCTATCTCATATATACCTCAATTCCATGATTGAAGGCAGAATCCAAAACCACTGTGAATCCACTCAAACCAGGAGAAGAAGGTCACAAAGGTCATAGGATCAGAGCAGCTTCTAGCTGACACCCACTCCGTGGTGGTAAGAAGGGATTAGAAGATTGCAAACTGGGTTAAAAAATCCTCTCACCTACAGCTCAAGGCTGTAATCCTAAGGACTCTGCTTCTCTAAGCCTTGTTCTATTTTCAACTCTTTTCTCCAGGGTACAGTCTCCCCTGGGGCTGCAAGGATTTAGTGGAGACTCTTAACACCAGTTCTCTGGCATCTGTGAGTTTGAGTGTGGGCCATCATCTTCTTCCTTCTGCTCTCTCCCTCTCCACATTTCCCGGTACCATCTGATCCATCAGGCCCTTCTTTGCTCAGGCCTGAAGGACTCAGGCCTGTGAGAGAGGACGGCCCCGTTGTCGGCCAAGACACCTTTGGGCGAGGAGCAGCGAACAGGGCCTGTCCATCTCAGACGTCAGCCCCCTGAAGGCCTGAGCAATGGGCAACGTGATGGAGGGAAAGTCAGTGGAGGAGCTGAGCAGCACCGAGTGCCACCAGTGGTACAAGAAGTTCATGACTGAGTGCCCCTCTGGCCAACTCACCCTCTATGAGTTCCGCCAGTTCTTCGGCCTCAAGAACCTGAGCCCGTCGGCCAGCCAGTACGTGGAACAGATGTTTGAGACTTTTGACTTCAACAAGGTGAGCAGGGGCCCAGTGGCAGGGAGGGGAAGTGCTGGAGGGACCCCTCTGGAAGCCTGACCAGCTGGGGGTGAGGAAGAGCAGAGAGGAGCATAGAAGTGTCCGCTGGGGAGCAACTTCATTTATACAGTCATTTGTTTATTTGATAGGTGGGTTTTTGACACTAGGGTTTCAACGGATCTAATGTTTGTGCTTTAATGAGCACCAACTGTGAATCAGGCACTGGGGGGTTAGAAATGTATCAGACATTGTCCCTGCCCTCACTTTCTAGGGCAAGACAGAGAGGCCCACACATTAGTGTAATCCGAGGCTGAATCCAATGGCTTCCTCCACCTCTGCCACAGGCATATCTTGGTTTACTCCAAAACGAGTGTAAACACTTCCAAGATGGTCATTGAACACCTGCGATGTGCTGGTCCTATACGTGGTGCTTTTGCAAACACCCTTTGAAGCTCCCAAGGATGTGGGCAGAGGGGCAGAGAGCAGGGAGCAAGATGATGATTCTCTAGCCTCACTGTCTGGCATGGGCAGGCCACTTATAATATTCTGCGGACATGAGGACTGGAGACAGACAGGGTTGCCTGGTCCCTGGAGAACCCAGAATGCTCCCAACTTCAAAATACCCAGTGACCTCATATCACCTTTTCTCAAGTGAGCCTGAAGGTCCACACCGTGGTCAAATTGTGTCTCCTCAGTAGCCACCTGGACGCATTAGGTAAGGACTTCCTAATTGATAAGCTAGAGGGGTCACTGAAAGGTGAGTTTGGGACTGTGGGTTTGGGTCCCTAGCTTTCATCCGCTGGGTGACCTTGAGCCCATCATTTCCCCTCTCAGTCCCAGTATATTCATGATGCCGTGGATGTTGGGAGCATTAGTTAAGATGTTTGTTGGTTTTCATAGTAAATCTTCCATTCATTTGGAACTATTTGGTCAAGACATAGTTGTGGAAGAGCCCAAATCTGCAAACGTGGCTCCCCACCCTGTGGCCCCTCACTTGAAAAGTGAGGATGCAATGAGGCGCTGCCGCGTGTCCTCTGCAGACCCGGGAGAGGTTCCTTCCCTCGCTGCCCAGAAGGTCCAGGCACCATCATGGGTGGGGCTTCTTGGGAAAGCTGGGGCTCAGTGGCTATTTAAAACTCACTAATATTTAAGGATAAGGGACCAAAGTAGATTACGGGCTTTGAGTGTCAACCTCAGGTGTAGTATGAGGGAGCCCAAGGGCTTTCCCGAAGCGGGAGCAGGTGAGCAGAGTCCAGAGCCTGTGTACAGAGACTGGGAGGGATGGCATCATCACATTCAACACTCAAAATGCTCCCGAAGAAGGAATAACTCCTGAACAGGAGGGGAAGGACAAATGGATGGTTGAGCCTCACACCTTACCCCCAAACAGCGACATATCTCATCTTCTCACCTGCTAAGAAAACCCTTTGGGTTAAGACATGTCTGCAGAAGGACCCTTACAGTCACACATATGACGCCGGTGGGGGTGGGGGAGGGCAACCCTGGGGCACATCGACCCTGTATTTGCCTAATCATGTCTTTTTTTTTTTTTTTTTTTTTTTTTGAGATGGAGTCTCGCTCTGTCGCCCAGACTGGAGTGCAGTGGCGTGATCTCGGCTCACTGCAACCTCCACCTCCTGGGCTCAAGCGATTCTTCTGCCTCACTCAGCCTCTCAAGTAGCTGGGATTACAGGCACCCACAACCATGCCTGGCTAATTTTTGTATTTTTAGTAGAGATGGGGTTTCACTATGTTGGCCAGGCCGGTCTCAAACTCTTGACCTCAGGTGATCCGCCCACCTCGGCCTCCCATAGTGCTGGGATTACAGGCGTGAGCCACCACGCTGAGCCAACCATGTCTTAATGTGTGTCCCATGCGAGCACCACCTGTACTGTACCAAACCTGACCCTTGTCTTTCCACTGAAAGTAAATCAACCCCTTGTTTCTAGGCAGTCTGGCCTCCTCCCTTATTCCACACACACCCCCGCCTTAGGGGTTTTGTGCTGCCTGGGACCCTCTCTGCCCCCAGAATTCTGCTCGGCTTACACCTTCCTCTGCTGCAAGTCTCTGCTTAGAAGTCTCCTCACTAACCCCTGCCGTGATCTTCTGGTTTAAACTCTGTTTAAAACTGGGACTGGTTCCCACCTCTGCATTTCCTAGTCCCACCTTTCCCCGCAAGCACCTGTCGTCTTCCAATACCAGATTTAAATAACATTTCACCATTACGTTTATCGCCTGTCTCCCCCTGCTGGAATGTGAGCTCCATGTGGGCAGGGATTTTTGTCTTGTTCACTGTTGAATCCCTGGTTCCTAGAACAGTGCCTGGATTGTGGCAGGTGCTTAATAATATTCATTGTATGAGTGAATGAATATATGAGAAATCAGGAATTTAATGGCTAGTTATTTTATAATATACATCAATTTAACTCTGCAAATATTAAAATGAAGAGTGACTTTGTAACACCCAACCTGCCTCATCTACACCCATGGCACACAATCACACTTTGCATAATACTGTCTTGACCCATTGTCATCAGCATGGAGCAGTTTAGCAGATTGGCTAGGAGATGGAACACAGGATTGGGAAGTTTTTGTTGTTGTTGTTGTTTTGTTTTTTGTTGTTGTTGTTGTTTTTTGAGATGGAGTTTTGCTCTTGTCACCCAGGCTGGAGTGCAATGGCACGATCTCGGCTCACTGCAACCTCCACCTCCTGGGTTCAAGTGATTCTTCTGCCTCAGCCTCCTGAGTAGCTGGGATTACAGGTGCCCACCACCACGCCTGGCTAATTTTTGTATTTTTAGTAGAGACAGGTTTTCACCACATTGGCCAGGCTGGTCTCGAACTCCTGACCTCAGGTGATCCACCTGCCTCGGCCTCCCAAAGTGCTGGGATTACAGGTGTGAGCCACTGCACCTGTCCAGAAGTTTTGATACAGAGAGGAGTTAAACAGGGACAGGCAAATGACAGCACACAGGCCTGTTTTTGTAAATGAAGTTTTATTAGAACTCACCACATCTATTTATTTACGTAGAGAATTGTCTATGGCTGCTTTCACGTAAAATGACAGAGGGTGTTTGGCTGCAAAGCTGCATATTTACTCTTTGGCTCTTTACAGAAAAAGTTTGCCATTTTCTAATAAAAACTAAAAAGTTTTTAGTGCAAGTGCCAGCCCTTGCACTAAAAAATGGTTGTATCTTTGGGTATTGCACCAGATGTGCAGGGCTGGGGAGTACAGAGTGTGACTGGGGAGTGAAACCTGGGGGACAGGCCATTTGCTTTGCTTACTTCAAATGTTTGTCTGGGCTTGGGTTTGTCTGACAATCACACAGGTGCACACAAATCAATGCAAATCTCCATCTGCATTTGAGTACTGATATAGGATGATTTAGGAGAGGCTTTGTCATTCACTAGCTGTTTGGCCTAATCTCTCTCAACTTTGGCTTTGTCATTCAAACTAGAGACAAAAATATTCACCTCTTGGGGGTGGCTTGAGATTAAATGAGTAAAATGAATAAAGCACTCAGCCTAGGAAGTCCATGGAGAGCACTAAGAAAAGTTAGTATTGCTATATATTTTCATTGAATCTAATGCATACCACAATCTTGAAAAGTGCACACTGTCATTCCATTTTATACCTGGGAATACGGAGACTCAAGGTCATGTGACTTATCCAAGGTGATTTAGATCTTTCTGGCACAAAAATCCACACCTTTTCCATTGCCCCTTTTTAGACATTAAAAAAAAAACCTGCAAAAGCAATCCAGCTCATTGTAGAAATTTCCAGCAATACAGAAAGATAAAAAATGAAGAGCAAAAGTATCCTCACCTGGTGTCCCCTCCCCCAGAGGAAACCTCTTTAGCAGTTTTCTTGCTTATTCAAGCTGTGCTGTCTAGGGGCCTCTCTGGGCTCTGTGCTGATGACAGTCCTGGGAGGTGGGTTGGGACTGAATGAGCCCACTGTGGGGTTCAGAGTGTTTAAGGCCTTCCGGGGGCCTCAGCCCCTCAGGCAGCAGGGTGAGAAACTCCCAAAAGCTCACCCAAACCACGCTCCCATCCCTGGGGGTGCAGTTCTTCCTCCTCCCACCTACGCACATGTCTCCCATTTCCCCTAACTGGAAAGGCTCATGCTTGACAATCACAGGGAAGCAGGCAGCGCTCGCTAAAACCCAGATGCCTGTGAACAGACAGCGCCAGCCATTCACACCCCAGTGGATGCTGGCTTATTAGATTTGATTGGCAGCCTCTGGAGTAGGCAGGGTGGGCTATACAGGGCGTCTAGGAAGACAGATAGGTCACGGCGGAGACAGGGCTGGCCCCCTCGCTGCATCTCCGAGGGTCCGGGTCTCCCCTCAGCGTCTCTTGGGGCTTGCCGAGATGGGCGGAGCCTTGGGTTATGATGGGCGGGGCCTGAGGCTGGAGTGAGCGGGGCCCGGATGGGCTCACGGCGGCCGCGCCCCTCGCCCAGGACGGCTACATTGATTTCATGGAGTACGTGGCAGCGCTCAGCTTGGTCCTCAAGGGGAAGGTGGAACAGAAGCTCCGCTGGTACTTCAAGCTCTATGATGTAGATGGCAACGGCTGCATTGACCGCGATGAGCTGCTCACCATCATCCAGGTGCAGAGGGCCCGGCCAGGGCTGGGGGCAGCGGTCTGGGGTGGGACCCGGAACTGAGAGCCCAGGGTTAGAACAACAATCTCAGGATTGAGACAGGATGTGGGACTGAGGATCCTGGTGGCAGCTGTAGGCCTCACCAGCTGCGTGACCCAGGCCACGTTCCTTCCCTTCCTTGGCCTCAGTTTCCTCATCAATACCAAAAGACGATAGAAGTTTGACTCTTGAGTCCCAGCTCTGCCTAGGCCCCCGGGTACCCTGCACTCTACTCCTCACTGCTCTTGGGAGCCGGACAAGCTCTGACCGTCCCCAATCCTACCCCTGAGATAGGATAAGGATGGGCCCCTCTCACTTCTGCCCCTTCTTCCCTCCCAGGCCATTCGCGCCATTAACCCCTGCAGCGATACCACCATGACTGCAGAGGAGTTCACCGATACAGTGTTCTCCAAGATTGACGTCAACGGGGATGGTGAGGGGGCCGAGGAGGGGCTCCCCAGCGGAGGGGTCACCATGGATGTGGGGTCACCAGGGGTGGAAGGTCACTAAAGGAGAGGGTGAGGAAGGGAGGAGAGGCCCAAAGGCCCCCGTGCTGGTCACTTCCTCCACCTGCCTCTGCCCCAGCCACAAAGTTGGCTTTTAGGGGCCCCTGGACCAGAATCTGGGCTCTGGGTTCCTCTGCTTGCTGCACCCGCAGCAGGGGCTCTGACTTCTCCTCACGTGGGCTCTGTCCCTGCCCCTGGCAAGAACCCGGTTCTGTGCTCTGGACTGCAGAAATGAACACCCTCCTCCCCCTGATTCCCTTTCTCTCTACCCCAGGGGAACTCTCCCTGGAAGAGTTTATAGAGGGCGTCCAGAAGGACCAGATGCTCCTGGACACACTGACACGAAGCCTGGACCTTACCCGCATCGTGCGCAGGCTCCAGAATGGCGAGCAAGACGAGGAGGGGGCTGACGAGGCCGCTGAGGCAGCCGGCTGAGTGCACCGCCCGGCTGCTTCTGCACTAGCGGGTGGGGTGGTATGGTGGTGCCTGTTGGTGGTGTTCTTGTCTTAACCCTAGATAGAATCTAATGAACTCAGAGGCTTAGCTCGCCTCTTTAGGGTCCATGGTGGCAGCAGAGAGGCAGAAGTGGGAGTCCAGAGCCAGGAACAGTGAAGGATGGTTCCTGGCCCCTCTGAGTGACAGCTGGTGGCAGCACTCCTTGCTGGGGGGCACTGTTCAACATCCCTCTGCCGTCGGGTGACCCCCTAGCCCTTCTGACTCCTCTCCCAGCTTTTCCCAGCTTTCCCCACTGAGCTTCTCCAGTCCATGCTCTTCTGGACGTGGACTCTCTGAGGCAGAACTGAGCTTTTCCAGGCCTCTTATGGAATCCTGCAGATCCAGTGGCTGCAGCTTCAATCCCAGTGCTGCAATCACACATCCATTCTGCCCTGGGGGACCCTGGAGCCTACTTGTGCGCTTTGCATTTCATTGATTGACGCCTCCCTTCAACAAGCATTTACTGAGCGCCTACTATGTACTAATGCTAGATGTTAGATGTACAAAGAAGACAGTTTTCATCCTCTAGGAACTCATAGGCTAATGGTGAGACACACAGACAAACATCATTATAATAAAATATGCTAAGAGAAGTTATGAATAGATTTCTGTAGAAGACACCTACAGGCGTCTGACTCAGAGGCAGCATCACAGAGGTGACCTTTGACTTTGAACAGGAAAGAGTGCTTCGGGGCCGAATGTAGAGAAGAAGGTGATGCATGTGGGGTGGTTGGAGATGCATTCTCTGTGATGTATGTGTCACATGTGGGGGGCTGTGTGATGTGGACAGGAGCATTCTTAGGTGCAAATTTGGGGTATCCCTTGGGATTTAAATTTTACCAAATTTAAAACAGTAAGAATCACCATATCTGTTTTTAGGGAGTACCCCAGTAAGGGAAAACAAACAAACATAGCTTCTTCAAGAGATTTATAATCCTACTAGCAAGATAAGGATGGGATGTTTTGCCAGGTGTGGTGGTAAATGCCTGTGATCCCCAATACTCAGGAGGCTAAGGTGGGAGGATCCCTTGAGCCGAGGGGTTCAAGACAAGCCCAGGCAACATAGTGAGACCCCTCTTCAAAAAGATAAAAGGGAGCCGGGAGCAGTGGCTCATGCCTGTAATCCCAGCACTTTGGGAGGCTGAGGTGGGCAGATCACCTGAGGTCAGGAGTTCGAGACCAGCCTGGCCAACGTGGTGAAACCCCGTCTCTACTAAAAATACAAAAATTAGCTGGGTATGGTAGTGTGCTCCTGTAATCCCAGCTACCTGGGAGGCTGAGGCAGAAGAATTGCATGAACCAGGGAGGCAGAGGTTGCAGTGAGCCGAGATCACACCACTGCACTCCAGCCTGGACAACAGAGTAAGACTCTGTCTAAAAAAAATAAACAAATAAATAAAAAGAAAAAAAGGGTGGAATATTTAGATGACAGTGTAGATCTGAATCTGAATGCATGTGCATGCATTCACTCTGGGAAGCTTTAGTGTCGGCCAAAAAGTGAAAGAGGGTGGGTGGTTCTGCAAAAAATCCTCATTTCTCAAGAAGAAATCCATACTTTTTCAGAAGAGCCTGCGCAAGTCCCTTATACTTCCCCTCCTTGGTGACATGTGGTGTTCCATGGCTCCCCACAGATCTGCGACTCATCGCTCGTTGCAAATAATCTATCCCTGGTCTAACCTAAATCCCTCTTGCTGCAGTGACACCTGATACCAGTTGGGAAGTGGAACAGTCTGTTACAGGTGGGCCCCA